>NC_000006.12:41575151-41878181 GCF_000001405.40 Homo sapiens
TAGAGACGGGGTTTCACCATGTTAGCCAGGATTGTCTTGATCTCCTGACCTCATGATCCGCCTGCCTTGGCTTCCCAAAGTGCTAGGATTACAGGCATGAGCCACTGCGCCTGGCTATCATTCTTTATATTAGAGGCTATCATCACAGAACCTGAGCTGTGAGCCCTGGGGGGGCAGAGGCCACATTCTGTTTCTGTGTATCCCCAGCCCCTAGCCTGGTCCCTGGCACGCAGCAGGTACTTCATAGATGTGAGAAGAGTGGTGAGTGAGGACCCATGTATGAGAAGGAATGGTGGGAAGCTGAGGGAGGGGAGCCTTGGCCAGACCTAAGGTCTTACCTGGCTCTCATCTGGCCTGGTCTTGGCAGGAAGAAGGAAAGGGGTTGTGGGTAGGGGGTGTAGGGGGAGGAAGGGCCTGTCACAGGGAGGGGGAGGTCTCAGGAATGAGACTGCAAGGCCTTGCCATTTTTTTCCTGTAAATCATGTAATTTCATGCTCCAGGGGACCACAAAGTAAGAGAGTCAGTGGGGAGTCAACTCCCCTGGCCACCCCCCACCCCACCCCAGGAGACTGAGCAGGGCTCTGCCCCCAACTGCCCCCAGGAGCCCCTCCCTGCTGTTCCCTCCTGTCCCCCGGGGATCTGGAGTGTGTCATCTCCCCACCCCAACCAGTGTCCCTTTTGGGTCGCCTGGGCTGGCCAGCCTCTCTGAGCCATCTTCTTCCCCTACCCTTGTGCCCTGGCCTCTGACCCCTGTACCCCCTCAACCCTACTCTACCTCCACCTTTGGAGGACAAAGAGCACTTGTCAGTAGACCTGGAGGAGTTTGTAAAAGCAAGGTAGTAGAGGCAGGGGCTCCTTCCTAATGACCACCTGACTCCCTGCCCTTCCTCACCCGCAACCCCCCCCCCCACCCTTCCTCCTCTTTCCGCAGAGCCTTTTGACTTAGAAAGGTCAGATTTCTGCTTTCTGAAGTGAATCTGGAAGAGGAGAAACATCCTGTCCCCCTCTGGAAGCCCAGGGCACTTCTCTGGGTGTGACATCCAGGGAAGGAGGTGGGGTGGGGGTGGCCTGTGAGGAGCACACCAATCTGAGCTCCAGGTTTGCTGCAGGACACCTTCCCGTCAATAGGCCAGTGCATATTTAGTTGCCCTCCTAGGGTAAACTAGATTTAAAGCCTCAGGAGGCTCGGCTGTTTGCACTGATGATGAACGGACGCGAAGGTGGTTGTGTGTATATGCTTGGTACACAGTGGTCACTCTCTTTGCTTGTTGAGCGATGATGGGTGGTGCAGCCATATCCCACCTTAAAAGGTTTTGCCTTGAAGGTGCTTGTGGTGGGGTAGGAGAATAGGGGCCCATACAGAAAAAACAAGTGTATGTGTGGACAGATGTGAGAGAGAGCCACAGGCGGGCGCATTTCGTCTAATAAGTGCGCAGGGCACGAGGCTATGTTGGGGAGAGGCTGGAGGAGGTGAAGTGGAGAATTGTGGAGAGATTAATGAGAGCCGAAGGGAGTGAATACTTCCCGAATGCCAACTGGATGCCAAACATTGGTCCTTTAATCCCCCTAGTAATTTGGAGATGGGTAGTTTCCCAGTTTTGCAGATAAGGAGACTGAAGTGCAGAGAACTGGAATAACTTGCCCAAGGTCGCAGCTGGCAGGCCGCACAGCTGGGATTCAGACCCAGGACTGCCTAAGGTTGGAGCCCTGTGTCAAGGGCTTAGACACACCTGCACTGGCTCCCAAGGGGGTCTTGAGCAATCTGGAAGCAGATAAATTTTGTGCTGCTGAAATGTGGATTCAGAACTTGCCTTCAAACCTCCCACTGAAGCATAGTGAGGACATAGAGGGCTTGACTGGCCTCATAGATAATTTCCTGGGCCCTCCTGACCCCTCACTCCTACCAGACGTCTCACTGCCCATCAGTTTACCTTCCGGGCCCCTCCTACTCCTTGACTGTCACACTGACCCACTGGAGTGATTCCTCCAGCAATCTCCATATGCCTCCCACTCGTATGACCCCTCTGGCTCAGTTCAGTCTAAGCCACTGTGGCCACCAAGCCCACAGCACGATGGTCCATGCATCTCTGCTGATAGTATACCTTTCAGAACTTAATCTAATTCCTCCAGCAGCATGCATGTACAATCCTTGAACTCAGAAAGTCACACGGTACTCAGACCTTGTGCCACTGACCCCAGGGCTCTTCCCTCATCCTCCCAACTGTGTGCTCTGGCTCCACAGTGAATGCTACTTTTTAGCCCCCAGACTGACCACCCAGTAAGGCAGTTGGCCTTGGAGCCAGGCTTCCTGGGCTCAAATCTTGGCTCTGATGCCGCCTAGCTGTATGATCCTGGGTAAGTTACTTAACCTCCTGGAGACTCCGTTTCCTCATCTGCAAAATGGGGCAATAATCCCTACCTTACAGCCTTACAGAGGAAGATTAAATAAGCTCTTGCCTGTACAGTGCCTGACCCATAGTAGATGCTCAACAAATAGTACTGATTTACTAATGCCCTGAGTCAACCCCCTTTATTTTCCTCTAAGAGTCCCTTTTTGACCATGGGCCCTTCCATTTGCTGTCCCCATTGAGTCCTAACAAAACTTCACTGGGTCCCAGGCTGAGTCTGTAGAGGCTCTGATCCCTGAACCCCAACAGCTCTTCTCAGTGACTTCTACTACCCTTACCCCAAGCCCTTATGGACCCATGACCCTCTCACCCCCAAGACCTTCCACCTTACCCTGATCTCCTTCTCCTTACTGCCCCAAACACTCCCTAATCCCTGGATCCCACCCAGCCTCCCAGGCCATTGCTGACTCAGCCCCTGTCTTGCAGGCTCTCCAAGTGGCCCGGCAGTTCCTGCTGCAGCAGGCCTCAGGCCTGAGCTCCCCAGGGAACAATGACAGCAAACAGTCTGCCTCTGCTGTGCAGGTGAGGAAGAGAGCACCCCGCTGGCTCTGGGTTGGGCTGGAGTGTGGGCCTGGCACAGAGGGAGGGCAAGGACCCGTTGGAGAACTGCTCTTGCCAGTTCCAACACCAAAAAGTGGGCAACTTTTCAAAGGAAATACAGTCACTGCAGGGGTGGGGCAAAAAGGCTTCCCACTTTCTCTCGTCTCCACCTGATCAGCCAGACCTTCCGCTAGCTTAGCCTCTTTGTCCCTGTCACTCAAAGTTTGTCTGCAGCTCTCCCTGTCTCTTTGTACCTCTCTCACTGTTTGTTCTCCCCTGCCTCTTCCCTTCAGGGTCTCTCTTGGTCACTTCTCATGTTTCTGCGTCCCTGTCGGTCACTCCCTCTGTCCCTCTGTGTTCCTGTGTCTGGGGCTCAGCCCCTCCCAGGCCATCTCTGTTGCTGCAGTCACGTCACCAAGTCCCCCCTTCTCTTATCCTCCCCCCTTATCCCTCATCCACCAGCTCTCTCGCAGTCTCTCCATGCTTCCTGTCTCTTGATGTCTCTCTGTCTCTTTTGTTTTCCTTTGCACAATCTGCCCTTTTTTCCCCTTCTCCCTTCCCTCCAGCTTGCCAGCCCATCTGGCTGGCTGGGGGAGGGGAGATCTGTGGGGGGTGGGCGGGGGGTGGGGGAGCCAGGCCTTCTGTTTACCTTTTGTGTCACAAAGAACTTGGGAGAATTGCAGTCTGAGTCCGGGTTGGGTCACTACTCGGGCAGCCACTCCCCTCCCCCTCTGCCCAGCAGCCCGGGATCCATGCTCCCCCCACCCCTCCCCCAGCAGAGGGAGGCTCAGAATTGGGGAAGGGATTAAGCCAGGCTTTGAAAGGAAGTTTATCTAAGGGAAGAAGGGTGAGTATGGTTGGTTCTGAGCTGGAGGTGCTCTGGAGTCTGGGGCTGGGTGCTGAGGGAAGTGAAGAGGAGGGTGGGGTGGGTGCAGGGTGCTCAGAGAAGGACCCAGGACCAGGCTTTGTCCTGGGTGGAGATTCCAGTGCTCTGACAAAGTCTGAGTTTTATGTAAAACAAGTTTATGTTTGGAAAAAGTTCAAGGTGCCCAACAGATGTGCAGCCTTAACAGTAACCCTCTTAAAATTCTTGACCCTAAGGAGACAACCCTCAAAGGGGAGGAGCTGGGCAAAGATCAGGGCGTGGCCTGGGGTGGAGGAGGGGAAGACACAATCTGGAAAGTCAATAAAGAGAGGAAGAGAAAGATCTCATCAGAATGAGATCTAAAAGGTTCTCATACCCATGCTGGTCAGGATTGGGCCTCTTTAAATTAATGATCCCCACATACAATCCCAGGGTTTGAAGTGGTCCTTGGGCTTCCACTCTGAATCCTGCCCGCCCTGGACCCAGCTTAGAACAGGAAGGAGTAGGCTGGACAACAGCAAACGTTCCCCCAAACCAGAAAGGGGCTGCTGACCCAGGGGTAGGAGGGTAGGAGCTTGATGGTAGTGGGAGGGACTGGGGTAAGACATCTAGAAGGACTGCTCAGCTGGGGATTAAGGGTCACAGATCTGAAATAATTGAGAGCTGAAGGGAGACTATGGAATCTTCCTTAGGAAACTCCCTCCCTCCAAAATAAGAGAGGCCTAGAGGTTTCAGAGTCAGAAAGACAGATAAAATGATGTTTTTCTCAGGCCTTCTCTCTCCTTGTCTCATTACTTCCAAAAATTCATTGATTGATTCATTCATTCATTCAACAAATACTTACTGAGTACATCCCAAACTAACAACTGACATATACAGAGTGCTTACCATGAAGTGTAGACACTAAGCGCTTTACAGCTATCTCATTTATCCTCACAGTCCTATGGGAGAGGTGCTATTCTAGCCCCATCTTGCAGATGAGGAAACTGAGGCCCAGAGAGGTTAAGAAAGTTGTCCAAAGTTATACAACAAATAAAAGACAGAGTGAGGATTTGAACCCAATAGCTCCAGAACTCACACTTTTTTTTTTTTTTTTTTGAGATGGAGTCTCTTGTTGCCCAGGCTGGAGTGCAATGCCGTGATTTCAGCTCACCACAACCTCTGCCTCCCGGGTTCAAGCAGTTTTCCTGCCTCAGTCTCCCAAGTAGCTGGGATTACAGGCATGCACCACCAAGCCCAGCTAATTTTGTATTTTTAGTAGGGTTGTATTTTTAGTAGGTTTTAGTAGCGTTGTGTTTTTAGGTTTTCTCCATGTTGGTCAGGCTGGTCTCAAACCCCCAACCTCAGGTGATCTGCGCGCCTCTGCCTCCCAAAGTGCTGGGATTACAGGCGTGAGCCATCGTGCCCGGCCAGTAGAACTCACACTTTTAATCTCTGCATTGTGACGATCCCTTGTGCTTGGCACAATATTGGTAATAATGCCAATATTTCCCTGGTGTAGAAGCCTAGGCCAGATGGTTCTCAGGGTCTCAGGGATATGGGGGTTCTTGGGGCCATGGAGCCATGCTTCCCCAGGAGCCTGGATTCCCTACCTATATTGATCCCTCTATTTCTTCTCCAACCCTGAATACCTTCCTTGCCTTCTGCCCCTATTCCTAAGTTTATTATCTCCAAGGAGGTCAGATCCTTGTCCTGAAGTAGGGCCCAGGGCCTTGAAATGTTCTTCTATGAGCTCAAGATTGGTGAGGGGATAGGGGAGAGCAAGGACTGGGCTCCCCACCCGAGCAGAAGAGTGCATCTTGAGCCTGAGTGCAGTGGATAATGAAGGGAGATCAAGCGCAGCTCCTTTCCCAGGGCTCCCCACAGAACGCTGCTCTGCTCCCCAGCAGGATTTTCTGCCCACGCACCTCCCAGCCACGTTCACCATCCCTCTCCTCCAGAGCCAGCTTCAGAAGAGTTTCCAAAACTATTGTCAGGTCTCCAGCTCCAGCCTAGTGAGGGGCCCTCCTTCCAGGCCTGGACCCCACCAGGGAGAGACCTATCATAGAAGGCAGCACAGGTGGCCGAGAGTTGAGGACATGATGGGGGCAAAGGTGGCTGGGGCCTTGGCTTCGTCCATCCCCATCTGGCATTTTCAGAAGTTCTTCTTTATATCTCACTGCTATCTTTCCTTGCTGCAGCTGCAGCCCAGGATTAGTTTGAGGACTTCTGGTCATTTGCAGGAGAGTTTAAGCCAAACCAAACTCTGGCCTGATCTCCCCACATTGCCCCCCACTCACAGGGACCCCATACTCAAGAGACAATTTGGGTTCTTGACCCTGGCACCAAATTGCATTCGTTCCCACTCTCAGCCCTCAAATAAGCTTCCTGTGTGTCAGGCACTGTCCCTGTTCCTTCCAGTCAGACCGTCCAGCCGAGCACGCTGTATTCATGGGTGGGTGCAGGGTCCCTGAGGGAGGGGCTGGAGGCAGCTGCCGGCGTTTGGCCCAGGGCTCACACTGCCAGGGCTTAAGTTAGCACTTAGCTGCCCAGCTACTCTCCAGATGGTGACTCATGGGCCCTGCTGAGCCTGCTAGCTGCAGAGCGCCCATCCTGAGGCATCTGAGCCTGGCAAGGGGCCAGCGGGACACCAGAGGAGCTCCAGCTCAGTTCTCAGACCCCCAAGGGGCACAAGGAGAGGTGGATGAGGTCAACCAACTCAGGAGATCAGCATGCGGCAGCCACTTCCCAGACCCTTTGTGACCCCAGTGGGCCACCTCGAGACGAGTGCACACCATGTAATCCATCCAGATCTCTGTAGCAGCCTCCATAGGCAGCTGCTCAGCCAAGTGGCAGGAAAAGCAAGTGCCAAGGAGGCCTTCCAAGGTCATCTCTTCCATTCCCCTGCTTCCAAGGAAGAAAGGCCCGAGGAAGGAAAGGCCACATCCTTTTTTCACATGCTCCTGTCAGTGACTCACAGTCCTGGTGCCTGGAAAGATCTTCTGAGTGTCTGGTCTCAGTCTTTCCTGTTGCGGGCCACGTTCGTCTCTAGTTCAGCTCTCACAGCAGTGAGAATGAGTGGCCTAGTGCCTTGGTCCTCAGTGACCTTTGTCAGGCAGCACCCTAAGGCACACCAGGGGAGGAGACAGAGAAGGAGGGGAAAGGGAAAATCCAGAATGTTTTAAAAAGTGATTTTCTTCACGTTTACATAGAATTTAATGGCGTACAAGTCACTTTCACCCCTGCTCCCACTGTCCCTTCCGGGTCAGGGTCAGGGCAGGTTATTTAACCTCTCTGGGCCTCAGTTTTCCCATCTCATCTGTGAGATGTTAATGATGATGGCACCATCCTCACAGGGTTGCCGTGAAGATTCCATGAGATACACGTGTAAAGGGCTTAGCCAAGTGCCGTGCTGGGCACATAATAAGCAGTCAGCAACGTCTGCTAATGATGCAGGGAGGGCAGGTGCCCCAAATCCCAGTTAGCCGACCGGGAAAGTGAGGCTTGGTGATTTCAAGGCTAGTAAATATCAGGGACAAAAACCAAGGTCACCTGACCCAGAAATCTAGGGCTCTGAGCTCACCTGCACCAAGATGCCTCTCTTTGTTGGGCACCCCCTTGGGAGGAGGAAAGAAAGGACAGTGGTACTTGTTCCATGTCTTTGGATGGCAAAACCCACCTTCTTTGAGCAGCCTCCCCAGCTGCCTCTGGAACACCCAACAACAGACTTAGGGGCTGGCTCTGGAGTTGGGTCTATGCCGTTGTCTGCCTCCAACCCCAGGCCCACCACATCCACCCCTGCAGCCTGGCTTTCAGAGAGTCCTTCTAGGATACAACCGTAGAGTAGGAAGTTAGCCTTTGGGATCTCAGCCTCATCAGCCCCCTCAGCCTCCGGACGTCCCACCTCCACATTCTCTCCCTAACCCTTCCCAAGACCTGCCCTGCGGTGGGGCAGGCAGCATAGGATGTGAAAACCCTGGGAGCTATGGAGTATGCAGACCTCAGCTTACATCCCAACCCTGCCACTTAAGGCCACCAGACTTTCCTGGTCTCCTCATTGGTAAAAATGAGGTTAAAAAACAACAACAACAACAAAGAACAAAAAACACTCCTAAGGGCATATCCCCCACTGGCTTAGAGGTCTCTTGGAGCCTTCATTCACATGGTATGCCCATGACTAAAGAGCTAGGTGTTACCCCTCCCAGGCCCATGTGGATAGAGATGGGCTGGGATAGGGGAGTAAAGCCCAGGGGCAGGGACAGCCGCCAGTGATGGGGTGAGCGAGAGGTGTTGGGAGCCATGGGATTCCCCAATGTCCTTGGATTCACTGTACCTCCCTGGTTGCTTCTCTGCCTGGGGATTTCCTAATCCATGGCTTAAGGGGTGGTTCAAGGCTGAGTCCTGCCTCTGCCAGGCATTGAAAAGAGATCCAACTCCTCCTCCCCTACCCCACAGGTGAGGCTGAGGCTTGGGAGAGGGTCCCCTGAGGACCTAGCCTGTCACAGCCTAGGACAAGTCCCTACACAGCACTCCTCTCTGACTGGGCTAGCCCTGTAACCTTCCCTTCCTGCTTCCGGGCTGGCAGAGGGGCCTCTGAGGTGCCAGGGAAGGCATTTCAGCTCAGGGGGGCTAACACTTAGTGTACCTACCATGTGCCAGGCACTCTGCCACAACTTGGGAGTGAGAGAGGAAATTAGAGAAGAGTCCTGTATGCATGGGGTCACAGAGTGGAGGGGGCGGCAGACAGCCCCATCAGAGCACCTGTCCTGCTAATACAGGAACAAGACAAAATAGCAGCTGAGACCTGCCTGTCCATGACTGCACAAGCCTGGGGGGTTCAGGGGAGGTGGGGCTGGGAAGAGAATGATGTCATTGCTTTTCTCTGAATCTTTTCCCTGTAGCTGGATTCTTTGGGCCTTCTATAGAGGCCTGACCCAGGGCAGGGGGTAGAAAGCTGTTCTACTTTGAGAATCCTGAATGTTCCAGCCTAGAAGGAATCATCTCTTACAGCATAGTCTCTTATGTTTTATGTTTGAGGAAACCGAAACATAAGAGAGGGCAAGTGACTTGCTAGAGTCACACAGCCAGCTCAGTGCAGAGTTAGGAGCGGAAGCCTGCCCTGCTAACTCCCTGCCTGCCATTCTTCCCACCCCACCCTAGACATAGCTACACACATGCACACACATTAGGACCAGGATGGCACCAAGAGCGCTCTGTGGGCTTCACCTCTGGCCACTGTGTGTGCCGTCCAGGCAGGTGTGCCGGGGTGTGTGAGAGGAGACAAAGTGCAGGTCCTCGTGCAAGGTGGGCCACGTTTTGAATCCTTCCCATGCTGTAGACTGCCCTCCCAGCCAGGCCTACCTTGCAGGAAGTGGTCTCAAAATAGACTGCGTGAGACTATGGGTGGCCTGGTATGCTGTCCCTCCCCATTACTGGGGGGAACCAGCCAAAGCATGGGTTCTACTGACCAGTGTCACTACAGCCTAATCTTCCTGCTCTAAGGACAGCCCGTCCTATGATAATAGCCAACCCTTATGTGCACTTGCTGTGTGCCAGGCCTTGTTTTAAGTATTCACTGATTAGTCCTTATGGTGACCTTAATAGGTAGGTACTATCACTGTTTTCGTTTTAGAGATAAAGAAAACAGACAACAGGAAGGTAAGTCACTGTCCAAAGAGAGAGACAGCCAGCAGGCAGCAGAGCCAGAATTGGAACCCAGGCAGCCTCCCTGGGAGCCACTCTGCCACGCTGAGAGTGGGGCCCTGGGTGGTGCCTCCTCCTGGGTTGGGGTCCAGGGGACAGGGCTAACGGGCCGAATCCTGCAGGTGCCTGTGTCGGTGGCCATGATGTCGCCGCAGATGCTTACCCCGCAACAGATGCAGCAGATCCTGTCGCCCCCGCAGCTGCAGGCCTTGCTCCAGCAGCAGCAAGCCCTCATGCTCCAGCAGGTGAGTCTGGCCCCAGGGCAGCTGGTCCCTCCTCCTCTGCCTGGCCTGGCTCCTCCCACCCTGTTTACACCTCACCAAGGGCCCAAGCTGTCCCAGAAACCAGAGAGACTGCTCAGGCCAGACTGATCTGCATTCCTCTAGGGTAGTGGGGAGAGGTCAAAGGTCAGGCATCTCTTATGGTGGCCCTGCCCCCACAATACTCCCCGGTCCTCCCTCCCTGCATGCTGGCCCCACTTCTATCTCCTGAACAGGGAAGGGCAAAGTACTGGAACATTCTGGCACGTTGTCCCCTGTGACCTGCTCAGGAGATCCACCAAAAGCAGGGAGGGTTCAGAGCTGTGGGAATGAAACTCCTCCATCCCTTGCTCCCTCCCTCCGCACCCAGACCCTGCTCAGGGCCCCTCCAGGCTGACTGGGGAAAGCCAGACCATGTTTTAGGGAAACTCCCTTCTCCTGCCCCCAGGAGCCCAGATGGGACAGGGCTGGGGTTGTGGGGATAGCAGTACCCTGCCAGTGGTAACCCTCCTCCACCCCCCCAGCTACAGGAGTACTACAAGAAGCAGCAGGAGCAGCTCCACCTGCAGCTCCTCACCCAGCAGCAGGCTGGGAAACCGCAGCCCAAAGAGGTAAGGGGCTGTACCAGGGCCCACCACCGCCCTCACCCCCTGCCCAGAGCTGGGTGTCCAGAGCTGGTCAGGAGGGAATTGCCTTGCAGGAATAGTAGAAAAATCTAGAAAAGGCTGAGGAAGGGGACCAAGGATCAGTGTGGGGGAAATGGGGATGGTGGTTCTTACGTGTCTCCATCTCCCCTCATCCCCATTCATTCTTTCTCTCCTTGCCTCGTGTTGTTGTCTCTGTGCACATGGGTGTAGACAGGTGTGTACGTGTCACCCCCGTGTGTGGTGTCTGCCGGGCCACGCTCATGTGCCTTGTGGTCGCACCATCTTCCTGCCCCCTTGTCTCTTTGTGACCCAGCACCTCAGCCCTCCCCTCCTTGTCCTGCGAATCTCTGAGTCCCTCAGCAAACCACCTCCCCTTACCTCAGCCTGCCCCCAGCTTCTTCCCCTTCTTCTTATGACTTGCCCAGCCACCCCTCGGTCTCCTCTCAGAGCTCCCCAGCCTACATCCCCTACCCCATCGGAGCTTCTATACCAGGCCCTGGAGGCCCTTCTCCCCTGGGTCCCAGACCTGTGCATCTCTCCTGCTGCCCAACCGCAGCCCCAAGCTCTAAGTTTCCTCTTCCCAGAAGGCTGCCCTGACACCCAGGAATTCTCCAGCACCCCCAGTCTCCCCCTCAGCAGTCTTGTAATTGCTGTGTTATCAGCAGGTAAATCTCTAGGCTAAGTTTATCCTGTGTCTCTCTATTGAATAGCCAGCCCCCACCCTACCCCATGCTTCCCACCCCCAGCAGGCAGGCAGAGACATCTCTGCCTCTCAACCCACCCAGGACATGCTTGGCTCATGGGGCTCAAGAGAGACTTGCTGACAGCCTGACTTGTCAGTGCCTGTGTGAAGAACTGAATGGGTGGGGGTAGGTAGAGTGGGTGAGCCAACGAGTACAGGGCGCCTGGGCAGTGGTGATGTGACTGTTCTCCGAGCCTGGGTCCCAGTGAGTCCCGTCAGACTCCTTGATTCTCTGTATCTAAAAAGCAAGAGAGGAAAAGAGCTGGGGGAGAGAAAACTCCCTCCCCAGAGCAGAAGGGGGCACCCCGGGCATGTGGGAAGGGTGCCCTCCAGGCAGGAGTGGCCCCCAGAATCTGACAGGCTCATCGATCATTGTGATGAGGCACCCCCAGGCGTGCACAGCTGCGGTGCAGGGAGCTGAAGCAGCGGAAGGAGGGAGGCGGGAGGAGGGAGGGCGTCGTGCTGCGTGTCTGGGTCTGGCTGTGTGTGTTTGCGCGCGTGCGTGCGTGCGTGCATGCGTGTGTTTACTGCGAGGAGGCATGCAGCCTTATGGAAGCTGGGCCGGGAGCAGAGACACTGCAGCTGCAGACGCCACAACGACAGCTCCAGGGGCTGACAGGCCCTGGGAGGGGGTGGCCGCGGGGTGGGGGCCAGATGGCATGCCTGAAGCTGATGGCACCCCTCTCTGCCCGCCCCCTCGGGCCCCTCACCAGGCACTGGGGAACAAGCAGCTGGCCTTCCAGCAGCAGCTCCTGCAAATGCAACAGTTGCAGCAGCAGCACCTGCTCAACCTGCAGAGGCAGGGGCTGGTCAGCCTGCAGCCCAACCAAGCCTCGGGGCCCCTCCAGACCCTTCCGCAAGGTGAGCACCCGCCACTCCTCCCCTCCCAGCCCCAACCCCACAGCCCTGCCTGTACGCAACAGCTGGCAGCCCCTGTTCTTGGGGCCAGGTAGAAAGCCGAGTGTTCGTGGGGCCCTGCCAGCCTCCCCTGTCTCTCCCACAGCAGCTGTTTGCCCAACAGACCTGCCCCAGCTGTGGAAGGGCGAGGGTGCCCCCGGGCAGCCTGCCGAGGACAGCGTCAAGCAGGAGGGGCTGGACCTCACTGGCACGGCCGCCACCGCTACCTCGTTTGCCGCTCCCCCCAAGGTCTCACCCCCCCTCTCCCACCATACCCTGCCCAACGGACAGCCTACTGTGCTCACATCTCGGAGAGACAGGTACAGGGGTCCAGGCTGGGAGGGGCATCAAAGGCCTGCCTGGGGGTAGACCTGGCCCCCCACCCATGAGGGCTGACTGTGAGGGAGGGGGTGGAGCCCACGGACCGGAGGTTCACTCCCTCTCCACTCCCTCTCCCGGGGTGTACAGATGGTGCTTGGCCGCTGGGAAACCTGTATTGGGGCAGAAATGTCACCAGCAGGGGAGCTGGTGCTCAGCTGACTACAGGGCCGCTGGGGTCTTCAGGGTCCCTGATCGGCCACCTCCCTGCTGTCCTCCCAGCTCTTCCCACGAGGAGACCCCCGGCTCCCACCCCCTGTACGGACACGGAGAGTGCAAGTGGCCAGGCTGTGAGACCCTGTGTGAAGACCTGGGCCAGTTTATCAAGTAGGTGTCACCCCCAGCCCCTCCCCCAGCAGCCTTTCCCCACAGGGCCTCTCCCCCAACCCTGCCCACTAGCTTGCCCCTTCTGGGAGCCCTCCTCACTAGCTGTACTACTGTCCTCACTCCAGAGGGTTCTAGTTCTTTCTCTGCCCCCCACGGACTCCCTGATCACCCACTCCCTACCCTGTCTATATTTCTGGGCCTGCATTCCCCTGACTCCATCCCCAGCGCAGGGTGCGGGTAGGAGAAGGAGAGGACAAACATAAGCATTACTCCTCCCCCCACCCTCCCCTGCTCCCCTCCAGCCTCAGCCCCGGGGAGTGATGGCGAGTGACAGGCTGAGGGCCGCAGACAGGCAGGGCGGGAGGTGGACGGGCGGCTGGCAGCAGGCGGCCAGCTGCCACAGCCGTGCCAGGCTCTGTCACTGACTGATTAACTCCGCTGTCTCCCAGACCCTTGCAGCATCAGGGTCAAACAAATTGTTTTCACGCTTCGTCAGAGGTTTACTTAATTAGTTCATTTGCAATTAGATCTCTCTGTAGCTGGGATTTTAGCAAAGACATCAAAGGAGGCTGACGAGAAGGGAGAAGCCTTCCTCCATTGCCCCGTTTTTCCACCTCTTTCTCTTCTTTGTATCTCTTGGTCTGTCTGCTTTTCAGGCCATGGGTGGGATTAGAGGATAGGATGGGAGGATGGTGGCAGCAGGGAAACCGGAGCCAACTTTCTCTCCTCCTCTCTTCCCCTTGAAGACACCTCAACACAGAGCACGCCCTGGATGACCGGAGTACAGCCCAGTGCCGGGTACAGATGCAGGTGGTGCAGCAGCTGGAGATCCAGGTGTGGCCCGGAAGATGCTGGGGAGGGACATGGTGGGCTCCAGCCCCTGCCCACCCACAGCACTGACTTGCTAGGTGGGCTCTGTTGGGAGGGTCTCATGGAAGGGTCCTATGGTCAAAGCCACCATCTTATGCTTTCTAGGTCCTAATGACCATGGTTGTGAGGTGAGGACAGCTGGATTCTGAGGGGTAAACCAAGGTTGGGGGCGTCTCTGCTGGGAGGTCCAGAAGAGACTCACGCTACATAGAAACATCAAAAATAATTATTAGCAGCTAACATATGGAGCACTTACTTTGTGCTGTGCTAAATACTTTATATAGCTCAAGGAATCCTCTCAACAACCTTATGTGGTGGGTACCATTATTCTCCCCATTTTCCAGATGGAGAAAACAGGCACACAGAGCTAAAGTAACTTGCCTGTGAGTGGCAGAGCTGGGATTAGAACCCAGGCAGCCTGGCTTTCCCAAGGGAGTATCCCAGCTACTTGAGAGGGGACACTCAGCAGCACAGGGTTCCCAGGAAGCAACTCAGGGCAGCTCCTCTGTGCTTACCCATCTCCCTCCAGCACCTAGCAGAGCATCCTGCTGTGAGAGGGTGGTCATGAGAGACCCATTGAGTTTATGAATGGGGTGTCTGAGCCATTCATCAGTTCCTGCATCTGCATTCAGTATGCAAGGCCCTCACACACAAGTGCCACTGCACAAGGCACAGTGGCCGCCCCCCCGTGGGTGGGTAGGAAGAAGCCTCCCAACATGTAGAGGCAGGGATAAGCTCCAGCCAGGACGCACTGGGAGGGCTCAAATGGTCACCATCCAGGGGAGAAAGGGAGAGGCTTCATGGAGCTGGCAGCCCTTGAGGGGTAGAGCATTGCTGAGGCCTCCCTGGAGCGGGTCACAGAGGGAGCATGGATGCTGAGGCAAGGAGGCGAATGGGGGTGGGAATCGGCGGCCTTCTGAAGAGCCTGGCGGTGGAGGGGTGGGACAACACTGCCTCCAGGGTTCAGCCTCCCGCTCACCTCCTGCTTTGCCACCCTCCACAGCTCGCCAAGGAGAGCGAGCGGCTGCAGGCCATGATGGCCCACCTGCACATGCGGCCCTCGGAGCCCAAGCCCTTCAGCCAGCCAGTGAGTGCTGCTCCCCTCCCCGCCCCTCCCAGAGCCTTCCACAGACCCTGGAGCCTCGGGACCCCCACCCTCGGGCACTGGTCTCAGTACCCTCCCCGTTGCTCACAGCTGAACCCGGTCCCCGGCTCCTCCTCATTCTCCAAGGTGACCGTCTCTGCAGCAGACTCATTCCCAGATGGTCTCGTGCACCCCCCGACCTCGGCCGCAGCCCCTGTCACCCCTCTACGGCCCCCTGGCCTGGGCTCTGCCTCCCTGCATGGTGGGGGCCCAGCCCGTCGGAGAAGCAGTGACAAGTTCTGCTCCCCCATCTCCTCAGGTGAGGGTGGGCTGGGGGCTGCAGGGCGACAGCAGCGTGAGGCTGTTTTTCCCATCTGAGCCCCATATCTGGCTACCTCATCCTCTGCCTGTCTCCCCAGAGCTGGCCCAGAATCATGAGTTCTACAAGAACGCCGACGTCCGGCCCCCCTTCACCTACGCCTCCCTCATCCGCCAGGTGAGCAGGGCAGGTAGGAGGAGGGTGGGGAATGGCACACAGGCTGCTCCCCCAGCCCCCGCCACACCCCTGCCTCCAGGAAGGTCCTGGGGCCAAGCAATGGAGCTGTCCCGCTCCCTCTCACGTGGCGGTCTTCCCTCTCTGCTGTGCGGGGCTCTCCTGCAGGCTGGGCCCTGTCAGCCTGCTGCATAGGGTTATGTGTCTCTGGGGGTGCACACACTGTTCTTCTTACTGACACCCACCGTGGCATTCATGTGCTCATTTCCACGTACACAGCCCGCCATGATAGACTCAGGGTCACTCTTCGTCTCTCTCCTTTGTCTTTCCTCCCTCAAGCCCATGATCTTCATGTCACCAATGTTCACATAGTATTCACACTCAAGCATGAACTTACATCGACACATATGTCCTCCCTGATACCCACACAGGCATGTACACCTTCACACACATTCTTTCTGTCACACACACACTGTGCTTAGGGTACCTTTTGCCAAAATCAGGATAAATTCCAAACAGCCTCCACCCCGTGGACATCTCTCCCAAGAAAGACAGGACTGACTGCTTTCACCCTCGGTGCAGGGCCAGGTACTAAAGGCATTTTCTCTCCAGAAGCAGCTCCAATCCTTCTTGTACAAATACATAGCCCTTGGAGGCTCCTGCCCTCTTTATCCTTGGCCAAGCTATAACCAGCCTGTCCCTCTGAGGGGACCCACCAGCCACCACCCATCTTGTTATCCACACATTTCTGAGCAGGTCTTCTCACAAAGTGAACTCGGGGCTAGGCAGAAGGGAGAGGTACTGGGGGAGGGAACCCAGGGCTGTGACCCTTCGAGGCCCAGGCTGACGGTCCCTTTGCTTGTTCCTTCCCCGCAGGCCATCCTGGAAACCCCTGACAGGCAGCTGACCCTGAATGAGATCTATAACTGGTTCACCAGGATGTTCGCCTATTTCCGCAGAAACACTGCCACCTGGAAGGTGAAGCAGGCCCCTTCCACCTTCTGGGCCCCAGTCACCCTTGGACCTGCCATATCCCATGGAGACCAAGGCTGCCTAACAATTAGTTCCCTAAACCATTAGTCCTGCAGAAACAGCCACCCAAGGGCCCAGCCAGGGCTGCATGCCCACGCCCACCTCAGCAGGGGCTGTGGATTGTTCCATAACCTTTTAATGATCCCTTCCTTCCAGCCTGGTGCTGCCTCCTTTCTGGGAAGCAATCCTTCTCTAGGGTACACCCCCAAGGGCCCCAAAGACGCCAGCCCCACGAGGTAGGGCCTCTAGGAATTGCTAATGCCCAAGCTTGATACAGAAGCCTGGGCCGAATTTCACAGAGACCCTAAGGGTCTGGATACCTTGGCTTAAGGTACATGTTCTGAAGCCTGAGGTGGGGCTAGGAAAGCGCAGGTATAGACACACGGATGGACCAAGAGCCGTGGACCACACATTGGGGCACTGACGGCACTCACAGCCCTCCCCAGCTCTGCCATCCCTGGCAGGAAGATAATTGTCTCCATCCAATTAGTCATTTCAACACCTTCAGCCATAAGTTTTCCTGGGAGAGCAGAAGCAGGCAAGAGGGGGACTCTAGAAAAATGGGAGACAGATGCTGGGGTACTAGGCCATTTATTTTTCTATAGCCAAAAGGGGGGTGTGTGTGTGTGTCTGTCTGTCTGTCTCAAGGTGGGAAGGTGATATCTAAATTGGGAGAGTGGGCGGGGCGGGGGGAAGAAGGAGAGAGTGTTCGCCCCTGCAGGGAAGGTTAGACGCGGGGAAGGACTCCCTCTCAGAACCTTAATTGGATCCCTGGCTCTTGAGTCCCCCTGCTGGCCACTGAAGAAACTGCAGTTAAACGGGCTACCTCCCCCAATCCCACTAGGTTTCAACAAGTGTTACTGAACCCCTCCTCCCCACCAGCGCCCAGGACTTGGTGGGGTCTGCACAGTGCCTGCCTACCCTTTGCCCTGGGATTATGCTAAGTGCAGCAGAAGGGACTGCATCATGACTTTCATATGCTCATACCCAATTCCCAAAGCTTGGGAGAGAAGCTGGGAGGCTGTTGGGACAGCTGCTGTAATTGGCTGTGAGTGATGTCATTTTCTGCCAACCACATTCCTGCCCTCTTTCTGAGCCAGCAGGGCTTGCTTGGGACCACCTGGTCCAGTCTCCAACCTCCAAGTCAGTTCAGATACCAGGTTTTTATAAATGATAGAGTCCTACAAACATAAGGGATGATTATAATTATTACCTAATGTTTAATAAAGCATATTAATCTTTTGCCTTTAGGGGTAGTAATATAGAGCCTCCTTTCCATAAGACAGCCTCCTTTTTGGGGGCAAAGTACTGCTAAGCCACCTACCTTCCTTCCTTCCTTCTGTCTTACCTGTAATGCCCTGCTGCAATTTTCTAATTCTCTCTTCTCTTGAGGTCAGGTTAGGTGACCTGGTTTAGGTGACTTCCTTAAACTACTCAGTGACCATCCTGAAGCCACCCCCCTGATATTCTAACCCTGCCGCCCTTGCCCAGCCCAGCCTTTCACATCTCTGTGGTGTGTTCCTCCTAGTTCTTCACCCCCATCTCCCCTCACCTAGTCTAGGGTCCAGTAAGAAGCATCTGGGCTGGGGAAAGTGAACGACTAAGTGGGTGACTTTGCCAGTTAGCAGTGTTCTGCTGCTGCCTCTGTGCCTGAGGCCACTGCCTGAGCCTTCCTCATGGCACAGCAGAATCCATCCAGCTTGAGGTCCACTTTGACCTTCTGGTTTTTTTCAGCCAAATGCATTCATGTTACTTGGGAAATACACCATCTACACCCAACTCTGCTTCCCTTCCACCTCTACTTTCCACTCATTTCTCAGCCCCTCAGGTCATCTCTGCTCCTCTCCCGAATTATTTGTGCTTTCTTCTTTCCCTTCTTCACCTTTGCTGGCTCCCACCCTGAGATACTTTCCACCTCAGACCAGGGCAGAAGGGTTGGGAGCGGGCATGGTGTGGGCCCAGCCAGCTGCCGTTCATCCAGGGACAGAGCTGCCATCTGCCAAGCTGATGGTCCTTGCTGGCCCTCCCCGTGTCCATCCCCTCCCAAGGCCCGTGTTGTGGGCCCGTCCTTTTGTTTACGAAGCCCCTGCCAGACCCCTTAAATTGCCGTTAATGTTTCAGCGTAACGAATTAGTCTCTCATCACGAATCAGGCTTCGAAATGAGGGAAAAAAGCCCCGGTGAGGCCATCCTCGGAAATTGGGGTCATTCTCATTTGCAAAGCGGAGGATCGGAGCCCCGTAATGCGGGCAAATTTATTCCGAGGCAGGAGCCCCGGCGTGATTAGGCCCTTTGTAATTATCGCTCCAAGAGATTCCACTCCAGCCGCCCGCCTCCCTCGTGGATTAGCAAGCGAGTCGGAAAAATACACAGGATTTAATTAGAGGCAAATTAAAATTGGTAATGAAATCGGGCCAGTTGCAAGTGGCAAGAGTTGGAAGGGAGAGAGGGAGAGGGATCTCCAGGGGCACGGGCTGCCTGCCCTACCCGCTTTCTTCCCCGTTTAGAAATGTAAAGAGGAGACAAGGATGGGGACGAGGCGGGGGAGGCTAAGGGAGGACAGGTAACAGGGTCCAGGGATGCAGGCAGGGATGGTGATAACTGGGAGCTGGCCGTGGGGGCAGCACAGCTGAGAGAGGAGGGTGCAGGGACAGGACTGAGGGACACGATGAGGTGGGGCAGACTAGGGCCCTAGTCCGGGCTCCCATGGTGGTGAGGGGGGAATTGGGCCAAGCACCCCGCCCTCGCCCAAGCGTCCTACAAACCAGATGACCTCAATTCTTGAAGTTATCCTGCCAGGAGGAGGTGGGACAGACAAGGTGACTTATCTTCTTTCTCTCCTCTTTCTGCCTCTGGGTTGTCAACCCACACTCTCCTCTCTCCCTGTTTATTTCAACAAGTATGTATGAGGCCTTTACTGTATACCTTGTGCTCTCAAAATATAAGCTGCCTGTTCTGAGCCACAGCCAAAGCATGGCTCCCAGACTCCTGTGGGTCAGTGGAGGTGGCAGTGAGGGTTTATGAGCTCTTTCCCAAACTTTTAAAAGCTTTGTGGAAATTCTGCATGCAGCTGAGATGAAGCATCCTGGGCTCGCAGAGATGCCGGGGCCCGAATGTGATCTGCTGCTGATCCAAAGCCCTGAGTAACAATTACATGTGTCTTTGATTAACGAAGATGATGAAACAGATTATTACTAACTGGATAGCATTTAGTTAGTAGACAGAACTTTCCAAGATGTGGCAGGGAGAGAGGAGGCAGCTAATAAAATGGGTCATCCATGGTGAAGAGGCTGGGAACCCCTGGCTCTATGGAAAGGGTAGGGGCCCGCCTTCCCTTTGGCTGGGTCTCCTCCCAGCCCACCCCCCTCCCCTGCTCATCCCTGAGCTGGGGAAGGTGGGCCGCTGCTGCGTGGGACATGGGATGGGATGAGGACTATCATGTTTGTGCTTGGCCAAGCAAGCCGCCTCTGAGCTCCTCTTCACTGCACCCACAGAACGCCGTGCGCCACAACCTCAGCCTGCACAAGTGCTTCGTCCGCGTGGAGAACGTCAAGGGTGCCGTGTGGACTGTGGACGAGCGGGAGTATCAGAAGCGGAGACCGCCAAAGATGACAGGGTATGTGGGTCCAGAGCTGGATGGGCTGTACCTGCCCAGGGGGCAGGAGCCAACTCACCCCCACCCCCTACCTCTCCAGGGTACACATGTGCACCAGATCCTTCCTGGCTGGGGGAAGGGGTGTGGGGAGAAAGGAGCAGAGGAGACTAGTGCTTGGGGACAGGGGGCTGGAATCCGGAAGTGATGGATAATCAGAAGGCAGACATTTATGTCCTCTTCTGTCCTCACTCTGACTGAGGGAAGGGGCCAAGAAGGAGGCCTGGTAGCAAAGAGAGACAGGGGCCCCAAGTAGCCCTGGCCAGAGCTGGCACACAGGCAGATGCCAGCCAACGGGCCATGGGTGAGGGGCTGCCACCCCCAGGGCACCCGCTCTCTCAGCTCATCAGGATGACTAGACCTCTGAGGTCCCGCGACCCCACCAATTCATCTTACGGCAGAGGAGAGCCAGTGAGGGCCAGGGGCTGGCAGGAGGCCCCAGAGCAGATTTGTGGCAGAGCTGGTTCCAGGACCAGGTCTCTGCCCTCCTGGTCTTTTGTGCTCAGCTTCACTTCACCACCTGGCATTTTATTTATTTACTTATTTATTTATTATTTTTTTAATTTTATTATTTTATTCATTTATTTTTTTTGAGAAGGAGTTTTGTTCTTGTTGCCCAGGCTAGAGTGCAATGGCACGATCTCAGCTCACTGGAACCTCCACTTCCCGGGTTCAAGCAATTCTCCTGCCCCAGCCTTTCGGGTAGCTAGAATTACAGGTGCCCACGACCACGCCCGGCTAATTTTTTTTGTATTTAGTAGAAATGTGGTTTCACCACGTTGGTCAGGCTGGTCTCGAATTCCCAACTTCAGGTGATCCACCTGCCTTGGCCTCCCAAAGTGCTAGGATTATAGGCGTGCACCAGCGCACCTGGCCTATTATTTTTTTGAGACAGAGTCTTGCTCTGTTGCCCAGGCTGGAGTGCAGTGGCACGATTTTGGCTCACTGCAACCTCCACCTTGTGGGTTCAAGCGATTCTCCTGCCTTAGCCTCCCGAGAAGCTGAAATTACAGGCGCCCACCACCACACCCAGCTAATTATTTTACTTTTGGTAGAGACGGGGTTTCACCCTGTTGACCAGGCTGATCTCGAACTCCTGACCTCAGGTGATCTGCCCGCATCGGCCTCCCAAAATGCTGGGATTACAGGCGTGAGCTACCGCACCTAGCCTCCACCTGGCAGTTTAAACAGAAACTGAGGAGCCTGGGACAGGGTCAGGACCTCCCTTTGGCTTCCACGTAGCAGCAGTGGCCTTCTCCCGACCTCAAACAGCCCCACCCCAGCCACCTGCTTGCTGTGCCCCTTGGGCCAGAGCCCCTGGGTAAGGAGAGGAGAGCAAGTTAGATGGATGTCTCTGAGGTGTGGGGTGTCTGCTCCCCTCAAAGATGCCTGCTTACCAGGCAGGAGCCTTTGCACCCCAGGCAGTGTGCAGCCTGGAGAATGGAGGGAAGCCATCCCCTGGTGAATGCCTAGGGGCCAGTCTCCAGGCCTGGCTGCGCTTGCACCTCTGCTTCTCACCAGTTTGGTGACCTTTGGCTGTTTCCTTAAGCTCTGTGAGAGCTCTGTGATGGTGTCATCACTGGAAGAGGGACAGCCCCCAGCCACTGCTTTTCCTGTCCCAACTCCCGAACACCTTCCCGTGCAGAGAAGCCTTCTGTATGGAGGCTTCCATACAGAAGCCTCCATGTGGGACAGGCTGAGCATATGTCTGACATGTCCCAAAATCTAGGATGGCAAGACAGTGTGGGCAGACCAGGTGTGTAACTACTGAGACTATAGATTAGACCTTGCCAAACATTGGAAAATCTAGACCGGAGAGAAAACGGGTGGGGGGGCAGCATGCTGTGAAGGCAGACACTGGGGGGATGCCAGTTCCCACTTCCCAGCTCCGAGACCTGGACAGGTCCCTGAACCAAGCCCATCGCACCCACCTGTGAAGGGGCTGCTCCTGCAGGGCCAGTTGAGCGTGAAGACCGAATCAGACCAAGTACACACACAGCTCCAAGACAGCGGCTGATCCGCCCTGGCCTCCCGGAATAGGGAATGGGACCCATTCCCAGCACAGGCCGTTACTTAGTGAGAGTAAAGAGATGCGAATGAAGAGCTAAGTGAATGAGTGAGCCAAAGATGGCCTTCTCTGTCCTCCAGGAGCCCCACCCTGGTGAAGAACATGATCTCTGGCCTCAGCTATGGAGCACTTAATGCCAGCTACCAGGTGACCTGCCCAGAGCCCACCCACTCACCTCTACCTCCCGCCCCCTTGCTTTCTCATACAAGAGACCCCCATCCTCCCCTGCAGAGGACTCACCAGAGGAGGGAAGGAGGGTGAAGACCCAAACTCTCCGAGACCCCACCTCTCTGCCCCACCCCAACTCGGGGCCAGCCTCCACCTCTGCTTTCAAGGCTGGGTTCAGACAAGGCAGGCAGCTGGGAGGATGGCATACCTATAGCATCCCCTTTCCTGGTTTGTCAGTCTGGGGGTTCTCTGTTCCCTGGGAGAGGGGATAAGCCAGGCCCAGGTTCCAGGAAAGCTAGGAGGTAGGAGGTCGGGGGGTCAGAGTTCCAGCCATGGGGGAGGGGTGCTACATTCAAAGGCTGAGTTGGGGCTTGGGGGTTGCCCAGACAGATCCGCCCGTGGGGCCAGTAGGCAGACACACAGGCAGCTCTCTAGTGGGCGGGGAAGGCACAGCACTTGACTGAGTGTGCCCCATCCTGTGGAGCCACTGACGAGGCCCAACCCTGTGCCCCTGCAGGCCGCCCTGGCCGAGAGCAGCTTCCCCCTCCTCAACAGCCCTGGCATGCTGAACCCTGGCTCCGCCAGCAGCCTGCTGCCCCTCAGCCACGATGACGTGGGTGCCCCCGTGGAGCCGCTGCCCAGCAACGGCAGCAGCAGCCCTCCTCGCCTCTCCCCGCCCCAGTACAGGTGAGCACACAGCACGGACCCCCACCCACCCCAGCACCCCTCAACCACCAGGGAGGAGGCGTCATCCCCCACCCTGGGTGGGGTTCCCCATCCCACCCCCACCACGCCTCTCCCCAGGACAAGTGGCTTCTCTCTTCCTTCCCTCAGCCCTCTCAGCCCTCCCTTGTCCCACCTGCCTGTTCTTATCCCCTCTCCCCACCTCCCCACCTTCCCACCTTCTCCTCCCCATTTTCCCCCTTTCTTATTTTTCCTCCTCCTCTCTTCTCTTTTTTTTTTTTTTTTTTAAGACGGAGTCTCGCTCTGTCACCCAGGCTGGAGTGTAATGGCAAGATCTTGGCTCACTGCAACCTCTGCCTCCTGGGTTCAAGTGATTCTCCTGCCTCAGCCTCCCAAGTAGCTGGAATTATAGGTGCCTGCCACCATGCCCAGCTAATTATTTTGTATTTAGTAGAGAATGGGGTTTCACCGTGCTGGCCAGGCTGGTCTCGACCTCCTGATTTCAGGTGATCCACTGGCCTCGCCCTCCCAAAATGCTGGGATTACATGTGTGAGCCACCTCGCCTGGCCTCTCTTCTATCTTTCTTCTCCTTCCTCCGTTCGCTCATCTCCCCTCTGCTCCCCTCTTCTCTCCTCCCCAACCCAGAGCAGTCTCTGCCCCAGGACCAGCTTTTCTTTGAAGAGAGCCCTAGGGGAGATCAGCCCTCAGGTCTGATGGGATCCTGGGGAGGGGGCTGTGGGCACCCCACTGTGCCCCAGAGTTCTGGGTGAGTTTGGGGGGCAGGGGGCAGAGGGCATCAGAGGACAGCCGCCTGGTGCCCATGCCATACTTTTGCCTCAGCCACCAGGTGCAGGTGAAGGAGGAGCCAGCAGAGGCAGAGGAAGACAGGCAGCCCGGGCCTCCCCTGGGCGCCCCTAACCCCAGCGCCTCGGGGCCTCCGGAAGACAGGGACCTGGAGGAGGAGCTGCCGGGAGAAGAACTGTCCTAAGGGCCTGTAGTGACCGGCAGGGCTGGGGTGAGACCCCTCCCTTCCAGAATCCAGGCCCCATCTCCCCCAACTCCACAGCCCCTCCCGAGCCTCAAGGCAAGTCCAGGACTCAGACCGGGGAGGCCCGGGCCAGCAGCTCCCAGTGTGACCTGACAAAAACACGTAGGGGCAGGGACGGTCCCCACCCCCAGGGACACAACCCCTGGTCTTGGACCAGTAGAGGACACGGAGGGTTCAGACCCCTCCTCAGACCCTCCCCACATCTGAAACTGCCTCCCCCCAACCACCAGCAGCAGCAGGGCCCTCCTCCCCCACCAGCTCTCCCCACAGGGCCCCTCAGCATCATGGAGACCCGCAGGCGGGGCTTAGCCACCCCTCAAACCCAGGGCCCCCTGGCACCTGGCTCTGGCCGTGTTTTCTGGCCAGAGGCCCCCACTTTCCTAACTCGTGCTCCCTTCCGCCTTCTTTTCCGTACTGTGAAGAAAGAACTCTCCACCCCAGCTCCCACCCTGCCCTGGCCTGGGTGGAGGAACTGTGCCTCCATCCCCAGAAGAAACAGCCCCCTCTGCTGCTGGGGTGGGACTGTCTGTGTGCCCTGTGGGGGTCCGTGTGAGCAGGCCCACCTGGCTCCAGACCCGCCCCCAACCTGAGACAGAACCAGGCTGAGCCAGGCCTCCACCCCCACCCCCGTTTGCTGGGGGCTCCTCCAGCCGCCCCCATGGGAAGAGGCCTGGTACCGCCTCACCCACAGAGGTCTGTGCCAGGTGCGCTTCTGCAGGTGGAGCCAAGCTCTCCCTGAGGCCAGAGGCGGGGCCTGGGCCGGGAGCCCAGGGGAAGGCCAGGCTGGACCCCGGCTCCACACCCACATCCAGCCTGCAGGCCTCTCTGCAGTCCTCTCACCCTCCCTCAGCTCCCCTTCCTCTGCAGTCACCCTCAGCTCCCCTTCCTTGCCCGCCTCTCCCCCCGCCGCCCCACCAGTTAAACGGATGACCAAAGACCTTTCTTATGCCGGAAGCAAAAACCAAAACTTTTTGTTGGCTTTTTCCTTTGTCGCCTCCCCAGCACCTGCCCTCCCAGTCTCCCACCCCGGCCCCAGGCTGGAAGCCCTCCCTCCACTTAAGTTATTGTTTTAAACCAAAGTTTACAGTGTCTGTTGGTGGCCAAGACCTTCTCTCTCCACCCCTCCTCCATCCACCCTGAGGACCCTGGGGCTCAGTGGAGGCAGGGCCCTGCCCCCCTCCCTTCCGCTCCTGCCCAGCCTGGGGGAAGGAGAAAGGAGGGGAGAAAGCGGGCTCTCACCCCCTCAGGAGTGGGCACGGGAGCCCTTCTCCCTGACCCTGGGCTGCTTCCTGGGGGCTCTCCAGACCCCTCTCTAGGACCAAGTCACCCGTCGTGCTGGGAGTGTGGATTCTAGCAAAAGAGCTGGAAAAAAGTCAGACTCTCCACAGACCCCCTATGGGGGACCCCCAACTCAAGGCCAAGGACTGGGCGTATCGGATGCTCATAACACCCCTGGCCTGGCCCCTTTACTGAGAAGACTCCTTGGATATTTCCCAAGAACCCCCCACATACACCCCTCACAAGCCACCCCTCCTGAGAGGCAGGGGGCCCTCCGCCCCCTCCCCATGTATTCCCCACCTGTGTTCCGTTTGACCAGCACAGAAATATTAAACGTCCTCTATTCACCGGGCCCTGTGTGTGTCACCGAGGTGCGGGAGGGGAGGAGCATTAAAGCTGAAAGATCGCTCTGCTCGGGGAGCCTGGGCAGAGCAGCAGCAACGTGAGGGTCGCTGTGGTGGTGGTTTCTGTGAGTGGATGGAATGAGCAGCCCTGCAGGGGCGCTGGGCATGTGCCCTCACTGTGGACAGGGCCCACCCACCTCCGGTTCCCCTGTGCCTCCTGTCCCTTCCACGCTTAAACAGGGTTCTCTGTCATTTTCCTGTTTTCTTCCAGAGTCCCAATCCTTTGCCCTAGTTCTTTCACTAGTTTGAAATCCAAGTTCTTGCCAGAGTGTTGGAGCAAGGCAGCTGATTTGCTGCAGGGATGGAGAGGACCACCGCCGCAGGGTTCTTTTACCTGTGCCACCAGCTCTGGAGACATCCACACCCATTCCCAGGTGTCCTTCCAGGCCCATTGTCCACGTCTTCAAGGGGGCTGCCTGGATAGGCGTGTGTGTGTGTAGTGCCCAGGTGTGGTGGTGGCATCCTGAAGCAGTAGGACCATTAGTGTGCGTGCACACCCACGTGGCACACTGTGTGGTGACCATGGTCATCATAGTGGGCTCACGGCGGAAACGGGATCATTCAACCTATACAAAGGGGACCCTGGATAGGCTGCAAGGAAAGAGGCCAAGGGCCAAGCTGCTAAGCCAAAGATGGCCCCTGACACCTCCCCCAGCCCCAGCACACCAGCCTGCACCTCTTATCCCGTGTTAAGTCCTGGTTCCCCACCTGCTGCCCCTCCTCAACACAGAGCCCCTCCCGCCGCCTCAGACCCCTGTGCACATCCCCAGGGCCTCAGCCGTCTCATTGGTCTTTATTTTTTATTTTTTTTAAGATGGAGTTTCGCTCTTATTGCCCAGACTGGAGTGCAGTGATGCTATCTCGGCTCACTGCAACCTTTGCCTCCCAGGTTCAAGTGATTCTCCTGCCTCAGCCTCCCAAGTAGCTGGGATTACAGGCGTGCACCACCACGCCGGGCTAAATTTTTTTGTATTTTTAGTAGAGACGGGGTTTCTCTATGTTGGTCAGGCTGATCTCGAACTCCCGACCTCAGGTGATCCGCCAGCCTCAGCCTCCCAAAGTGCTGGGATTACAGGCGTGAGCCACTGCACCCGGCTCTCACTGGTCTTACGCCACCTTCTGGACACTCCCTCCTTGAGGGCAGAAAGGAGTCCCAGGCCTGTCCCTAGGGACAAGGCCCAGGGAAGAGTGTATTTGGGGAGCAGGGGAGGGGAGGGTGTTGAGAAAGCTGAACTGGAGTCAATCACCCTTCCCACAAATCACCAAACTGCTGGAACTCTCCAGCCAAATGCTGGGAGAAGGACCTGGAGGGTGAGTCTTTGCTGACCTCTCTCTACTCTCAGGCATGTCTTTTGTCCTTTTCGTCCATCTATTTCTGTCTGTCGCTCACTCGCCCCGCTTTCTCTGTCTCACCTTCATCCACTCTGCAGGCCTGCTCCACCACAGCCCTAATCCTCTGGACGCTTGTGTAGGGCCTGGGGTGAATTCCCTGTCCCCCATGGTACCTCGAGAGGGGCTGGGGAGCTCAGCTTGGTCTCAGAGTCTCCCCACCAGATACTGTTTAAAAAAGTAGCACTGATGTGTTTTGTAATCTGCCCCTCCCAGCCCTCCGTGGAGGCTGCCAGGGCCTTGTACGGTAAACCTAGCTGCATGTAATCTGTGGACAATGGCATTCTCTACAATGCAATAAAAACAATTACCCATGATTTTGCTGCGGCCGCTTCCCCTTTCCCCTTCTTCCCCTCCCAGCTGGGACCTACCAGAATGCCCCAGAGAATCCTTAGGTGTTGGCTGCCAGTCTCCCAGCCCCCTTACTCTGCCCCCTTGAAGAAGTAGTCAGTTCTGTGGACCAGCCCCGGGGGCATTCTTCCTATGCCAGACTCTGGAGGGACAAGACTGCACCTAGCTTTATTCTCAGGACCGTCCTTCCCGCGGTCTAACTTCAGTTTCTCCTGCTTCAACTAGAGTCCTCTTTTTATTCCTCTCACAGGGATATAGTGAATGGTCAGTGCATTTGCAGGTGGGGTGATGATCTATTTTGGACACTGGTACAGGAGAGGGTCTTGCAATATAAGAAACAAGAGCTGTTATGAACCACCACCTTCTGGGTGCATTGGGCTTATAGACTCAGTAATTTATTTTCTTCCTGATCTGACATCCTACATGGGGCAGCCCTCCCACAATTATTACCTTATTCGAAGTATGAACCAACATGTCCACCCCACCCCCAACCCCCATCACGCTTTGCCTCAGGAAGCGCTGCATGCTGGGTATGTAGCTTCTCTCCTTTCTACTGTTAACTCACAGCCAGGGAGTAGGCTGTTAACTGCAGCTGGCAGCTTGTCCTGGTCTTAGCATTGCTGAGCCCTGTTGGGGAAGCTATCTTTGGAACCTGGGGAAAAAAAAAAGAGAAATACTCCAAGCCGGACGTTTTAGGGGTGGGATAAGTAGCGCTCTGCGCTCTGCATCCGACAGAAGTCCCCCTTCCCCTTGGCACTCAGCACTTCGCTCCCCCACCATGAACTCGCCACCTTGCCCAAGGCCTTCTTGCCGATGGTCAGCAGAGGGCGCTTTAAACAAAGCAGACCGGCTCCTCTGGACAAACTTGCCTGTTTCCGGGGCACAGAACAACTTCCCTGAGAATGCCAGCCGCCGTACAGCGGAGGGCTCAGTACCTGTTTTTAATAGTAATAATTATTAACAGTTAATGAGCCCTCATTATGTGCCAGGCACTATCCTAGAAGCTTTATATTTCATTTCATCCCCAAAACGACTCTGAGTTAGGTATTATTATCCCCATTTTATAGATGAAGAGACTGAGGCAGAGTCAAAGAGATGAGCAGATAAAGCATTAAGAATAAAGAATCTTTGCAGATGAGCAATCCGGGTTCTGGGTTTAAAAAAAAAAATGAACCTGTGGCTGACGGTGGGGAAAGAGAAGAGGGAGACCCTGTGGTTTGCCCCTGCTTTCTAGTGACACGATTTACTTTGGTGATCGCTGCTTCCCTCCTTCTCTGGAGGCTCCGAGTGGGGAAATGAGGCTCCGAGCGCCTCGAAGCTGGGAATTAGGCCCTGGCTTCTGAGTTCCCCAGCTGCCATTCTACTCTAAGCAGAATAAGGTAAATTGATCTTGAAACAGTCACTGAAGGACAGAGTGAGGCAGAGAAGTCTGAATTACCCTATAAAAATAATCAGACAGGGGCCCTTCTGATGGGACGGTGAGGCAGAGCAGTGCAGACAAAGATCCCCCTGTCTGTGGTGGGGACTTTAAAATGACACCCCTCATGCACAGCACACACCTTCACACACACATGCACATGCTACTACCCGATATACTGACACCAGAGGTCCCTTCCATCTGCAGTCATCTCTAGGTGACCAGAAATGGACCCCCAGGGTGGGACATCCCACCACACAGAACCCCCGACACCTCACTGGCCTGCAGTCTGCATCCGCCTCAGGATCAAAAGTTTAGAAAAACAGCCCCTCCTGAGAAGGCAGTCATGGTGGCAGCCCAGGCTGAAAGGCCCTCTGTCCTAGCCAGGAGGGGCCAGGGACAGGGCGTGGGGGCTGGCAACCTTCAGAAGACTGGCTGAATTAACAGGGACAGTGCAGTGGTGGGCTGGGTAACCAAGCTGGCACTCTGGGCTTCTGGCCCTGGCCCTCCCACGAGGGCCTCTCCTGCTCTGGGACCTGGAATGCAGGCCTGTCTATACAAGGCCACCATGCTTGGGCTCCAGGAGTGGGCCAGGTACAGGGGGTAAGGGTGGGTGGTCACCAGAGAAACACAGGGTGGGTCTCTGTTCTCTGAGAGCTGCTTCTCTGGCTGGGAAACAGATGGAGATCAGCCGACTGTCATGTGCTGTGAGGGAGTAAACACAAGGGTTCAAATCCTGGCTCTGCTGCTTGCCAGGTCTGTGGCATTGGGAAAGCCACTGGACCTCTCTGGGCCTCAGAGTTCTCATTTGTAGAATGGGGTGGAGTAATAATCTCTACATCACTGGCTTGTTGAGAAGATTAATGATATATAAAAAGATGTCTGGGCCGGGTGCGGTGGCTCACGCCTGTAATCCCAGCACTTTGGGAGGCCAAGGTGGGTGGATCACGAGGTCAGGAGATCAAGACCATCCTGGCTAACAAGGTGAAACCCCGTCTCTACTAAAAATACAAAAAATTAGCCGGGCGCGGTGGCGGGCGCCTGTAGTCCCAGCTACTCGGGAGGCTGAGGCAGGAGAATGGCGTGAACCCGGGAAGCGGAGCTTGCAGTGAGCCGAGATTGCACCACTGCAGTCCGCAGTCCGGCCTGGGCGACAGAGCGAGACTCCGTCTCAAAAAAAAAAAAAAAAAAAAAAAGATGTCTGGTGCATAATATGCCCTCAATACATAATGGCTGTTAATAAAATGGAGTCCTGGGTGCCAGTCACCATAGGGGCTCAGAGGGACCTAAGTGCTTACTGGGGACCAGTGTATCCTGGAAGACTCCCTGGAAGAGTTCTGGAGCTGAGGAGGGGAAATTTGGGTAGAAAGAGGGGAGAAGAAAGAACATTCTAGGCCTGCAGGGGAACTGAGATGGAGCTTAGGGAAGGTTAATGTGGAAGAAAACAAAAAATTAAATGGAGGCAGCAGAGACAGAGGCCGAGGCAAGGAGGTCAACAGGGTCTTAGAAACCTGGCCCCGGGGCCGGGCGCGGTGGCTCACGCCTGTAATCCCAGCACTTTGGGAGGCCAAGGTGGGCGGATCACAAGGTCAGGAGATGGAGACCATCCTGGCTAACACGGTGAAACCCCGTCTCTACTAAAAATACAAAAAATTAGCCAGGCGTGGTCGCGGGCGCCTGTAGTCCCAGCTACTCAGGAGGCTGAGGCAGGAGAATGGCGTGAACCCGGGAGGTGGAGCTTGCAGTGAGCCGAGATTGTGCCACTGCAGTCCAGCCTGGGCAACAGAGCGAGACTCCGTCTAAAAAAAAAAAAAAAGAAACCTGGCCCCATCCCTGTCATTACCAACTGACTGGCCCTGGGCTTTGGGCAGGTGAATTGGGGTGTGGTTTCCTATAAAGTGGCCCTAGGACTCCCTGACTACTCAGAAGGTTAAGGGGAGAATTACCCGACTTGGTGGCATGAGCATGCCCACACCTGCTAATGCCAGTAAGTGGCGATGCTGCTGCTGCTGTTGATGCCACTGGGGAGTTTCCATCCACAGAGGGACTGTCTTGGACTTAAATAGGTACTTCACAGGTGTGGCAGGGGCCAGTGAGTGGTGCTGTGACCTTCAGAGGTGTGCAGAGCAGAGCCATAGAGATTCGACTTAGCAGGAAAGTTTGCAAGGCAGGGGATAGCTGAAAACACACAGGTGGACTGGGCAGGACACCTGGGGACAGCCAGGAAGGCTGGACAGGGAGACTGGGTTACTGGGAGGTGATAGTGGAAAGGCAGGCACCAGACAGGGGAGGACCCCGGAGGTCAAGCTGGGGACCAAGCTGGGGCTTGGGGGAGCTGTGCCCACAGGGGCATTTAGAGCAGAGAAGTAACAGGATTGACCTGAGATTGGGGGAATAGGCCAAGTGGAACCATATAGGGTGACAGGAGCCAATTAGGTGACTCTTGGGATTGTCCAGGTGACAGATGATGAAGGCCTAAGTAGGGTGGGGGGTTGCTTTGGAAAATAGTGTCAGGAGGCTTTTTGCAAAACAACAGAGTAAAAGAGGGGCTGTTGGCTACCTGAGAGAAAGGAGGTCAGGAACGAGCTCAACGGGGTCTTCCTAAATGTCTATTCGCAGGAGAGAGGGAAATCAAGTGTGGCACATTTGACAATGGAATATTATATTGCAAAGAGAATAAATAAAGAGCTCCCATCAGCAGGGTAAATTTGAGCAAAAAAAAAAAAAGTAAGTTGAAGAAAGATACATAGAGACTGTTCTCATTTGTATAATGTTTGAAAACATGTAATAATTCTATATATCATGTATGGGCACACATGTAGCAAACATTTAAATAATTTGTAGGAATGATAAATAACAAATTCAAGATGGTGGCTGTCACTCTGGGGAGGGGGATGCAATGGGGAGGAGTATTCAAGGGGCTTCAAGTCTGTTGGTAATGGTTAGTATTGGAGCTGGGTGGTGGGAACACAGAGGTTAAATCTGTTCTTCTCTGTACCTTTTTGTGGCTGGAATATTTCACTTAAAAATAAAAAAAGAATGGGCCAGGTGCAGTGGCTCATGCCTGTAATCCCAGCACTTTGGGAGGCTGAGGTGGGCAGATCACCTGAGGTCGGAGTTCGGGACCACCCAGACTAACATGGTGAAACCCGTCTCTACTAAAAATGCAAAAATTTGCCGGGCGCACCTGTAATCCCAGCTACTCGGGAGGTTGAGGTGGGAGAATTGCTTGAACCCGGGAGGCGGAGGCTCCAGTGAGCTGAGATCGTGCCACTGCACTCCAGCCTGGGCAAGAGAGTGAGACCCTGCCTTTAAATAAATAAATATATAAATAAATAAATAAATAAATAAATAAATAAATAAATAAAGGGGGGATTTAATAAATAAATCAATAAATAAAAGAAGAATGGCCCCAAGATTTGGGGTCCGTGCCACAGGAATAATTCTTATCCTCTCAGCCCCTGTGGGCTCAAGACAAGCAAGGGAAAAGATAAAATGTTAAAGGGGTTTGCAGGGGTGGCAGGACATCAAGTGGCTCCCATGCCCAGGACTGGACAGATGGAAATTGGCAAAGCACATCTGGGCCCACATCTGGTGGTGGGGCAGGAGATGTGGCCACAAAGGAAGGTGGGGATAGTCCGGGGATGGCAAGGAAGGAGAACCACAAGAGAGGGCAGTCCTGAGGGTTCACTGTGACAGAGGCCAAAGGGTTCCCAAAATTCGAGGCCTGGGAGCTGCTTCCATGGACTTGGCAACTGGAAGCTTCTGATGCCCTAGGACAGAATAGTTTCTAAGAAGAGTGAGGGCAGAATGGTGGGTTAGGGCAGCGGTCCCCAACCTTTTTGGCACCAGGGACTGGTTTCGTGGAAGACAATTTTTCCATGGACCAGGGTGGGGGTGAGGGGATAGTTTCGGGATGAAACTGTTCCACTTCAGATCATCAGCCATTAGATTCTCATAAGGAGCACACAGTCTAGATCCCTTGCATGCACAGGTCACAATAGACTTCACACTCCTGTGAGAATCTAGTGCCACCGCTGAGCTGACAGAGGCGGAGCTCGGGTGGTTATGCTCCCTTGTCAGCCGCTCCCCTCCTGCTGTGCGGCCCAGTTCCTAGCAGGCCACGGAGCAGGTCCACGGCCTGGGGGTTGGGGACTCCTGGGTTAGGGAGTCTGTATGTGGAGGGCAAGTAGAGGCACAGGTGTACGTCTCTCTTTCAGTGAGTTTAGTAAGCAGCAAAGGGAGAGAGAGAGGAGACCCCCAGAGGTTGAGAGGAGGTGGGACATAGCCAAGGAATGTCAAGAAAATGTTTTATTATTAATTTTCTCAGCAGTGATGGTTATATGTGCCTCAGTGTATTTTTAAGGAGCATGGGGCCGGGTATGATGGCTCATGCCTGTAATCCCAGCACTTTGGGAGGCTGAGGCGGGTGGATCACTTGAGGTCAGGAGTTCGAGACCAGTCTGGCCAACATGGCGAAACCCTGTCTCTACTAAAAATACAAAAAAAAAAAAAAAAGCCTGGCATGGTGGTGTGCGCCTCTAGTCCCAGCTACTCGGGAGGCTGAGGCATGAGAATAACTTGAACTCAGGCAGCATAGGTTGCAGACAGAGCGAGACTCTGTCTCAATTAAAAAAAAAAAAAAAGCAAGGGAAAAGGCAGAATGGGCTCAGATTATATACCTCTTTATGAGTGCATACATGAGCCAGCCCTTCTCCAGCAGACTCAGCAGTTCCCCTGGTTCTGATGTCTCCTTCCTTGTTATCTCCCCGAGAACTCAGGAACAGGGGACCCCTTCTGGGAAGGGCAGCCTAGAAACAGTCATGGGACTCACAGCTGGCAGTGGGAAGTCAAGAGCGGGTGGGAATCCCATCCCCAAGCAGAGGCCTGGGCTTGGTGACACTGAAGGAGGGTATGAGGCGGTTCAGGGGCTCCTCAATAGTTAAGACAAAGGCGGCTCTGGCAGATGGGCCGCAGTGTGGAGCACCTGTGTGAACAGGAGGCAAGGGAGGTGGCAGGGAACACAGGGCTGGCCTGCCTGTTAGACCTGCTAAGGCCTTCACCCCAGGAGCCTTCTCACCTCCCTGCACCCCTCCTCTATTGCAGTCGCCACCCCCACCCAACCACTACACCATTCACACAAGTTTCTCTCCTACTTCTTCCGTGGAATTCCTTCCTCATCCTTCTCTTGCTTCCTGCTTTGCAAAGACTGCTCAGCTGTCATTGGCTGTCCCCGGGTGCCCTCTCCCACAACCCGCTCTGGTCCTCAGCTGTCACACCTTTGCCACGACCCACCCCCAGCTTCCTGACTTTGCTTCCGCATTGGAGAATCACCCCAAACTGACGTGTGTATCTTTCCCTATCCCAGAGCGCACCCAGTCAATCCACAAACCTTTATTGAGCATCGATTCTACACCCAGCCTGGGGCTGGGTGTTACAGGTAATATGGAAAGCAATGAGTAGGCACAGGCCCTACCCTGAGGGGCTAACAGAGCAGCTGGAAAAAGAACACTGATAGGTTGTCCGGGCGCAGTGGCTCACACATGTAATCCTAGCACATTGGGAGGCCGAGGCAGGCGGATCACTTGAGGTCAGGAGTTCAAAACCAGCCTGACCAACATGGCCAAACCCTATCTCTACTAAAAAAAAAATATTTAAAAAAATTAGATGTGGTGGCAGGCACCTGTAATCCCAGCTACTGGGGAGGCTGAGGCAGGAGAATCAGCTGGCCGACAGAGCAAGACTCCGTCTAAAAAAATTTAAAAATTAAAAAAAAAAAGAAAGAAAGAAAATAACACCGATATGTAAAGAAGTAAAATAAGTCAAGATAAGGCCCCATACAAAAGAATATGCTTGACTCCCTTCTGCTGTAAGCACTCCCCATATAGAAAAGGGTCTTCTTATGACACTCCCAAGGAGTTTAATTTTACAAAAGTCTTTCCCATAAAAATTGTTATTAATATGGTGACAGAGAAGGCAGCTGCATAGAAAAGAATAGAAAGCAACAAATTATGAAGTATAACCGAGGTTAATCATTCATACATTCAAAATTTATTGAGAACTTTCTGCATACAAGGCACCAAGCTGAGCTCTGAAAGTACAAGATGAATAAGACACAGTCTGTCTCCTCAAAGAACTCCAAACAGATACATATATAAGCAGAAGAATGACATATATATATATGAAGCTTATAGATATAGACAGATATATAAGCAGAAGAATGACAATACAACATTCAGTTTGGGGATGGGAACCCAGAAAAGGATGTGTGCAACTTCCCTGGGGTAACCTGGGAAACTTCACACCAGGGAAGCACTTGAGCTGGATGTTGAGAGGTGCCTGAGCAGAGAGGACAGCACGTGAAGGGCACAGCGTCTGAAAGGAGCTGATCTGTTCAGAGTGCCCGTGTCCAGCAGTCATGGTAGGAGAATTAGGCCCAGAGACATAGATTGGAGTCAGATTATGGAAAATCACTGGCCTGACTCAGAACTTTGGACTTTTTACTCTAGACGAAATATTTTGTCTAGTATTTGGCCGGGCACAGTGGCTCACGCCTGTAATCCCAACGTTTTGAGAGACCAAGGTGGGCGGATTGCCCGAGGTCAAGAGTTCAAAACCAGCCTGGCCAACGTGGTGAAGCCCCCGTCTCTACTAAAAATGCAAAAACTAGCCGGGCGTGGTGGCGGGTGCCTGTAATCCCAGTTACTTGGGAGGCTGAGGTAGGAGAATTGCTTGAACCCAGGAGACAGAGGTTGCAGTGAGCTGAGATCACGCCACTGCACTCCAGCCTGGGCGACAGAGCGAGACTCTGTCTCAAAATAAATAAATAAATAAATAAATAAATAAATAAATAAATAAAAATAAAAACTATATTTTTGAGTGGAGGAATGATATGATCATGATTTTTTTTTTATAAGAGGCATTTGTAGATTAGATGTGAGGGGGACAAGCTTGAAAATCAACAGGCCATTCATTCAGGCCTGGGTGTGAGAAGCTGGATGGGGGTGGTGGCTGTGAACAGAGAGGAAGGGAAATGGAAGGGATGCCCCACCCACAAAGGAAGAGAAGAGGTGAGACTGGTTCCACAGGTGGGAGGCAAAAAAAACAAAGATATACAGGGAAACTATGGCTTTCAGCCTTAGGTAACGGAGTGGCAGAAGCCACTGGCGGAAGTCAGGATATACGGAGCAGAAACTCGATTTGTAGTACACGATGAGAGGATTGGTCTGGGTCAAGTTGAATTTGAGGTGACATCAGAAAACCCAATGGGAGCAGCCTCTAATAAACATGGCAGATTGAGCTCATGCACTTTCCTTCATGCCGTCCTGGAGCCCTACTGAGCTACAGTAGAGGGATTTTTCTTTTAAGGAATAGCCTCAGAGAGACAAATAGAACCAGACTGGAGACAACAGCAACACATTCTGGAACCCTTGGAGAGGATAGGCAGAGACAGCTGAGTCCTAAGGCAGCATGAGAAGAGCTGAGAGGCAGCCCACCCTGCATGTGGCCCTCCCCACCAAGGCTCAGGGACTGTTGGCTGGCACTGGGTACTTCTAGAAGTGGAGGTAATGGCCAGGCACAGTGGCTCACACCTGTAATCCCAGCACTTTGGGAGGCCAAGGCAGGCAGATCACTTAAGGTCAGGAGTTCAAGACCAGCCTGTCCAACATGGTGAGACCCCATCTCTACTAAAACTACAAACATTAGTTGGGTGTGGTGGTGCACGCCTGTAGTCCCAGCTACTTGGGAGGCTGAAGCAAGAGAATCGCTTGAACCTGAGAGGCGGAGGTTGCAGTGAGCCAAAATCGTGCCACTGCACTCCAGCCTGGGTGACAGAGCAAGACTCTGTCTCAAAAAGGAAAAAAAGGAAAAGAAGTGGGAGTAATGGCAAATCTTTAACCAAGTAAATGACAAGTGGTTGCCAGGGACTGGAGGGGAGGGAAGGATGAATGGGCAGAGCACAGAGGATTATAGGACAGGGAAAATACCCTGGGTGATACTATAATGGTGGGTACATGCCATTATACATTTGTCCACACCCACAGAATGTACACCAAGAATGAACTGCTGTGGACTTTGGGTGACAACGATGGTCAGTGTAGGTCCAGAGATTGTAACAAACGTACCACTCCAGCGGGGACGTTAATCATGGAAGAGGCTGTGCATGTGTGGGGTAGGGGGTGTATGGGAATTCTCTGTACTTTCCACTCAATTTTGCTGTGAAGCTAAAACTGCTCTAAAAAAAAAAAGCCTTTTTTTTGAGACAGAATCTCACTCTGTCACCCAAGATGGAGTGCAGTGATGCAATCTTGGCTCACTGCAACCTCCGCTTCCTGGGTTCAAGCGATTCTCCTGCCTCAGCCTCCCAAGTAGCTGGGATTACAGGCATGCACCACCGCGCCCAGCTGATGTTTGTATTTTTGGTAGAGACGGGGTTTCACCATGTTGGTCAGGCTGGTCTCAAACTCCTGACCTCAGGTGATCCACCTGCCTCGGCCTGCCAAAGTGCTGGGATTACAGGCGTGAGCCACCATGCTCTGACAAGCCTATTTTTTTTTAAAAGAAAAAAAGAAAAATCAGGCAAACTGGTTGAAAGTCAGTTTAGGGAGTAGTGAGTCCTCCAGACCCCCTACCCCACTCTGCCACTCCGTACAGGCAGGCCTCTTCTCCTCCCCATACCATGGCAGATGATGGGAGATGAATATTCTGGAGGGGTAGAGGGTCTTTGGGCTGGGAGATACTGATGTGGTTGAAGCAGGGACACTCCAGGGGGATTGAGAGCCATAGACATCAAGGGTTCCCAAAGGTCAGGTCAGCAAGGCCCACTCGCAGACACAGAGCTTTTAGAATCCTATTCTTCAATAAAAATGCAAGGACCAACAGAGATATGAGTAGAACACCTAATATGAAAAACAGAAATAAAAACAGACAAAAAGCAACACAGAGGATATTACTAAGCAGATAGAGGAAAACTTAAAAATCACTTATTCTTAAGGAGATGTGATATCGCATTCATGAAATAAGATGAAGTTACAAAAATGAACATTCCAAGAACAAAATGAGGTCTTAGAAATTAAAAATATGGGCCGGGCGCGGTGGCTCACGCCTGTAATCCCAGCACTTTGGGAGGCCGAGGCGGGTGGATCATGAGGTCAGGAGATCGAGACCTTCCTGGCTAACAAGGTGAAACCCCGTCTCTACTAAAAATACAAAAAATTAGCCGGGCGCGGTGGCGGGCGCCTGTAGTCCCAGCTACTCGGGAGGCTGAGGCAGGAGAATGGCGTGAACCCGGGAAGCGGAGCTTGCAGTGAGCCGAGATTGCGCCACTGCAGTCCGCAGTCCGACCTGGGCGACAGAGCGAGACTCCGTCTCAAAAAAAAAAAAAAAAAAAAAAAAAGAAATTAAAAATATGATAGCAGAAATGAAAACTACAGCAGGAAGGCTGGAAGTCAAAGAGATTTTCCACAAAGTACAGCAAATAAAACAGCAGCAAACGGAAACAGAAGAGAAAAAATAAAATTAGAGGACCAGTTCAGGAGGTCCAACATCTAAATAATAGGAGGCCTATAAAGAGAGAATCAGGAAAGAGAAAACTCCTAAGTAACTTAAAACCATGCCCCAGAATTGATCAACATGAGTTTCTATCTTGTCTAACTGAATGGGTCAAAGTGTGTGTAAAAATGTACCTTCACCAAAGCACATCATCAAGGAATTCAGAACATGGCAGACAAGAGACGATCCTACAAACACCTGGAGCACATTAAAAACAGTATTGGAATGTACAACACTGTCATAGAAAATAATGGAACATTGCCTTTGAAGCTCTAAGAGAAAATTGTTTCCAAGCTAAAATGCCATGCTCTGCCAAACTATTAATTAAGTGCAGGATAAAAACATGTTGAGACATGCAAATTCCCAAAATGCAGCTCCACTCACCACTTCTCACAATAGGGGGGTGAAGGATGTGTTCCACCAAAAACAAGAAAAGGGAAGCAGAGGATGGGCATAAGGAAGAGGTTAGAGGACCCCAACCCGGGAGGAAAGAGCTACGAGGCCAGAACAAAGAAGGCAAAGGCTCTGGAAGGGAGTTCCCGCAGAAGATGAAACTCACAGAATGCCTGACATGTGAACACACTGGTGAGATCTAGTGTACTATGGGGACGATTTGGGGTTGAATCCCTAATATGATAATAAAGAGAACTAAGCAAAATGTTGAAGGAAAAGTAATAATAACATACTATGTGGTTTAGCTGTACATGACAGTTAGTCTTAATAATGAAAACACAGAATCCTAATTTAACCAAAAGGATGGTGTAACCGTATTGGGAGTAGGGGAGACAGGCAGGGATTGCTGGGGGAAGGTTACAAGGGGGTGAGCGGGTGAAAGGGATTGAATCCACGTCTCATGGAGTGTGGGCTTAATGAGTACCTGAAACTGAAAAATCAAAAAGTAGCAATGCAAGTCTCTTTTCAACCCATATGATGCTGAAAATCAAAAGAATCCTCTAGAAGAACTGAAAGTGGCTGTGTCTAGGGAGCAGGCAGGAGAGGCAGGGGCAGTCAGGATGCTCCTGCCTTTCTTAGTAAGCTCAGTGGAACCAACTGATGATGCTCTCAACCCGGTCCGGAGCTCTCTGGGTTGTCATTCCGTGCTTACTCATCTGTGTGTCCTCCAGAAGGTGAGAGCCACTAGGACAGGGACCAGACCCCTTCATCCTGTGGCCCACCACCTAGCCCAGAACCTGGCGGACTGCAATTACACATTTGTGGAATGAATCATTGCAGGTTCAAGCTAGAAGAGAACTTTCATTGCAACCCTATCATTTTACAGGTTAGAAAACTGAGGCCCACAGAGTAGAAATGACATGTTCCCCAATGCTCAGGTGGTGAGTTAGACAAGCAGCTCTCTTGGGGAGAGGACTTAAAGAGAGAGAACAGAGAGAACAAGAGGAGGGAAGATGAAGCCATCCAGAAGGAGGAGGTATTAGAGAGGCTCAGGTGGCTCCTAACGGAATTGTGTAACATCGCCCAAGCCTCTCAAGAGAACAGCATTCCACAGAAGAGGAGGTAGCCACCTGGGGCCCACCAGGGGACTCCTCCCTCTGAGGCCCCACTGGAGCTAAAAGTTTAAGAACACACCCCATGGCTGCAATCCAGGGCTCAGGAAGCTGCTACTGCTGCCCCAAACCCTCCTGTCAACACCCAGCAAACTCCAGAATGGATCCTGGAATGTTGTTGCAGAAACACTTCACATCTCCACCACCTCACCTGGGAACAAAAGCTGCGAAAGGGGCAAGAAAGTGGCCTCTGCTTTGCTTCTGCCTTCCAAACACCACCAAAGGTATGACATTATCTACCTAAATCCTTATGGAAAGGAAGTTTTGAACAATGCTGCTTTCAGTGTTCCAACATTTCCGGGGAAGTATGGACCAGAGATTGAACGACACTTCAGATTCTACCACACCCTCTGTTGTATTCATGCCTTCCCTTCCATCTGAACCTCTGTCCCAGGCAACTGCTCCAGAAACTTCCCTTTTCTTCTGAGGCCTCCGAAGGAATGCCCGCCAGCACACTGGTAAATTCATGCAAAAAGATGCCCAGAGGGGCCCCTAGTCAACCAGTTCTGCATATAGCTCAACTCGGAGTCCCAGTGTGGCTTAGCGAGGACACCCTGCTTGACTTGCTTGGGGACATATTAGCATGCTGAACAGTCAAACTTATCCCTCCCCTCTCACCCACCAGAGAGCGTCCAGCTAATCCAGAGGGAGGAGGGATTTCAGGGTCAGCTTGGTGACCCAAGAAGCATGTTGGGCGGGATGCCTGAGTCTGAGACAGAAAAGGCTGAGGGGAGCCGAGAGTTCAAGAGAAAGGAAGCAGATGACGCTTTCCCCAAAGGGAGTCTGACGTGATCCCTCAGCTCATGGAATCCAGCGGTTACCCTTCTGAGCCTTGGTTTTCTCATCTGTAAAGTGGAGCTGGAGATAACACTCTCATAACACAAATAAATGATAAATGATTGAGATGATGGATATGCTAATTATTCTGATTTGATCACTACACATCATATGCATGTATCAAAATATCACTCTGTATCCAGTAAATATGTACAATTATTACATGTCAACTAAAATTTAAAAACTACAACAAAGAAATGTTTATTTGTGCAGTTTCTACGCCAAAAACTCCTCAAACTTCAAACAAGAACGTGACCAATTTTATATGATCATATCAAACAGTCTCCCTTATTTTTAGAGCAGAATGAGTCAATGGATTTAATTTAGCAAATGGCCGGGGCGGGGGATGTTTAAAATAATTTTATTATAAAATTTTCATATTAAAAAAAGATAACACTCTCATAGGAATGTTGTGGGGAACATTGTGTTGTAAAAAAATAACACTTGGAAAGCTCTACAAAGTGCAAAAATCACTTTCAAATGTGGTGACTTAAAACAGCAGCTAGAGCCGACCTGTCCGGGAGGTGAGGGGCGCCTCTGCCCGGCCGCCCCTACCGGGAAGTGAGGAGCCCCTCTGCCCAGCCAGCCGCCTCGTCCGGGAAGGAGGTGGGGGGGTCAGCCCCGGCCAGCCGCCCCGTCTGGGAGGGAGGTGGGGGGGTCAGCCCCCGGCCCGGCCAGCCGCCCCGTCCGGGAGGTGAGGGGCGCCTCTGCCCGGCCGCCCCTACTGGGAAGTGAGGAGCCCCTCTGCCCGGCCAGCCGCCCCGTCCGGGAGGGAGGTGGGGGGGACAGCCCCCCGCCCGGCCAGCCGCCCCACCCGGGGAGGTGAGGGGCGCCTCTGCCCGGCCGCCCCTACTGGGAAGTGAGGAGCCCCTCTGCCCGGCCACCACCCCGTCTGGGAGGTGTACCCAGCAGCTCATTGAGAACGGGCCATGATGACAATGGCGGTTTTGTGGAGTAGAAAGGGGGGAAAGGTGGGGAAAAGATTGAGAAATCGGATGGTTGCCGTGTCTGTGTAGAGAGAGGTAGACATGGGAGACTTTTCATTTTGCTCTGTACTAAGAAAAATTCTTATCCTGTTGATCTGTGACCTTAACCCCAACCCTGTGCTCTCTGAAACATGTGCTGTGTCCACTCAGGGTTAAATGGATTAAGGGCGGTGCAAGATGTGCTTTGTTAAACAGATGCTTGAAGGCAGCATGCTCGTCAAGAGTCATCACCACTCCCTAATCTCAAGTACCCAGGGACACAAACACTGCGGAAGGCTGCAGGGTCCTCTGCCTAGGAAAACCAGAGACCTTTGTTCACTTGTTTATCTGCTGACCTTCCCTCCACTATTGTCCTATGACCCTGCCAAATCCCCCTCTGCGAGAAACACCCAAGAATGAACAATAAAAAAAAAAAAAAAAAATTCAGGCCAGGTGCAGTGGCTCATGCCTGTAATCCCAGCACTTTGGAGGACTGAGGTGGGCAGATCACCTGAGGTCAGGAGTTCGAGACCAGCCTGGCCAACATGGTGAAACCCTGTCTTTACTAAAAATACAAAAAAAATTGGCTGAGTATGGCGCACACCTATATTCCCAGCTACTCAGGAGGCTGAAGCACGAGAATTGCTTGAAGCTGGGAGGTGGAGGTTGCAGTGAGCTAAGATCACCCCACTGCACTCCAGCCTGGGTGACAGAGTGAGGTTCCATCTCTAAATAAATAAATAAATAAAATAAAAATTTCAGCCCAATATATTAGGAACCCCATTTTAAATGCCACTGTAAACACAATTTATTTTATATCAACTTTAAATATGAAAGCTACACTCAAGTAAACCAAACAGCATATTACCTATGAATCTTTACATGTTCATTTAAAAATTTCAGCCCAATATATTAGGAACCCCATTTAAAATGCCATTGTAGTAAATGACAAGTTAGTAGAAAAAAAAAAAAACAGCAGCTAGGCTGGGCGTGGTGGCTCACGCTTGTAATCCCAGCACTTTGGGAGGACAAGTTGAGAGGATCACCTGAGGCCAGGAGTTCGAGACCAGCCTGGCCAACATGATGAAACCCCGTCTCTACTAAAAATACAAAAATTAGCCGGGCGTGGTGGCGGGTGCCTGTAATCCCAGCTACTCAGTAGGCTGAAGCAGGAGAATCCCTTGAACCCGGGAGGCGGAGGCTGCAGTAAGCCGAGATAGCGCCACTGCACTCCAGCCTGGATGACAGAGCGAGACTCCATCTAAAAAAACAAAAACAAAAACAAAAAAACAGCAGCTACCCATTATGTTTTGGCTGGCATTGCTCATTTGTTTGCATTCAGCTGGCCATTCAGCTGGGGTGGCTGGAAGGGGTGGAGGCTGGCTGACCTTCTTTCTCGAGCAGGGTGGACTGACTTCTTGTATGGTGGCCCAAGGCTCCAAGAGAATACAGGCAGAAGCAGCCAGGCCTCTTAAAGCCCAGGCTGGAACTGACACTGCAACACTTTTGGTGCGTTCTGTTGGTCAAAGCCAGTTCCAAGGCCAGCCCAGAATCAAGGGGAGGGGAAACAGCCTCTACCTCCTGGTAGGAGGAGTGACACGACCTAGGGAGAGGAGAAATTGTGGCTGTCTTTGAAAACAGCATACCCGGCATGTAAGTTTGGACAAGTGGTGGAAGCCTGGCTTGCCCAACTGGACTAGCACCCTCTCCCAGACTTTCCCAGACCACGCTGACTGTACCACTGGGGTCCTGAAGATGATTTGGTGGACCTTGGGAAGCAGCAAATTTGCATTTTGAATTCTCTTTCAATTCTTCTGACACCATCAAAGAGAATCATCTCAGCCTAGTGCAGCCTATCTGCAACGGCTCTCAAGCACCAGTGAATCGCTGGGTCAGAATTTAGCAGCATCTGGCAGCAAAAGTATTAAAATGTAGCACCTTGCTTTGTTTCCCCAGCATGCATTTTTAAGATTGCCAAGTGACACTGGCTTTCCATTCCTGAAGGCAGTAGGGAGTTAGCTAAATAAAGAGAGCCACTTCAACACAGGCATCAGAGCCCAAGGGCTGCTCAGCTCCAGGCTACAAGCTGTCTTCTGATAACACCCCTTTGTCCCCAGAGAAATAGTCAATACCCGCAGACCTCACACCCTTAATCTGTCCTCTTTACCACCCTCACCCATCAAACATTTCCTCCTCAATATTAAATTCCAGCCCCACAGAGCTTTTGTGGCATATTTGCAAGCCTCTTCCAGAAACTTCTCCATGCTGTACTCTCCCCAAACACTCTCCCCACTCTCTCTTCCCATGGAGGGTGGTGCAGTGGGTCCTGGGGCCAGAACACATGGGTAAAGTCCTGGGTCTATCACCTGCCGGGCACACCCCACCCCTCACATTTGCAGCCCAGGGCAAGAGTGCAAAGGAGCCTCCCAAAGGAGGCGTCTTGATAGTTAAGGGTTACAAATAAAGCTGTCCACCCATTACATAAACTATGTCCCAGCTTCCTAGCTGGCAAACATATCTTCCTAGTAACCAAAAAATACGTGTGTGTGTGCACATGCACCTGCAGAGCTAGGTTTTCATATGATAAAAGATAGCAAAATATAACAGTAATTGAATTTATTTATTTATTTATTTATTTATTTATTTATTTATTTATTTATTTATCGAGACAGGGTCTCACTCTGTTGTGCCAGGCTGGAGTACAGTGGTGTGATCTCAGCTCACTGCAACCTCTGCCTCCCCGGTTCAAGAGATTCTCGTGCCTCAGCCTCCCAAGTAGCTGGGACTATAGGCATGTGCCCCAACACCTGGCTAATTTTTGTATTTTTAACAGAGATGGGATTTTATCATGTTGGCCAGGCTGGTCTCAAACACCTGGCCTCAAGTGATCTTCCTGCCTTGGTCTCCCAAAGTGCTGGGATTACAGGTATAAGCCACGGCTCCGAGACTAAAATCACCGAATTTAATTAATACTGCATGTCTGTGGGTCCTCTTGTTGGGCTGTCAATGTTTGGATGAAAAATCAATAAAACATCTGTGATTCATGAGGTATAATATTGTCTTCTGTAACATTTCTTTTTCATGCTTTCATTTCAGTAAAATCAGGTATGTTTTTATAATCAAGATTTTCACGTAATTTATTAATAGTAATAATATAAAGATTAAAAATAAAATAATTGTGTTCAAAATATACATTTAAATGTATTATTATGAATGCATTTAAAGTAAATGTAATAAAATCAAAAATTAGAATCATTTACTTTAAAATATAAATTTTTTATTTTAAAATATTCAGCATTATCTATTACAATTGAAAAGGAAAAAATACAAATTATAATTGGTGAATACCAGTTAATTATTTGTCTGTACATGAATATCACACTGTAATTTTATGGTAAGTCTTGAAATCAGTTAGTGTTAGTCCTCCTATATATATTTAATAGAAACAGGGCCTCACTATGTTGCCTTATCTCAAAGTCCTGGGTTCAAGTGATCCTCCCACCTCCACCTTCCGAAGTGCTGGGATTAGCATCAGCCACCGTGCCCAGCCCATTTTTGAAAGGTGTTTTCACTGAGTATAGAAACCTAGCTTGACAATTTATTTTTTCTTTTGGTACTTTAAAGATATCTTCCCATTGTCCTATGGCTTCTTGCCATATATGTCCTATAGTTTCTTGCGAGAAATATATTGTCATTCTTTTTCTTTGTTTCTCTGTGTGAAATGCTTCTTTTCTCTTTGGCTCCTTATGCAAGTTGAAATACACAGGTTTTCCAAATACAATTCAATACCAAATACACTGGCTTTCAGAATTTTTTTTTCTTTGTAGAGACGGGGTTTCACTATGTAGCCCAGGCTGCTCTGGAACTCCTGAACTCAAGGGATCTGCCCACCTTGGCCTCCCAAAGTGCTGGAATTACAGGCCACTGTGCCCAGCCAGGTTTTCAGCAACTTGATTATGATGTATCTTTGTCTTTGTGTGGCTTTCTTCATGTTTCTTCTGCCTGGGTTCGTGAGCCTCTTGAATCTGCTGTTTTTAGTTTCCAACAAATTTGCATTTTTTGGGGGGTGGCAGGGGGAGGACCGGGTTTCACTCTGTCATCCAGGCTAGAGTGCAGTGGCAAAATCTCGGCTCACTGCAACCTCTGCCTCCCAGGTTCAAGCATCCTCCTGCCTCAGCCTCCCAAGTAGCTGGGAATATAGGTGCATGCCACCACACCCAGCTAATGTATGTATTTTTGGTGGAGACAGGGTTTTGCCATGTTGGCCAGCCTGGCCTTGAACTCCTGGCCTCAAGAGATCTGTCCACCTCTGCCTTCCAAAGCACTGGGATTATGGGCACGAGCCACTGTGCCTGGCAAATTTAGAAAATTCTTAACCATTATTTCTTCAAATATCATTTTTTATCTCCTCACCCTATCTGGGTCTCCAATTACACGTGTTAGATTGTCTGATATTACCTCCAATGTTACTGATGCTCTGTTTATTCCCCCCACCCTCATTTTCTCTCTGTATTTTATTTAGATTTTTTTATTGCTATATCTTCAAAATAATTTATTTTATAGTATCTAACCTGCTTTTTATCCACTCCAGTGTATTTTTTATTTAATATACTGTATTTTTTTATTTATTTGAGATGCTATATTTTTGTTCCTGGAAATCACATTTTCATTATTATATTCATGATTTTCTCTACCTTCTTGAATATATGAGTCATATTTATGTCATCTCTTTCAATGTCCTTTTCTGCTAATTTCTTCATCTCTTCATTTCAGGGTCTGTTTCTACTGATTGATTTTTCCATTGGTTGTGGTCACACTTTCTATTTCTTTGTATGCCTTTTGTTGTGTTTGTTTGTTTCTTTGTTTGTTTTTAGATGCTCTTTATCAGATTGAGGAACTTTCTTTCTATTCCTAGTTTTCTGAGAGTGTTTATCAGGAATAAATACTGGATTTACCAAATGTTTTTTCTGCATATATTGCAATGATCACATGGTTTTCACTTTTTAGTTTGTTAATATAGTGAATTAAATTTGATTGATTTTCAAACATTAAACCAACTTTGTGTTCCTGAGATAAACCCCACTTAGCCATGGTGTTTTATACTTTTTATATGTTGTTGGACTTGATTTGCAAAAATTTTGTTTAGAATTTTTGCATTTATGTTTATGAGGTAATTGATCTGTAGTTTGACAGGACTCTGAACATTGTGAACTTTACATTGTTTGAGGCTGCATTTTGTTGCATTCCTTTAAGTAGTGTCAGACTTGGTTCTGGCCACACACTTAACACATTTGGAATCAGATTTTTACTTCTGATGCTTACTTTTAAGATTTGTTAGGACAGATACAGAGGAGCTGTTAGTCTAAGGTTAATTTAGACCTCTACTAAGGCAATACCCGTTTGAGAATTGTACCTGATATCCCATGTATTACAAGGTCTTTTCGTTCTGCCTTTTGGGAACAGAAACTAATCTCAACCCTGTGTGAGCCCCAGGCACTGCTCTGCCTTCTGTGGTTCTTTCCCAGGCCTTGCCTTTCATGCATGTGCAAATCAGTACTCAGCCAAAGAGTTAAGAAGACATCTCTGCAGATCTTTGGATATATGCTCAGCTCCCTGCTCTCTGGTGTTCTGCCCTGCAAATTCCAGCCCGTTGGCCTCTTGAACTCTGTTTTCTCAATCAGCAAGACTCCAAACTCTGTTTGGATTCCCTGTCCCTGTACTGAAGCCTGCAAACTGCCTCAGGCCGTGAGCTGGAGGTAATTATAGGGCTCACCTTTTTTGTTTCCCTTTTCTCAGAGATCATAGTCCTGAGTTGCCTTTGTTCAAAGTCTGAAAAATCATTGTTTCATCTACTTTATCTGGAGCCCTAGTTTTTCAAGGCAGGACAGTAAATCTCATCTCTGTAACTTCACTATGGCCAGTAGCTGAAGTCTTCCTTTGTTAGTAAGTTTGTTTTCTGGGTGGCTATGACGTGCAGAGCCTTCAAACATTCAGACCTCAGGTCAGAGGCCTCTCTGCCTATGTCTAAGAGCATTGCTAACTCAATGCATTACTTTGGGCCAGTTACCAGTCCTCTCTGTGCCTGAGTTTTCCCTACTGTCAAATGAAGGGAACAATGATTGTATTGACCTTGAGGGTGGTTGTGAGAAATGAGCAAGATATGACATGCTTAACACTTAAAACAGTGCCTGGCACACAGTGAGTGAATGTTCAATACATGTAATTATTTCAGGGACAGTCAAGACCGTCCAGGTAGGGCTCCCTCAATCTACCCCCTACCTTGCCTCAGAGAAAGAGAGGTCCTGCTTTTTTCATAAGGCTGTCAAATCCCCTGGCTGATGAGGTAAAAAGATACTTTTTGGGGGCCGGGCAGGGTGGCTCACACCTATAATCCCAGCAGTTTGGGAGGCTGAGGCAGGCAGATCACCTGAGGTCAGGAGTTAGAAACCAGCCTGACCAACATGGTGAAACCCCGTCTCTACTAAAAATACAAAATTAGCCGGGCGTGGTGGCGCATGCCTGTAATCCCAGCTGAGGCAGGAGAATCGCTTGAACCTGGGAAGTGGAGGTTGCGGGAAGGCGAGAACGCACCATTGCACTCCAGCCTGGGCAACAAGAGCGAAACTCCATCTGAAAAAAAAAAAAAAAAGATCCTTTTTGGTCATATTTCCTTTTCATTCCCTTCCCTCTACCTCTGATTTTTCAGTCCCTCTCTCTCTCCACACTCCTTTTCCCTCAGACGAAAACATACTCCTGTCTACTGCCCTCTAAATGCAAACAAACAAAAACATTCCCTCTGTCCTCCCTCCCTCTCCAGCTCTTTTCCTCTTGCTATATTTCCTCTCACTGCCAAATTTCTTGAAAGAGTGCTCTGTGCCTTCCACCTTCCATTCCCCACCTAATGCCCTGGGACGTCTCCACAAGCCCCTGCAACACAGACACTGCTCTCTCACCAAGCCCCGGGCACCTTGTGGCCTCTCTTTCTTCTTTCTTTTTTTTTTGAGACGGAGTTTCAGTCTTGTTGCCTAGGCTGGAGTGCAGTGGCATGATCTCGGCTCACCGCAACCGCCACCTCCCGGGTTCAAACGATTCTCCTGCCTCAGCCTCCCTAGTAGCTGGGATTACAGGCATGCGCCATCACGCCCGGCTAATTTTCTATTTTTAGTAGAGACTGGGTTTCACCATGTTGGTCAGGCTGGTTTCGAACTCCTGATCTCAGGTGATCCACCCGCCTTGGCCTCCCAAAGTGATGAGATTACAGGCGTGAGCCACCGCGCCCGGCCAGTGGCCTCTTATTTATCCTTGCTCCACTCAGCCTCCCTGGAGAAGAGGGAGAAAGGCTGAAACCTGTTCTTAGGGCTTCCATGATTCTATCCAAAATGGCCTTTAGACCTGGACAACCAGGGTCCCTGATAGAGCAGGGAGCTCACGGGGTCAAAGAAACACACCTCCCTGGAACGTGTAACTTGTCGCTGGGCCATGGGCCAGGTAACCAATGTTTGGACATTATTTGCCCCAATAGCCCTAGGCTCTCTTCTAGAGCCTGCAAGGGCTTCCTCCCTCAGTTTGTCCTATTCTTCTTCTTTTTTTTTTTTTGAGATGGAGTCTTGCTCTGTCATCCAGGCTGGAGTGCAGTGGTACGATCTTGGCTCACTGCTGCAACCTCCACCTCCTGGGCTCAAGTGATTCTCCTGCCTCAGCCTCCTGAGTCGCTGGGACCACAGGCACGTGCCACCACACCCAGCTAATTTTTTTTATTTTTAGTAGAGACAGGATTTCACCATGTTGGCCAGGCTGGTCTCAAACTCCTGACCTCAAGTGATCCACCTGCCTCAGCCTCCCAAAGTGTGGGATTACAGGCGTGAGCCACTGAACCTGGCCTGCCCTATTATTCTTTTTTTTTTTTGAGACGGAGTCTTGCTCTGTCGTCAGGCTGGAGTGCAGTGGCGTGATCTCGGCTCACTCCAACCTCAGCCTCCCAGGTTCAAGCAATTCCCCCTCAGCCTCCCAAGTAGCTGGGACTACAGGTACGCGCCACCACGCCCAGCTGATTTTTGTATTTTTGGTAGAGTCGGGGTTTCACCATGTTGGCCAGGAAGGTCTCGATCTCTTGACCTCGCAATCCGCCCACTTTGGCCTCCCAAACTGCTGGGATTACAGGCATGAGCCACCGTGCCTGGCCTATTATTCTTTTTATTTTCTAAAATATTATTTCAATTCCTTGAAGCTTATTGAAGCTTCCACGTGCCCCAGCATATAGCTATTTTTTGTAACAGCTTTATTGAGATGTAATTTATGTATCATACAGTTCACAGATTTAAATACTATTCAACGGTTTTTCATTTATTCAGCTTTGTGAGCCATCCCCACAGTCACGTTTAGATCCTTTTCATCTCCCCAAAAGGAAATCCTGCACCCGTTGGCATCACTTCCCCTTCCTCCCCTCCCCCAGCCCCATCATCTATTTTCTTTTTATATGTCTGTTTTATGTTTTTCTTCCTCCTCTTGCTCCTCCTTTTTCTTCTTTGTTGTTGATACACAAAAAACTGCACCCATCTCCTATATACGATTTGATGCATTTAGACTTATGCATATACCTGTGAAAACGTCACCACAATCAAGGTAACAAACACAGCCATTACCTCCAAAAGCTTCTTCATGCCCCTTTGTTTTTGGTTTTGTTTTATTTTCCTCCTTTTCCTGGCTTTGTCCTTATGAGGCTAAAGTGTGATTCTGGTACATGTCCCCTCGCCTGAGGAGTAACCAGGGGCAGCTGTTTATAGGTGGAGCTGTTTATAGGCCAGAGCCTGAAGGCATTGCTGGCACTGGCATGCTCATTCACATGACGCTCCTCACTCTGCAAGACAAGCCAGGAGTGTGAACAGAAAGAGGCTGGCTGTGAGCCAGAGGCGGTTCGTGGGGTTTCCTGGGTCCTGCAGATGTTAGGGGTGGGTGTGGTTCTGCCCTCTTGGCTTGACTTCTGGCTCTTGGACTGCTTTTCCCTGACTCTACTGACTTGGCTCCCTCGCTTATCTTCCTAAAAAAAGGATTCCTCCGGAGCCAGCTTTTCACATCCACAATTTCCTTCCTCTGTCCCCCTCTCTTGGGGCACTCACTGAGTAGTGAGGCAGGTCTCCATCCACACATCTCCTTCCTCCTTCAGATGGGAGCTCCTGGTTGGGGGGCACTGCTAAGTCCCCTAGCACAGAGCTAGCACCCAATGGGTATGTGGTCAATATTTATTGAATGACAAAGGGAATGGTTAAATGCATTTCACTTATTTGCACCCATGATCTGAATTCACCCTGCTAAACTTGCATTTCCCCAGCAGATGTGAAGAAAAGACTAAGAGCGGGAGTTCTGTAGTCAGACTGCAGCTGTAAACCCAGCTTACCATTTATAAGCTGAGTGTTCTCTAGGGCAGGTCATTCAACTGCTCTGTGCCTCAGTTTGTTCTTCCACAAAATGGGGACAATACTGGCACCTACTCAATAAGGATGCCATGAGACATAGAAGATCCATGGGCCTCTGTTCCCCTGCCTCTGTGCGTTTGCTTGTCCTACCTGGAATTCCTCTGGCACTATCTTTGCTTAGTGAAGCCTACCTGTTCTTAAAGGCCCAAGTTAAATGCGCCACGTCCTTGAAGCCTTCCCAGATTGCCACAGCCTTATGCCTCCTCCCCAGTTAAATAAACACGGTATGCTTCCTGAAGGCGGCTACAACCCACACTGCTCCAGGCTGTGGTGATGCCTGTCCACACCTCACTATCCCCACAGAGACTGAGCTTCTTGAGGGCAGGGGCTCAAGAGTTGGTGCTCAACAGATGCGTATTGAATGAATGAATGGTTCCAGGATATTCCAGATATTCGGGTGATGTTCTGACAAACCTACGAGACTGTCTTTTAGATACTCTTGAACTGAGGCCTCTAAGATAGTAAACACACCACTCCAACTAATTCTTTGGATTTAAAGGGACTTTGGCTTACTGAAGAGCTTATTTTGACTTGTTGAGAGTTAATTATCAGCAAGGAGCTAACCTGGGAGAGAAGAAGGAAGGACAAGAGGTCTCTCCCTCTGTCTACGCTATTAATATAGAAAGAGTATTACATGGTGTGAAGATTACATGACACAACATTTTAAAAGGCCTAGCGGAGCACTTAGCCTGAAGTTGTCCCTCAAGAAATGGTAGACTCATTGATTTCTTTTCGTGGTTGTTATTGTTAGGAAAAACTGAGCTTGCAAGGATGGAGGGCTGATTCATTCGTAGTTGGTAAGTAGTCATTTTTGCTTTAGGACTATGGTTCCACTTCCAGCCTTGTGCTTGTCAGTACATGAATTCGTTTCCTATCGCTGCCAGTCTTCCATCAGCGGCTTTAAACAATGTGAGTTTCCTGTCTTACTGCAGTTCTGCAGGTCAGAGGCCCATCACGCGTCTCATGGGGCTACGCTGAAGTGTTGGCAGAGTGCCTGCCTTTCTGGGGCCTAGCTCCCTCTCTCTACCCTCTAAGGTGGCCAAGAAGGGTACAGTCCCCCACTTGCTGCCTGCCTCTGCCCTCTGCTAGGCTGTCATACTCTCTCTCTGATCTCTGCCAGAAAACGCTCTCCACTTTTTTTTTTTTTTCTTTTTTGAGACGGAGTCTCGCTCTGTCTCCCAGGCTGGAGTTCAGCGGCGCGATCTTGGCTCACTGCAAGCTCCACCTCCTGGGTTCACGCCATTCTCCTGCCTCAGCCTCCAGAGTAGCTGGGACTGCAGGCACCCGCCATCATGCCCGGCTAACTTTTTCTATTTTTTAGCAGAGACGGGGTTTCACCATGTTAACCAGGATGGTCTCGATCTCCTAACCTCATGATCCACCCACCTCGGCCTCCCAAAGTCCTGGGATTACAGGCGTGAGCCACCGCGCCCGGCAAGGCTCTCCACTTTTAAAGATTTATGTGATGAGATTGGCCTACCTGGATAATCCAGGCTAATCTTCCCATTTCAAGGTTCCACGCCCTTCATCACATCTACAAAGTCCCTCTTGCCCTGTATGGTAACATACTCATAAACTCCTGGGGCATCTTTGGCCTAATGCAGTACACTATCTATCAAGCTGTCCTAAGCATGTTTTCTATGTGGACACTGATCTCCCCTCCAGACTGTCTCGGCATCATCACACTAACAGTAAATCATTATATAGGGCTTGCCACACAGCAGGCACTGCCCTAAGGACTTTACATTTCTAACCTTATTCAACATGCCCCAAAACCCTCTGAGCTCCCGACTCCTTAAGCATAGGCTGCACATAGTGACTTCCTTCCAAAGAGTACAGTTTGGAGAGGAGAGGGGTAACTTGACTGTGGAGAAACCTGATAAACACGATCTCAGCCAAGTGACCAAGGTTAACATCAGTGGTTATAAGTCATGGTTCGTAGGATGTGCTATTGATATGATTTGATGACTATTGTTTTCTGTTGTTGTCGTTTTTGAGACGGAGTCTCACTCTGTCACCCAGGCTGGAGTGCAGTAGCGCGATCTCAGCTCACTGCAACCTCTGCCTCCCGGGTTCAAGTGATTCTCCTGCCTCAGCCTCCTGAGTAGCTGGGACTACAGGTCCATGCCACCACACCCGGCTATGTTGTCCAGGCTGGTCTCGAACTCCTGACCTCATGATCCGCCCGCCTCAGCCTCCCAAAGTGCTGGCATTACAGGTGTGAGTCACCGTGCCTGGCCCATGACTATTGTACTTTACCTCTGTGGTCTTCCTCCCAGAAACCCATAAGCCCAGTCTAATCATGAGAAACGCATCAGGCAAATTCCAACAGAAGGACATCCTGCAGTATACCTGCCCAGTGCTCCTCAAAGCTCTCAAGGTCATCAAAAGTAAGAAAAGTCTAAGAAGCTGTCACAGCCAACAGCAGCGTAAGGAGACATGACAACTAAATATGATGTGATGTCCTGAATGGGAGCCTGACATAGAAAAAGAACATCAAGTAAAAACTAAGAAAATATGAATTAACTAGGGGCTTTAAAACAATACTAATAATGTATCAATATTGGTTCGTTAATTGAAACAAATGTCAATAATTGGGAAAACTGGCAGTAACATAGATGGGAACTCTGTACTTCTTAATTTTTCTGTAAATCTAAAAGTGTCCTAAAAAATAAAGTTTGTTACAAAAAGTTTTAAATGTAATAAAATTCTAAAAACAGATGCTATCGGCTGCGTGGGGTGGCTCACGCCTGTAATCCCAGCACTTTGGGAGGCCGAAGCGGACAGATCACAAGGTCAGAAATTCAAGACCAGCCTGACCAACATGGTGAAACCCCATCTCTACCAAAAATACAAAAATTAGCCAGGCGTGGTGGCGCACGCCTGTAATCCCAGCTACTCAGGAGGCTGAGGCAGGAGAATCACTTGAGCCCAGGAGGCAGAGGTTGCAGTGAGCCGCCATTGCGCCATTGCACTCCAGCCTGGGCAACAGAGGGAGACTCTGGCTCAAAAAAAAAAAAAAAAAAAAAAGATGCTATCACTATGCCCATTTTACAGATAAAGAAACTGAGGCACAAAGAGGTAACTTATGCTATGAATGGCAGACCCAGGATTTGAATTCAGGCATTCTGGCACCAAAGTCCATGCTCTTGACCACTGTGTTTTCAACCTGTCTAGGGACTACTGTCCAATCTCCCCCATTAGCTCAGGAGTTCCCCAAGGGCAGGACTCTACCTCTACCCTTAGACTAGAGACAGGACTGTGCCTGTCTCCCTTGAGGGACAAGGGCCATATTTCTCTATCAGACTGGGCACCATCTCCAGGCCCCTAGACAGTCCAGAATAGAATACACGCTGGGTTTCAAGAACAGACCAGTACTTCTCAATCAGGAGTGCTTTTGAACCCCTGCCTCCCCCCAAGGCCAGGGGACATTTGGCAATGTCTAGTGGAGGCGTTTTTGGTTTCATGACTGGGGGTTGGGGGTGTTACTGGCATCTGGTGGGTAGCAGCCATGAATGCTGCTAAATATCCTACAATGAGCAGGACAGCCCTCAACAAAGAATCATCCAGCCCGAAAATGTCAATAGTGCTGAGGTTGAAAAACCTTAGGATAGACACTATGTCTAATTCTCTCTCCCATTTCCCTCATAGGGACAGTCATATGTGTCTAACCACATGTAAGAACTTTTGGTTTGGGAAATATGGTCGCCGTAAGTATAGGTATAGCGGTGACTCTGCCACTGAGCGCTCCACCCTGGGGAACTGAGGAGGGAGGGGCCAGCACGGGCCTCGTGCCTGTCTCTCAGTCCCTGCCTCAGTTGCTACGCCCTGATTTCCATCATGGCCCTTTTGGCAGAGCCACCGGGATGTCCTATTTCTTGGAGCAGAATGAAGTTACCAGCCCATAGGAGGTCACGGCTGAGTCACCCCTTCTTGCCCTCAGCTCCAAGAGCACATGGAAACGTGAAAAAGGCATCAACGTCATGGCTTATAGTTTGCTTGGGGCAGCCAGATCCCAGAGGTATGGCAGGGAGTGGGCAGCTGCCAAGTCAGCCCTGTCCTCACCCAAGACCTTTCTGAGGCTGGCCAGCAGGACATGTCATGGCAGCTGCATGCCTTTGGGCAAGTCAGAGCTTTCTAGACCTTGGTTTCTTTGTATATTAAAAGTAGAGAGTGGGATGGGCTCATTCCTGTAATCCCAGCACTTTGGGAGGCTGAGCTTGAGCTCAGGAGTCCGCGACCAGCCTGGGCAACATGGCGAAACTCCCTCTCTACAAAAAAAAAAAAAAAAAAAAAAAATTAGCTGGGCATGGTGGCGTGCACCTGTAATCCCAGCTACTTGGGAGTCCAAGGTAGGATGATCACTTGAGCTTCAGAGGTTGAGGCTGCAGTGAGCTGTAATCGTGCCACTGCACTCTAGCCTGGGCAACAGGGTTAGACTCTGTCTTCTCTCTACTTGAGAGAGGACAAAAGTAGTCAGGAAGAACATTTCTTTGAGCACTGGCTCAGGCACCTGTTCTAAGTGTTGGAGAAAGTGTAGAAGACAAGATAGAATCCCGTCCTCAAGGCGATCTGTTCTAGTGAGGGGAGACACAAAACACATTTGCAAACAATGCACTTACTTCTAGTGTAAAGGCTGTGAAGCAGTTAGGTTGAAAGACAATAATCTGGGGGAGGGAGGAGAGAAAGAGGCTGGGGTCCGCTTTAGCTACTACGGTGTGCTGGTCCTTTGCCTGTTGGCTCTGAGATTCATTCTTTCCTATCTTTCTTTTGCAGGGCCTGGGAGCCTGCAAATGACACTTCCTGAACTCCAGTTAAGTTCAGCCAATGGGATAAAGTGGTGAGAGATGGGAAGGCATGAGGAAGGGAATAGCAGCTTTCTCTGCTTCTGGAGGTGACTTCCGCAGTGGCAGCAGCCATGGCGGCCCTAGGGTAGGCGTTCCAGCAGCATCCCTGGGAGGGCAGGCTCCTTGGTTGTGGCTCAGTGGCAGCGTCCTGTCTCGGCAGCGGCAGTGGCAGCAGGCCTGTTTCGGCAGTGGCAGTGCTTCCAGCTGCTAACCAGCAAGTGTGTGCTTCTGGTTCCAGCCCACGGGCAGTAGCAGCTCCCTCAACTCAGAGCATCGCCTTCTCCCTTTGCTCATTCATTTTTCCAAGACATTTGTAACCAACTCCCTAAATTAAACGGTCTTCTCCTTGAGGTGCCTAGACTGCCTTCTATTTTCCTGATTGGGCTCCAATTGATATAGAGGGCAATAAATGGGGTAATTAATGTGAAACTTATTTGCTTCTTCTTATTGCAAGGGCCAGAGCAGAAAGGAAACTCCAAACCCAAACTCTCAGTGATTCCCCCTTAGTGGAAATCTGATATCATCCCACCCATCAGCTTGACTGCTTTAGGCCAGGCCACCTGTCACCCCAACTAGAGTTCATGGGCATCTTCAGAGACCAGGATACACAAAAAAAAACCCACCCAATGCTCTCCTCCACTCTCCACCTCCCTCCTCACCCACAATCCTGTCTTATTCTCTTGGCTACTAGGAAGTGCTTTTTGATAATCCGACTCAATTCACTTTCTATACTTCCCATCGATTTTGCCTTATTTATTGTCTTCAATAACGTTAGATTACCCTAAAAAACCTACAGACTTGAGGCTGGGCGCAGTGGCTCCCAGCATTTTAGGAGGCCAAGGCGGGCAGATCTCGAGGTCGGAGATCAAGACCATCCTGGCTAACACGGTGAAACCCCGTCTCTACTAAAAATACAAAAAAAATTAGCCGGGCGTGGTGGCGGGCACCTGTAGTCCCAGCTACTGGGGAGGCTGAGGCAGGAGAATGGCGTCAACCTGGGAGGAGGAGCTTGCAGTGCAGCGAGATCGCGCCACTGCACTCAAGCCTGGGTGACAGAGCGAGACTCCATCTCAAAAAATAAATAAATACACAAATAATTAAAAAACACCTACAGACTGGAAACAGGACCACAGAGGTGGATGCAATTCTCTCTTCCCATCCCCAACAGCACTCCCCAGATGCCTGAGTTTCCACCCTTGGAGCAGTCCTTCCAATTACGGCAAATATTCTTCAATGGGGCTTTCTGGGGTGTCCAGGAATCTCCCCAGCTTGTATTGGAAATGCTACATTTTCTTAAGGGGGAGGTTTTTGGAGAGGGTGCTTATAGCTTTCATCAGATTTTCAAAGAAATGTGGGCTCCAGGAAAAGCTTAACCAGTAGGGTAAGGCAAGCCTGTTTGTTAAATACATATATTCCTTCAGTAGCACATCATTGTCTCCATAGTGGGGTTTAGGAAGAAACATATATTTACATTTACTTTTATTTATATTAGGTTCATTTACACTTACTTTTCATCTCACTTCTTTACTTTTCTACTTTGATCCAGCTTTTTCTGGGGAGTGTTATGGATTGAATTGTGTAATTTCCTGCAATATGTATAAAAATCCAAAAGATATGCTTAAGTCCTACCTCCCGGTACTTCAGAATGTGACCTTATTTGGAAATAGAGTCCTTGCAGATTTAACCAGGTTAATATGATCCCTAATTCAATATGACTGGTGTCCTTACAAAAATTTGGACATGCCGGGCACAGCGGCTCACGCTTGTAATCCCAGCACTTTGGGAGGCTGAGGCGGGTAGATCTCCTGAGCTCAGGAGTTTGAGACCAGCCTGGGCAACATGGCGAAACCCCATCTCTACTAAAAATACAAGAGTTAGCCGGGCATGGTAGTGCACGCTTGCAATCCCAACTGCTTGGGAGGCTGAGGTGGGAGGATCACTTGAGCCTGGGAAGTAGAGAGGATGCAGTCAGTGGAAATCATGCCACTGCACTCCAACCTGGGCAACAGAGAGAGACCTCATCTCAAAAAAAAAAAAATGTGGACTCAGACACAGACATATATAGAGAGACACTGATGTGAGGACACACAGGGAGAGACAGCCGTGTGACTGGAGCAATGCATCCACAAACCAAGGCGATTCAAGGAGTGCTGGCAAGCCCCAGAAGCTAGGAGAGACAGGGAAGACTTCTCCCCCAGAGCTGTCAGAGAGAGCACAGCCCTGCCCACAGTTTCATTTTGAACTTCTTGCCTCCAACTCTATCAGGCAATAATAAATTGCTACCAGTTTATGCCACCCAGTTTTTGATACTTTGTCATGACAGACCTAAGAAATTAATAGAAGGAGTTATTGCTTAATAGTTAGTTTCTGTTTGAGGTGGTGAAAAGTTTTGGAAATAGATGGTAGTGCTGTTTGCACAACATTGTGATATAATTATTACCACTGAATTGTACACTTAAAAATTGTTGAAATGGCCTGTAATCCCTGCATTTTGGTAGGCTAAGACAGGAGGATTGTTTGAGGCCAGCAGTTTGAGACCAGCCTGGACAACTAAGTGAGACTCTATCTCTACAAAAATAAAGTAAAATAAAATAAAATTAGCCAGACATGGTGGCATGCACCTGTAGCTCATTGAGACAAGGTCTCTAAATAAATAAAATAAAATACCATAAGTATGAGGTTAAGGGTTTGTAAATAAAACTTAGTATAACAGAAATGTTGCCCTTTGAAGCTTCCCTCCCCTGGGGAGGGACGTGGTGGGCAAGAGTTCCCATTTGCTGACAGCCAACGCCTTTGCCACGTTTAAACAGGAGAACTAAAGGCTTGGAGAGTTCAAGTGATTTGCTCAAAATCACATAGGGTGGTAGAAGTGATTGAGCCAGGATGCAAATTTGGTCTCCATGACACAGATCCAAGCCCCATTCTTCCTATATACCCTGCCAAGTTCCTGGTACCCCAACACAATGAGACAGAGGAGGGATGCAGAGGGCCATGTCCCTATCTTCAGCAACTAGCTTGGGGAGGGGGGCAGCACATGAAAGAGAACATCACAGTCCTTTCTACACGCTGAAGGCCATGCCTGGGATTGGGGTGAGTGCTGTGTTTGGCTTCAGAAAACATGGTCCAAGTCCCAGCTCCACCCATTACTAGTGGGTAAGTCTCTTCACATCACTTCATTGTACCTCAGTTGCCTCATCTGTAAAATGGGGTTAATAACTATGCTGACTGTTGTAGGCATTAAAGGAAATAACAAATCTAGAAGTATCTGGCAAAGGCTCGTCATATAGAACACGCTCAACACATGACCGCTGAAATTGACACGCCACCGTCATCCTCCATCACCAGGGGTAGCAGGGAGGGCTAGAATCAGGCATGGGGCCCAGAGCACCCTTCATCCTACTGCACATTCTTTTCTTCAGGAAGGGGGAGGGTTAGAGCCCCATTCTCTGCTCAGTGCCCATCCGAGATGGGGGTAGAAAGAAAGAGCTGGGGGCTCTCAATCCCCACCCAGCAGCTTCTCCTCACCCCACACAAACACGCCCCAATTTATGCATCCCTCTTCCGGGAGGGTCCCATTCTCCCAGTGTCCTGACCCCATTCTCCAGGCACTGAGACCACAGTTGTGGTCCAGCTGCAGAAGCCAGCCCAGCAGACTGGCCCTCTGCCAGAGACAGGAAGTGGGGGAAGAGCTGTGCGTTCTGCTGGCCACCAAGGAGGGGTGGGCGCCAGAGGCTGGAGCTGGGCCAGACCTTGTGGTCTTGCGGAATGAACTGCAAGGGAGGAGTTGTGAGCTGGCCTGCTCCACTTTGAAGGGTATTGTGAGGGGCAGAGCCCGTGCAAGGCAGTTCTGTCCCCTTTGTTGCCTGGAAGGCTCTGGGGTGGAGAGTGGGGAATAAGCCCTGGAAGGCAGGAAAGAATACTGAGGTGGGAGTCTGGAAAGTTGGGATTTGGTAAGGTTTTGCCACTAACTCACTACATGACTTGCATTAGCTCTTTCCCCTCTCTGGCCTCTGTTTTCCAACCTCTGAAATTGGAAAATGTATTGCACTCTCTGTGGCAGACACATCTCTAGGGAATACACTAGTAGACAAGCCAGTCCCTGCTCTCAGGGCCTTTCACTCTACCAACAGATGAGCAAATATAGAATAGGCCAAGTGCTGAAAAAGTCTGGGTAGAATAATAAAATGGTGTTGGGGGCAGAGAGTGAGAAGTCTGGGACGGCCTCTCTTAGAAGCTGACATAAGCAGAAGAAACGAGGAAAGGGCCAATGTGGGTATCTAGGGGATGCACATTCTGGGCAGAGGAAAGAGCAAGGGCAAAGGCCCTGAGGCGAGAAGGTGCCTGGCAAATTAACCGAGAAAAGGAAGTAGCATGGCTGGCAGGGAATAAGTAAGGGGAGATGAGGGCCAAGGCAGGTGGGGCCCAGTTCATGGAGACTGAGGGACTTTGCGCTTTATTCTGAACTGATCGGTGGGCCCCGGGGAAGCTGGGCCTGGGCTTGGGTGCAGAGCCCACTTGGTGCTGTGCATATGTGTGTGTGTGACAGTGTTGGGTGGGGGAACACCTTTGATCTCCCCTCATTTACCCTGGCTTCCTGGACAGGTCCTTCAGGAAGAGACAATAACAGGGCCGGGTCTAGGGTGAGGCATGTGAAACCTGGAGTGAATGAGGCACTTGGCTCAGGTTCAAAACTTAAGGGGGCATCAAAAAACTCAGTAATTAAGATAAAACAATATTTTCCTGCAATATGTATAAAAATCCAAATTAATGCCAAAAAGTCTATGATAAACAAAATGCCAACATTTTAGATAAAGACAGGATCTGACCCTGAACTTGCGTGATTAATTACCTTAATCCTGGTCCTGTTTCCAATACAACTTTATTTAAAAAAAACAAGGCAGCTGGCCCAAAGAACTGTAGTTTGCCCATTTGGTATATTAAAATATTGCCTTAAAATATTCCTCATCAGTCTGGGCACGGTGGCTCATGCCTGTAATCTCAGCACTTTGAGAGGCCAAGGCAGGCAGATCACTTGAGGTCAGGAGTTCCAGACCAGCCTGGCCAACACGGTAAAACCCCGTCTCTACTAAAAAAAATTAGCCAGGTGTGGTGGCAAGCACCTGTAGTCCCAGCTGCTTTAACTTGGGAAGTGGAGATTGTAATGAGCTGAGATCTCACCACCACACTCCAGCCTGGCGGACAGAGCAAAATCCTGCCTCCAAAAAAAAAATTCCTTATCTTGGCATCCCCGAAATCTTGCACACCAGGTGAGTGTCTCACTTACCTCACCCCAGTCCTGGTCCTGGGCCCCAGTGCTCATCCCTCCTGAGGCTGAGAGGCAAAGGGATTTCCCCAAAGAAATATAGTAGATGGTGGGTCTGGAAACTGGGCTCCCATGCCAGGCCTCCAGCCTGGCCATCATATCCTATCATGCTCTGAACTGGAATGTTGATTTTAATGTGTTGATTTTTAAAAACTTTTTATTCAAGTATAATAGTCATACAAACAAGTGCCTGCATCATAAATGTTCAGCTTGCTGCATCCTTACAAAATGAGCACACCTGTATAACCAGCATGCGTGATTAAATTTAAAGCATAATTTACATTTCCAACAAAACAGACATTAGTACTGGGCCAGATTCAGAGGACTTTTGAGATCAAGCAGGCGACTTGGAATAGTAAGGCTCCGGGACTGAGCTGATGCAGAGTTTAGGGGCCCTGGATTGAGACGAGAAAGCAGGGGGAGGGGTGCAGCACTGAGGTCTGGGGTTCGGGAGGGGGCCCTATACGCGGGAGGAAACGGAGAGAGACGGTGAGGATTGCCTTCGGAGGTGGGTGAGGCCCAGCGTGCGCGCCCAGGTAAGCAGGTAAGAATGCAGCAGCCGCCAGGCCCAGGCGCGGGCGCGTCCCGTCCGGGTGACTCAGCCCGTGCCAGGAAGCGGGAGTTGGCTCAGCTCTCCAGAGCTCCCGGACAGCAGCCGGATCCCGGCCGGCTCCTGGGGCACTAGGACAGACCCCCGCGGCTAGCAGCCCGGCCTGGGGGGCGGAACACTCTCTTCTTGTCCCGCCCCACCTTCCTCCGGGCCGCAACCACCCCAGCCCATCGCTGGGACGTGGCCGCGGGTGCCGAGAGCGCTGCCGGCGCCGTGGGGGCCATCCCGGTCCTGGCCCCGACGGCGCCCCAGGACCTGCGATAGCCGTAAGTAGCGACTATGGGGGCTAGGAGAGTCCAAGAAGTGGGGAGCTGGGACGCCCGGCCTCCTGCGTCCCAGCTCTCCACTTCCAGACCCGGCTGGACTCGGGACTAGAAAAGGTGGCCTGGTGCCGCCGCTGCCTTCCAGTGTGCTCACTGGCCCTCGTGGCGGGGAGCCCAGACGCGGCTCCTAGGCGGCCCTAGACAAGTACGGCCGAGACGCTGTCACCCCAGGGGGCTGCCCCACCTGAGCATCATCCCACGGGCCCGCCCAGCCCCACCTGGAGAGCCGCAGGCTCCAAAGTCTTCCCCATTCTCGGGGACCAGGTTCCGGGGTCGCGCTGAGGGCCCCTGAACCCTCTTGGACTGCCTGGCAGCGGCTTCTTCCTACCACCACGGCTCACCATCCAGACGCGCCGCCCGGCTGGCCCCACCGGGAGAGGCTCCCTCCCTCCCCTTTCTCCCCGAACCCTCATCTTAGAAGCCCTCGGATTCAGTCTGGATCCCAAAGAAGGGCTGAATTCGGAGGACCTCTCTTTGCCCCCAAAGTCGGTTTTCTGACACACATTCCCACGCACAGCTGGTAGGGGCAGGAGGGTCGAGGATGCTCTGGGCTGCTGCGGCACAGGGCAGGCTGGTTGGTCACTAACCGGATTTCCCGGACAGACAACTCTGGCGCTGTGGGCGGGTGGCCTGGGAGCCCAGATCCCTGTCCCTGGCTTAGGACCCCGGGAGGAGACCGAGGGGGTGGGTAAAACGTGACTGAGAAACTTGATCGCGCCCATCTTTGGGGCAAAGAGATTTGGAGGCCGCAATTATTCAGACAGTTCCACGAAGTGGTTGAGGTTTCTCTCTTTCTCCTGATTTTCCAGAAACTTTTGCAGAGTTTGGACAGGCAAAGGAAAACGTGCAGCCCGCGGATCTCCGGGCCTCAGAGAGCAGGGAGTCGGGGAGACTGAGGCCCCGCTCCGAGAGCGCGGAGGAAGCGCGCCCAGCCGGCTTCCTGTGGGGGCTCGGGCCTCGGGCGCCCCGCGGACAGACGTGTCCGGCTCCTGGCTGGGCCAAGCCCGGCGCGGGGGAGGGGACCCGCAGAGGGGCGACTGAGAAGGCGAGGAGGGGGCGGGGAGAGGGTGGGCCAGGGAAGAGGGGAGGGGAGAGGCGAGTAGGGGAGGAGCGAGGGGGGCTGGAGGGAGAGAAGGAAGAAGGAAGGGGCGAACGGCGTGAGCTGGCGCCGAAATGGGAGAAAGCAGCGAGTGAGAGGGGAAGGGGCGCCAGGCGAGCACCCGGGAGCCAGCGGGACCTGGGCAGGGGCGCCCGGAGCAGGCGCGCATGGCGGGCCCCGCGCGGGGATCCGGCTGGAAGAGAGCGTAGCACGGCTCGCACGAGTGAGTGGACGTGGGAGGCGCGCATCTGCGGGGGAATCGCCCCTTGCCCGCCTCCGGCGCCGCCCGCTGAGCCCTGTTTTCCGCAGGTCCGGGGCCGATGTACCAGGTGAGCGGCCAGCGCCCCTCTGGCTGCGACGCGCCCTATGGAGCCCCCAGCGCAGCCCCGGGCCCAGGTAGGACCGGGAGTGGCGAGCGAAGCTGGACAGGGGCGGGTGGGCGGCTGAAGGGGCCAGTTATTAGTTCTCCTCTCCGTCCCCAGACGCGGGGAGACCGTTCCAGGGAGCTTGGTGGGGGTAGGGACGAAAAGTCTGGGTTTGAGGACTTGGTCCAAGGAGAGTAGGGGGCTGGGCGAGGGAGGCAGGGCCCTGAACAGAGGCTGCGGCTGCGCCAAGTTGGCTCCAACTCCCCGCAACTCCCGACACCAGACACACACACACACACACACAAACACACACACATACACTCCGCGGTGTCTGTCCGTCTGGGATTTGTGTCTCAACTGTTTCTGCCCAGTGTGTAAATATTTGTGGGGGCCTGGTGTGGGGGAGGGGGCGTTGTCTGAATCTTTCTCTACTTCCCTTCCCCCAGCCCAACCAGAGCCCAGCGCTTCCCGAAAACTTTTGTCTGCCGCGAGCGGCTGCAGGACCCAGCCCCTCCCCTCTTTCTTGCCATCCCTTCTCCCTCGCCTTCCTTCCCTCTCGTGCCGGCCAGTCCCCGCCGCCCCTGCCCTGTGCACACACACGCACCCCAACCCAGTGTCTTCAGCCCAAGTGAAATGCCCCGTCCCGCGCCTGGCGCCGTCTGTAACCTACCCGCGATTCCTGGGGGAGCCTCTCACGCCAAGTACGGTTTGTGACTCCCTGAAGGGGTTTGGAGTAGGGGCCTCGCCGGCCCTGGTTCTCAGTCCCTTCCCCTCACTGGCCAGATGCCTAAGCCGAAGCTCCCAAATGGAAGTCCGGGTCAAGGAGAAGTCAGGAACCTCTGGGATGTGTTCAGGGCCAGGGGAACCGCGTGCAGGAGTGTGGACCCGGATTTCATAATTGGAATCTCCACTGTCTAAGTCGTTGCCTTCCTCCCCACCAGCGCCATTCCCCCTTTCCCCTCTTTGACTCTGAATAATGAAGGTCTGTTCCTGAACCTCTGACACGAACTCCCTGCCTTGCCTTGGACAAGCTCCTTCCCTTCTCTGGCCTGAGCCTCCACATGCGCCCTCGAAGCCGGCCTGCCTGCCTGTTCTAGGAGGCCCCTCTCCACTCCCCACCTACTTGGTATGGACGCCTAGTTGTGGAGGTGGGGGGTCCTCTAAACCAGAGTGAGGACAAGTGGAAGATGTCTGGCCAACAGCCAGCACATAGATGAGGCCAGTGTGTCTACAGCCCATCTTGGCCAAGCCTCAAATTGCCTGCTGTCTCTGTGGGGCCCCTGCAACGGGGCCTTCTGCAGGATGAGCGCCTCCAAGAATTGGACTCCTTCAGCCCGGAGGGACAGCTGGGGGCAGGGCACTTGGAAGGGTCCTTCTCTGTGTCTGGGAACCTTCCCTGTCCCGCTGGGCCTCCTTCCTGCCTCCTCCCTTCCTCAGCCTCCTGCTCTCCCATCCTCTTACTCTCTCCAGCTTTCTCCCTCCCCTTATCCATTTTCTCTGCTCTCCCTCCACTACCTCCTTCCAAGATCCCCTTCCTTGTTGAAGCCATTCTCAGCTCCAGCAGCAAGAGGAGAGGGCTAACTGCACACAACCGGGGCCAGCGTGGGCAACTGGGAGGGTTAAGCTCTGGGCTGTAACTTGAGGCCCCCCAGCACCCCAGCAGACCCCCTCCCCAGCCTGGGCTGGGCCAGACAATGCGGCTTTCATAACTCAAGGCTTCGCTCTGCCACCGCCTTGGGAGAATGAGCCTGCTGCCCAGGAAGCCCAAACCGCAGGAGACCCAGCCAAAACCCCACAGATGCCTGAATTTGAGACCAGAATCCCCCACGCTTTACTCCCTGAGTGCTGACAGAACAGCAAGGCCACAGCGCTGCCCCAGGGGCTCTGCTGGCAGGACAGCCAGGGAGCAAGTCGGCCTCCTCCCTCAGCCACCCCAGATGCAGACAGGGCACAAGGGGACTCAGGGCAGATCTGGTAGGGGCAGGTGGCCAAGCCCCCACACCCTTGGCTCTCCTAGTGGCCTCCTCCCCACCCACCCCTGAGAGCCCCGGGAGCCTGGCTCCCTAGCCCACAGGCACATTTTTGCCCAGCATTGGGGCGTCACATTCCTGTTCATGGTTCTAAATTGAATTTCCTGGGGATTTGGAACCTTCAGACCTAAAATAAAACCAACTTGTCCCAGACTAACTGGCCAGCTCAGGCCCTCTTTAGTTTTCAGCTTGGTGGCCTGGGAGTGTGACCATTGGATTCGCATCAACCATGTGTGCATCAAAGGAGTCCACCCTCTCTGACTTTCTTGGGGTTCAGGTCCAGGTGCCACCCCTAGTCTTCATTTCTTTCTCTTTCTCCTTCCCCTGACAGGGGCATTCCAAACTCCAGAAAGTACTCCCCAGTAGGCATTTGCCGAGTGCCCCCTGGGGATGCAGAGATGAATATGGACACCACTCCAAGGGAGTGAGTTGGGAGGGCTGTAGTCTGGTTGAGAAGCCGGGATTTCACTAGCAAATTGTAATTAACAAGAGGGAACACTGGAGCTAAATTCTTAGCAACTGGGTCAGAGAAAGCTGTCTAGAGGAAGAGGTGAAGTTTGAGCTTGGTCCAGGATGAGTTGGGTTTGGAGAGTGGGAGGGGTAGGATCTTCTGGTCAACAGGAATAATATAAGCATGGGTGGACTGGTCAGAAGATCCGGCAATGGCCCAGACCATGGGGAGGCCGGTCTGCGTGGAACACAGGATCCTGGTACATTGATAGATTGAAGGTCCGGACTGAGGCCTTGAATGCCAAGCCAAGGAAAGATTGAGGTGTGGGGTTCCAGCCACCACTCTCTGACCATATGAGGTTCTGGCCTTCCCTCTCCAGAGACGGTCAGAGTTCCAAGTGGGAAGCCCAGATCCACGGTCCACAAAGACAATGACGAGGGCTAAACTTAAGGCAGTAGGCCGTGGAGCTCTGGAACACAGGCCTCTCTCCACACCAGCCAGGGATTTTTTGGCTGAAACTCCCATGGGCACTGTGCAGGCTTGAAACCATCCCACCGGAAAGAGGTTCCCCCCTACTCCCTGTTGGTCCAGGACCACCCCTCAACTTGGTGGATGGCAAGCAGAGAGAACCCACAGAGTCCTTGCTGAGGGTGTGAGTCTCGGCCTTTCCTCTTGGGCTCATGGATTTAAACATGGCTCTCCCACTCCCATCTGGGGCGTCTTTCCAGAGCTCCAGGCATTTACCAGAATCTTACCCCATGTTAGGAATGAGAGTGTATTGAAGCAAAGGGGCTGTTGCCTTTCCGTATCTCCCCTTTGTAGATAGCCACCCTTGAGAGGAGGAGTACAGGGCTGGGGGCTTCTGCTCGGAGCCAGCATGTGTGGCACCCGGTGCAGATTAGAAAAAGGAACCCCCTTGGTCAGATGGAGCAGGTGCGCAGTTGGGTGAGCAGATGGCACCTACTAGGAGGGCAAGGACTTCAGCCACATCCGCTCACCCCCTTGGCAGGCACCTTCTGCAGTACATGAATTGCACATCCACACGGGGGGCCTCCTTCACCTTTGCTGGCCACCCCCTTGCCTCCTGCCCACCCCACACTTCCACCCTCCAGAAGTTTCTCCCCTGAGATGTTCTCCCCTCTGTGGCTGGACAGCGGTGTCTCTTGGTTACAGAATGGCAAAGTGGGCTCTTGGCGCCTCTGCCCCATCTGTTCCAAGCAGGAGCTGCTTCTCAGTCCACACCTAGGGGTCTGGGCCACCCGGGCAGTGTCTCCTCTGCAGACCAGGTCTTCCTGCAGCTGCTTCTTCCTTTTCCTTCTGCTTCCCTGTCTCTGGATATCTGGCACAGCTCCCTCTTCTGCCCTCCGTGCTGGTTTGCTGGGTCCCCTCTGTGGCCCCTCCTGGCTCCAGAGGTTCTCTGTCCCTCTGTGTGTCTCCAGGTCAGGATTATTGGACTTGGTTTTCTTTCCTTCCTCATTTTTCCTCCACGGTCTGATGCCTGGTAGGCTTTCTGTGGGATGGGCCTCCTCGGGCCTTGGTCTGCACTCTGTAATTTCCTGTTCCCACCAGATCCAAGGTCACCAGCCCTGTAGGTGACTGTCAGGAGAGGCTGCCCAGAGAGCAGAGACACTTTGGGTAAGGCAGGTGGAGATGTGAACTCCAGGCTCCTTAAACCCTCTTCCTTGCCTTCCTCCCTCTCTAACACTGCGGGGAGGAGGGGGAGCAGGGCAGGGAGCAGAAGTCCTGGCTCTCTCTACCATAGGACTCACAGTGTCACCTCTGTGAGCCCTGGTGACCTCAGCAGGAAGCCTGGGAAATGACCACAAGGCCTGTCATGCCCTGCTATCATTCTAGGCTTCCCAGCCTCAACACCACCCCGCAGCATGTGGCTTCCTTGCTCTCTGTGTAGCGGCTCACTCGGGGGTCTTGATTCCTGCTGCTCTTCTCAAAACTCCCCCTCTGTACTGCTGATTGGTCAAGACTCAGTGTGAGTACTGCCTGCCCCAGGAAGCCTGCTTGACACACTCAGCCATCTGGGCTAGGTGCCCGTCTTCTGTGCTTCCACCATTCTTCCAGATGCCCCAGTGTAACTCTTGCACCTCTGGGTATGTAAGAGCCACCAGCCCACCTCTCCCCTAACCGAGAACTCCGAGGCAGTGAGCTGGTCTTTCTCACTCGGGTATACCCAATACTTGTCATATTGCTGGGTGCCTCGTAGGTGCTTAATAAATGTTAAACCACACAGCACAGGAAGGAGGGAAGGAGGGAAGGAGGGAAGGAAGGAAGGAAGGAAGGAAGGAAGGAGGGAGGGAGGGAGGGAGGGAGGGAAGGAGGGAAGGAAGGAAGGGGAAAGGTCAGAAGCCAAACTACTCATTAAAAAAAAAAGAGAGAGAGAAAGGAGGGAGGAAGGAAAGAAGAGAGGAAGGGAAGGAGGGAAGAGTAGTAGGGCTGTGGGTGAAAGGCTCGTGAACAACCCCCTGATGAGCATTTTCTTTCCTCCTTGAAACCCTGTGGCATGAGATTAGGACTGCAAAGTAACCCAACCCTTTCCATGCAAAGTAACCCAACTCTGATAATTTGCCAGGCTGGTAACTGGTGAATGTAGGGCTTGGATCTTCTGCTTCTCACTCAGGTCTTTCTGTCTCATTACACCCTGTGGGAGAGTCAGGTCCCCCAGTTCAGGGCCCAGGGCCATAGCAAGGTGCCTCTGGGGGCCAGGGTCCGGAGCTAGGCAGGCCCCTGGTTTCCTGGAAATTAGGACCCTGAGCCTCCCTTTTCATGGCAACTTGGTCTTAGCCTTCAAGAGCCATATCTGAGCTGGTGTAGACCGGGCTCAGGGCTAGGAGAGGCACCATCTAGCACCAGCGTCTCCACTTGCCTGCTCCTCCTTGTCCAAATCCTCTGATCGTCCAAAAGCTATTTGATTTCCCAATGATTAACCCAGCTAAGAGGGGAGCTCTCAACAGGCCCAAAGAGCAGATGGAGCTGAAAGGAACCCACCCCTGCCTCCGTGGAGCCATGGGCCCCGGGAAGGGTTCCCAGCACATAACTCTCCTGCCCTGCACAAATCCTAGGAGCGCCAGCCCTCCCTCCCCATTGCCCCAGCTCCTGTCTCCAGGCAAGCCCTGTGGTTTTTCCCTGGGCAGGTGAGAGCATGCCTGCTGGGCCTGCCGCCCTCTGTGCTTCCCACATGGGGCCTCTGGGGCGTCCATTCCCCTGGCTGTGGGGGACCAGACCCCTTGGAACAAGGGTCATGAGGGTCACTGAGGGTCATGGCCACAGAAGGCTGTGCTCTGGGCCCAGGGAGGCAGCTGGGCCACAGGATCTTCTCCTCAGCATGCTTCCAACTCCCATCCCCCAGGCCTGCATGCCCAAGCCTCCACTGATCCCTCTAATTACCTCCCTCCTCTCTTCTTTGATCTCTCATCTCCCTCTCTTTGCCTCTCTCCCCCACCCCCACTCTCTCCCTCTCTGTGTCAACCCCTCACTATTCTCTGTGATTGATTCCATTTCAATTCCCAAGACTACCCTGTGTCTCTCTGTGTCTCTGTCTCTGCATGTGCCTCTTTCTGGTCTCTCTGTGGGGTGTGTACTCTTTGGGCTTCCCTGCTGTTTCTCATCATCTCCCTGTCTGCCCGTGTCCCCCTCTGTGTCACTCTGCCTCTCCCCGTGTCCCCCTCTGTGTCACCCTGCCTCTCCTTGTGTCCCCCTCTGTGTCACCCTGCCTCTCCCTGCGCTCTTTTGGCCTCTGCATCTCTGAGTCTCTTGTTTCTGTGTCTCCTTGCTCCTTCTCCCAACATGATATTTGGGGAGGGGGCAGGTGGAAGGCCACCCTCTTTAGACCCCTGTCCTTCCAACTAACTGCATAGGCTGAGGTCTGATGAGAGGCCCAGGCTGCACCCTACACCCTTTCATTGCCACAGCCTGGGCCCGCCCCTGACCCCTGGCTGAGTGTGTGGACGCTCGGACCCCTTTCTTCCTCCCTCCCTCACCTCCCATCCCCCATCCCTTTTCCCCCTGAGCCTAGGGGCCCTAGTCCTGCAGGCTGGGGAGCTGTGGGTTTGAAGGTGGCTCCATTTCTGCCTCCTGCCGCCCCTGCACAGAGCCACTGTAATTACATGTGGCTGCGGTTCACCTCTTCCCCAGTGCTCCGGCCGGCTCCTTGTCCTCCTCCTGACTGTAGCCCCTCCCTGCTCCTCACCCCCAGGTTCCTCTGACTCCTCTATCATCATCCTCTCTGACCCAGTTTCTCCCGTCTCCCTCCGCGCTCTGTATCACACAGTGCTACCTTCTCTGTCGCCTCTGCCCCTGCCCCATCTCTATCTTTCTCTCCATTACTGACTTCCGTGCTATTGCTGCGTCTCACTCCCGTCTCAGGCTGTCTGTCACTGGGTCACTGTGGATCCCTTTTCCGTGCCCAATCTCTCGCAGTCCGATGCTCTATCTCCCTTTACCTCTACCTCTCACTGTCCCTTTGATTCTCCCTGTCACTCTCGATGCCTGTCCCTATCTCTCCGTTGCTGACCGTCCGTCTGTTCTCCCGTGTTGTGTTTCTGCCTCCTCTCCCTACTTCTCTTTATATTCTGCCATCTCTGCCCCTCCCGACACCACATGCACACGTGCACACACTCAAATGCATGCACACCCTTGCTCACTCCCAGATTGTGGTTTGGGAGCTTTCTATTTTGGAGCCCGGTGCTGTTGTCAGCTAGAGTAAGGGCTGCATAACTGATGCAGACAGACAAAGAATGAGGGTTCAGTGGGCATGCTGGGCTGTGGGGCGGGGCCCACGGCTGGGCAAACAGGAAGGCCCCAGGAAAATGGACCTCAGTCATCTGCTTTTTTCCTAGCCCAGACCCTATCCCTCCTTCCTGGGCTGGAGGTAGTAACAGGATCCACTCACCCTGCGGAGGCAGCACCAGAGGAGGGCTCCCTGGAGGAGGCGGCAACCCCCATGCCCCAAGGCAATGGCCCTGGCATCCCCCAGGGCCTGGACAGCACTGACCTCGACGTCCCCACAGAAGCTGTGACATGTGAGTCCTAGGGGGCCAGGAGGTTGGATGGCAACATGTAGGGTTGCACTAGGGAACTCAACCCAAATGGGTCGGCAAAAATGGGTGCACCCGCTTGGCCAGAACCTTGAGTGTGGCAGCACAGGCAGCAGAAAGGGGAAGGGCACTGTCACTGTGCTTTCTGTCAAGGGGAAGACCTCCACTGCAAAGTGACTAGGAAGCAGGGAGTGTGGGCAGGCTCCAGGCAAAATGGCTCAGGACAGAGAGCATGCGGCTACCTGGAGAGAGGCACCCCCTGCCTCAGGAAGAGAGCTACGGGGCTGGGGTCCGGCAGGGAGCCAGGGCCTGATGCATCTCCATCCTTCCGGGAATCAGGGATAAAAGGAAGAAGCCCCCAGTTGCTCTAGGGCGAAAGGAACAAAATTCAGCTCCATTCCCAGGCCTGGCTCGAGTTCTCCAAGGAGGTCCTGGGGGGAGGGAGAGAATTTTCCACCTTCACCCTCAAGAACAGGAGAAGCAACAGCTGGGATCATTTTATAACTAACGAAGATTTGCCCACATCTTTAGACACATTTTTACTTTCCAACTTTCTTTCCCTGAGTGGGCTCACTTGCTCTCCTAATCAGCCTGCAATGAGGCAGCAGGATGGCTACTGCGAAGCCCATTTTAGAGATGAGGAAACAGGCACAGAGAACGGCCCACCCTGGTCCCAAGCTGGGAAACTCAGGTCTCCCGGCCCAACACTCTTTGCAGTGCCTGCCTGCATGCCCAGCTGGCATGGCTGAGCTGGAAGCCTCCTCCAGCCAGGGCATCTGGGGCTAAGCTGGACTCCCTGGAAGTCAGGCTTACTAATCCCACTAGTGCACGGCCCTCGGTCTCCTCCAGCACACCCACTAGCAGAATTGAGAGAAAGAGGTCAGCGCCTTGGCAGTGGAGGAGGGGGTCTGGTGGGAATGGGACAGACACTCCTGTGTCTGTGAGCCCTGAGTGTTTGCTCTGTGACTCAGCCCCCACGGCCATGGCCACAGACAAGCTCTGTGTCTGTCCACGTCGCCCAGATCCTTCAGCTCACCACACACTCCCGCCCTCTGGTCAGTGTGCCCATGTTTCGGCAGAAGGGCAAGGGGCACCGAAGCTGGCCAAGGACTTGGCCCAGTCACCCTGTGTGGGGCCAAGAGGTGGGGGCCTGATGATTCAGGCCTGGCCACTAACCATAGCCTTAACCCTGTTTATCCAGATGCAGGCATCAGCCACACCTCTTGCTGGAGGCTCCCAGCATGGAGCCTCTCCAGAACCCTGCTTCCCACCCTCCCCCGATCCCCCACCTTGTCCTCAGCTCCTTTCTCCCAATCTTCATGCCCTCCCCACTCCACTTCCCAGCTAGAGGACCTTTGGCAAGTTTTCCCCTCTCTGGGCCTCTGTTTTCTCATCTGTGAAATGGGGCCAGTAGTAGATCTATTGCGATGCCTAAAGAAGCTGCTCCACCTACTCACGCCTGTAATCCCAGCACTCTGGGAGGCTGAGGCGGGCGGATCACGAGGTCAGGAGATCGAGACCATCCTGGCTAACACGGTGAAACCCCATCCCTACTAAAAAATACAAAAAATTAGCCGGGCGTGGTGGCGGGCGCATGTAGTCCCTAGCTACTCGGGAGGCTGAGGCAGGAGAATGGTGTGAACCCGGGAGGCGGATGTTGCAGGGAGCCGGGATTGCGCCACTGCACTCTGGCCTGGGCACGGAGCTAGACTCCGTCTCAAAAAAAAAAAAAAAAAAAAAAAAAGAAGCTGCTCCACCTAAAGCTTCTAGCACTGTGCCTGGTACATAACACCAGTTATGAGGGTAGTGATTGTCGTGGTAGTAGCAGCTTATTCCTCAGTCGCTTGTCTCCCAGCCTCTGCCCCCATGCTGGCCTCTGCCCTCTGAGCCCCAGCTCCTAATCTCTAACACTTGCTAGCTGTGTGACCTTGGGCAACTTACTGTACCTCTCTGACACTTGCTAGCTATGTGACCTTGGGCAACTTACTGTACCTCTACCTCTCCGGGACTCAGTTTCCTCATCAGTAAAAGAAGACTAGCAATACTGAGGGGATGCGTGAGCAGCAAGTACTTAGAAGGGCTGGCGTGCAGGAAGCAGGCAGTGTGCAATGTTGTGACTGCTGCCATCACTGGAAGACCCGGCCTCTTCAGCCAAGGGAGGCACCGAGGCCACCCTCCCCTCTCCTTGGGCTCCAGGGCCCCCAAGACATCTCCTACACAATTCACATACACAGACCAGGCCTGGAGGGAGATGGGGATCCAGATCCCAGCTCCTGAGGGACTGAAGTGCCCCCCACATTTACAGAGGGTCCTTGAGGCCACAGGGTCCTGCCCAGGAGTCAGGACCCCTGCACAGCTGAGGGGCCCCAGAGCTCTCAGTGACCCCTCTTCAGTCCCTCCGCACTCCCCCCACCATACACACCTCCCCTCATCTCTTGAGAGCAGAACTGAGCCAGCTGGTTCTCACCCAGAACTGAACATCCCTGAGCGAGGAGCAGGAAGGAATTCGGGGTTTGGGGGGTCTCCAGGGTCACCTTGCCTGTACTCCATTGATAAAGCTGAAGTCTGGTCCCTCAGCCTGCAATGGGGACCCGGGGGTCCTGGCTTCAGGGGTCTCCCCACTGCCCTTCTTCTTGCCTTCTTCCCTCCCTCCTCTCCCAGACCCCTCTGCCAGCTGCCCATAGAGGCAGGATGGGGTTGAGGGTGCGGAGGGCAGAGGCTTGAGTGGAGGCACCAGGTGGAAGGAGCAGGAGGTAGAGGGGCTGCAGTGAGGAGCCCCTGGATTCCAGAGCCAGGCGTTCATCTCCAAACAGATGTTTCCAATAAATCACCCAGTGCGCCAAGGGCAATAACAGCTGGGGGCTTGGCAGAGGCCGAGGTGAAGATTAACTTCTTCACTGCTGCGCTCCCAACCCCAGCCAAACCACCCCTCTTCCCCAGCACTGCCACTGCCACCACTCTGCCAAAACCCCAGGATGACAAGAGCAGGAGAATGGACTTTGTGTGAGGAACAAAGGAGAGGTCCAGGGCTCCGAGCCCCTGCCCTTATACATCTGTCATTTCTGGACTGAGCACTGAACTGAGAGTCAGGAGCTAGGCCCAACTCAATTTCATGGCGTGGCTCTGGACTAGTCATTTCTTCTCTCTGGGCCTCAGTTTCCCCATCTGCAGGATACAGGTCTGGCTGGGTGCTTTGGGGTATATGTAAGAATGCAGCAGGCAGGATTCGAGCATAGCTCTGGGGGCCGAATGACCCCCACCCTTTTCCCATCACACTTTCTCTTCATCTCTCCAGGCCAGCCTCAGGGGAACCCCTTGGGCTGCACCCCACTTCTGCCGAATGACTCTGGCCACCCCTCAGAGCTGGGCGGCACCAGACGGGCGGGGAATGGTGCCCTGGGTGGCCCCAAGGCCCACCGGAAGTTGCAGACACACCCATCTCTCGCCAGCCAGGGCAGCAAGAAGAGTAAGAGCAGCAGCAAATCCACCACCTCCCAGATCCCCCTCCAGGCACAGGAAGGTAAGCACCCATCCCATCTCTCCCTGGGAGAGGCCTCCAAAGCCGGGTTCCTCGAAGCATGACGCATGGGCCCACTGGAGCACCTTCACCAGGCTGTTACTTAGAGATGCAGGATCTCAGCCTCCTTCCACGCCTACTGGATTGGAATCTCTGGTGGAGCTTAACAAGCCCTGCAGGGAACCTGACGCATGACCAAATCTTAGAACCTTGCAAAGTACACCCGTTGGGTAAAGGTGTACCTGCCTTCTCAAGGCCACCTCCCCACCCCACCCCAAACCCCTCCCCATCCCTTCTTTCCCAGAGTTGCTGTGACAAGGAACGGAGCCACCTGGGTTGATCCATCTTAAGCCACTCTGTTTCTGGAAACAGAAATTTTCTGTTAAGGGAGGAAAAAAGAACATGTAGCAGAATAAAATGGTGCCAGGGCAGGGCTGCAAGGTGCAGTAGGAGGTCAGAGGATCCAGACACCCAACCAGCCGATGTGCCTACAACACAAAGATCCTCTGCAGGGCCACAGGGGCAGCCAGTCCCCTCCTCATCAGCCATCAATTGAACATGGCCAACAGCTGCCTGAGCTCAGTGATGGCCTGACCTTTACCTCAGAATGTTCCAGTGATTCCTGTCCATGTGAAGGGACCCTGGCCTGGGCATCTGCAAAACACACTTGCACATAACATGCTCAGAAACCTTCCCACTCTGCAAAGCAGATTCTGCCCAACAGTCTTTTTCCTTTTTTTTTTTTTTTTTTGAGATGGAGTCTTGCTCTGTCGCCCAGGCTGGAGCGCAGTGGCGCAATCTTGGCTCACTGCAACCTCCTTCTCCCGGGTTCAAGCGATTCTTCTGTCTCAGCCTCCTGAGTAGCTGGAACTACAGGCGCGTCCCACCACGCCCAGCTAATTTTTGTATTTTTAGTAGAGACAGGATTTCGCCATATTGGCCAGCTTGGTCTCGAACTCCTGACCTCAGGTGATCCACCCGCCTCGGCCTCCCAAAGTTCTGGGATTACCGGCGTGAGCCACCAAGCCCAGTCCCAACAGTCTTATTTATGAAGGAGCCATTTATTCATTTAAAATGTCCTGGCCAGGCACGTTGGCTCACTTCTGTAATCCCAGCCCTTTGGGATCCACCGAGGCAGGTGGATCACCTGAGGTCAGGAGTTCAAGACCAGCCTTGTCTAAATGGTGAAACCCTGTCTCTACTAAAAATACAAAAAATTAGCCAGGCGTGGCGGTGGGCGCCTGTAATCCCAGCTACTCCGGAGGCGGAGGTTGCAGTGAGCCAAGATCGTGCCCGAGATTGCACTCCAGCCTGGGCAACAAGAGCAAAACTTTGTCTCAAAGAAAAATAAAATGAAATGTCCTAGGCACCTGCTATGTGCTGGAAACCTGGTTCATGACCTCATAAAGCTCTCATGAGAGACGTAGATAGGTAATCGCCATACGATGTGATAAGTGCAATGATAAACTCATGCAGAGGATTACGCAAACACAGGGGGACCACTCACACCAGCCCAGAAATCTGGGGAGGGAATCCTGGGAAGGCTTGGAGGTGATGTCTGAACATGCCTTAAAAGACCAGAAGGAGGCTCCAGCCAGGAGAGCATGCGCACAGAGCTGAGAAATGGCCAGTGTGGCTGGAGGGTGAACTGCCAAAGGTGAGACTCCTAGCAGGCAGGGGTCCTGGGAGGTCCTTACCAACCAGGCAGTAAGCCTAGACTATCTGGAGAGCAGTAGGGAGCCACTGAAGGGTTTTAAACAAGGTGGTCACCTCATTAGATTTACGTTTGAAGATAACTACCCTATCCAGTTTGGAGAGAGATCACAAGACCCTAGTTCCCTCCACACAGGAATGCAGGAGAACAGGGTTAGACCCTCCACAGCACAGTGAACCTCCCAGGGGGCCCCCTGGCCAGGAGAGCTGCACGCTTTGCCCCATGGCCTGGCCCCAGCACACGGAGGGCTGCAGGACGTGGGTTCTAGAGCCAGCAGCCTGGATTCAAGTCCCAGCTCCACCACCTCCCAGCTGGTGCCCAGCGCAGCTTCATGCATTTCTATTCTATTCACTGAGCACCTCTATGTGTCTGGCGCTGTTCTAGGGACTTGTAATCTTTCATTGAACAAAATGGGCAAAGATGCCTGCCCTGCTGGAGCTTACATATCCGGTAGAAGGAGATGACAATGAATATGAGGAAACCGTGTAGTACAGTGGGAGGCGATGTCCTCTGAGGGAAGAAGAAGGCAGTCAGGTAGGGCCGGGCAGGGAGTGTGAGGCAGAGCCAGCCGGTTGCGGTATTGAAGCGGGTGGTGGAAGGCCTCGGTGAGAGGTGGCATTTGGGCAAAGAAGGAGATGAGGGACTCAGCCAAGCACGTGCCTGTGGCAAGATTGTTCCAGGCAGAGGAATCAGCGCCTGCATGGCCAAGGAGCAGCCAGGAGGCTGGCGTGGCCAGAGCAGAGTGATCTGGAGGAGAAGAGTGGGAGAAGAGAACTAAGAGGGCACAGGGACCACACTACAGGGGGCCTCAGAGGCCACTTCAAAGATTTCAGCTTTTATCACAAGCGACATGTGAACCATGGGAGGGGTCTGAGCAGAGGAGGGCCAGGATCCAACAGGTATTTCTAAAGGATCCCTCTGGCTGCGGTGTGGAGTGGAGATGCCAGGTGGCAGTGGTCAAAGGGAGACCAGTAAGCAGGCTGTCGAAGGTGTCCAGGTGAGAGATGAGCCAGGTGGTAGGATTCTGGGTGTAGACTTAACTACTCTCCCTCTCTTTTTTTTTTTTTTTTTTTTTTGAGAGAGAGTCCAGCTCTTGTTGCCCAGGCTGGAGTGCAATGGTGTGATCTCGGCTCACTACTACAGCCTCCACCTCCTGGGTTCAAGCGATTCTCCTGCCTCAGCCTCCCAAGTAGCTGGGATTATAGGCGTGTGCCACCACGCCCAGCTAATTTTTTGTATTTTTAATAGAGATGGGATTTCGCCATGTTGGCCAGGCTGGTCTCGAACTCCTAACCTCAGGTGATCCGCCCACCTCGGCCTCCCAAAGAGCTGGGATTACAGGCATGAGCCACTGGGCCCGGCCGACTTCTCTTAACCTCAGTCTCTTCATCTGTAGAGTGGGGCTAGTAAAGGCCCCTGCCTCATAGATTCATTGGAGGCCTAAATGAATGTAATTCATGCACAGCACTCAGAACAGTGCCAAGAACATGTATCACTCCATATGTTGGTTAAACAAATAAACAGAGGGTGGCTAAGAGCAAGGATGATCCAGACTGCCCGCTCCGATGTGCTTAACTGTCTGTGCCTCGGGGTCATCACCTAGAAAATGGAGCTGTGGGGACGGATTCGTGAGCTTCAGGCACACAGTGAACACTCAGCGTCCCTGCTGCTGCCGCTGCCGCAGGCCCCCACACCCCCGGCTATTTCACACACGCTCATCCCTCCCCTCTCTCACCCGTCCCCCTCTCCACCGCCACCCCGCAGACTGCTGTGTCCACTGCATCCTGTCCTGCCTGTTCTGCGAGTTCCTGACGCTGTGCAACATCGTCCTGGACTGCGCCACCTGTGGCTCCTGCAGCTCGGAGGACTCGTGCCTCTGCTGCTGCTGCTGTGGCTCTGGCGAGTGTGCCGACTGCGACCTGCCCTGCGACCTGGACTGCGGCATCCTGGATGCCTGCTGCGAGTCCGCGGACTGCCTGGAGATCTGCATGGAGTGCTGTGGGCTCTGCTTCTCCTCCTGAGCCTCTGTCGGGGGCTAAGCCAGCCTGGCGCCCCTGCAGATTCCAGCAGGGTCCCTCTGAGTGGGGCCAGGCCCAGGACTGTCACACAAGGCTTGAGAAGCCCCCTCTCCCTGGTCCTCTCCTACCCACCCATGTCCTCTCAGAACCCCAGCCTTGAAAATAGTGGGGGGCACTCAGAGGGGCCACCTCCTCAGCCGTGGGTGGTGGGCCCATGGCAGAGAAGCCTGAACTCTTTACTGGGTTACCAGGTTCATACATTGCTGAGGACCTGACAGGACAACCTAGGGGCAGGGCTGGGGTGGGGACCGCAGGGGGCAGCCAGGGCTGGGGAACACTGTGAAAGTTACTTGGGGAGGGTGGGCCGGTGGGGCCGTAGCTCTCTACCTCTCCCTGCTCCTGGTGCCTGCCTCTCTCCTCCACCCCAGGCTTAGAGGACAGAAAAATGTGAAGAGACGCCCCACCCACCCTCAGCCAGCCCTCTCCAGTCTCCTTTCCTAGGCTTTTTTGGGGGCCTAACCCACGCAGTGACCCCAGAGGGCAGGGCTAGGCGAGAGCCTGGGGTGGGGCGGGAGGGGGAACAGTATGGAAAAGACTGGAAGGGGAAAGGAAGGGAAGGGAGGGAGGGTCTGTTCTATCTGTTGCTGTAAATAAAGATATTTGTCCATCTCAGATTTCCTCAGGACTCATGACTAATTGCCATGGACCCTGACTCTCAAAAGCAAACGCCCCCTACCACCGCTAAAAAGCACCCACATGGGTGAGGCTGCCCTGCCCTCTGGGGGCCCTGCCTCTTCTGCTTTCTTACCCCAGAAACTGCCCTGCCCTTCACGTTCCCCTCCCTTCTTCATGTTTCCCACTAAGGGAAGAAGGTTAAGGGGGTGCTGTCTCCCACCATTATTTCCTTCTTCCCACCAAGGGGAGGGGAAGCCCAGAGGGAAGAGTTAACCTTGGCATGGAATTAATTAACAGCAGATGTGTTCGGGTTTTGATTAATTAATCTCCTGCTGACTTCAGCTTCTCCAGCTCTATCCCATGAAGTCGCTCCAAGGCATAGGTGATGCCCATGACAGTGCCAGAGGGGTGCCTGGGAGGGGGCTACTCCAGGCCTGGGGCAGCCCAGACTTGCCCCTGGGCTTCACTGGAGGCCCAGTGGGGGTCACACACCCAGCCTCAGGCATCCCCCTATTGCCAGGCGTCTGAGAAAGAAGGAAGCCTTGTCAGGACTGCATGGGCCCCTACGGCCATCTGTGGGGCGGCCTTGGAGTGCAGAGGGAAGGGCCTGAGAAGCAATGGCGGCTGTGAGGATCGCAGGGCCGCACTGGGGGCAGCTGGACCAGCACCCCCCACACATATCCTGGACCTGGAGGAGGCCAGGAGAGGTCCAGGGGGCATGAGAGGCTCTGGGACAGTTGGGGCAACTTGGAGAACACTCAGCTGATGAAGGCCTTGAGACGGGGGCTGCAGGGGTATTAGTGGGCACTGCTTCCAGGAATGAAGGCTTGGAGTGGTTCCGAGGGATTCTGGAAGGAAGGAGTGGGGACTGGGGAAAAGGGCCAGATGAAATCCAAACTCTCTTAAGGAATGTCACAGGAGGGAGCAGCCTATGGCCTTGGGAGTGGGTTTCATTGCAGCAGGAGGAGGAGGTTCTAACAGGCAACGCAAACTAGCCCCCCACCCCCTCCCCACTCCATCTCCACGCACACACGCCTCACTTCACCAGCTTCAAGGTTTTCTGACCTCTGAGAGCACACAAGAAATTCAGGACACAGAGAGGAAGGGACCTGCCTGGGGTCTCACAATCAAGCCGGTAGAGGGTCCCCGAGGCACCCCCAGCACTCATGTATCTATTTGTGCGTATTTTTATATATTTTCTTAGTTATTGCCTGCCCAAGGTACGGAAGGTTTGAAAGTCTGATCTGTGCACACACAAGCATTTACATGTATGTGTTTTCTTTTTTTACGAAGATGTGAGGATCCTGTACACACTGCACTGTACCCTGTTTTTCCCACCTGGCCATGTCTTGGGGAGCTTCCTTCCCAGCACATGGAGAGCTGGCTGAGTTGCCCTGGATGGATGCGCCACAGTCCAGGGACCCCCAGCTCTGCTTAATCCGCTCTCAAGCGCTTTGGTACAAACCAGGCTGAGCGAGGCACACCCTTTTGCATGAATGAGCTGTATCGGCAGAATGTTCGTGAATGTGGGATTGCTGGACCTACCATTGACAGGACTGCCTGGCTTTCCTCTGTGAGGGTGTTCCAGCCTCGGCTCACTCAGCCTCGGGGGCATCCACTTCTCCCACTGCCCTCGAGAGACAACGGTGGGAGGGTTTCCCATTCAGTCCTCAAGGCTGGGGTCTGAAGGGCGTTAGGGAGGCCAGATCAGGGGGTGAAGGGGCTCCTGACCAGCTCGATATCTGGTCCAGGTGGGCAGGAAGGCCTGCTCCTGGCCCTCCCTGCTCCGCAGGGCTGTGGCAGGAAGAGGCGCCTCTGCAATCCAAACAGCGATTTCCTGCTGCAGGCTCCAGGCTGTTTTCTTTAGGACAGTGGCTGAAACCCTAGAGGCTAAGCTGGGTTGGGGCGGGACAGGGGAAGGATTTAGCCAGCCCCCCAGCACACACACACACACACACACACACACACACTCACACACTCACACACACACACACTTCACACCTGTATGCACACACACATACACTCACACAGACTTTCCATACAGTCACGTACTCACATACATTCCGCAGGCTCATGCATTCCATCACCCGCACCACACACACACTCACACCACATCTACCCACACACGGACACACACTCACACATTTCACAGCCTGCAGCCGCCGCCACCCCTGGCCAGCCTGAGGCTGGGCTGTGGAGACTCATGCCTATCCATTCAAGCTTCGTCCCACACCTGCCCTGCCTTCCTCACCTCCCTGTCTTTGCCCAGGTGGCCCTGATCCCTGCCGGGCAGCAAATGGCAAAAGCCCTGGCTCTGGGCCCTTCCCTCTCCTCATGGTCTACCACAGGCTCCCAGGCTCTGCTTTCCAACGGCTGGGCTGAGCCAGGAGACAGTTTTAGGCCTGGCTGTGCTGTGGGCCCCGGGAAAGAGGCCCTTTCCTCCCCAAGCCTGTGTGTACGACGGAAGAGTGGGTAGACTGCAGCCACAGTGTCCAGGGAACACCTGCCTCTCTCCAGTCTTCTTTCATCTTTGGAGCAGCAGATCAGGCCACTTTTGCCTGGGAGACATCTTAAGAGGCCACCCCGCCCCCTGGGTTGTCTAAACCAAGGCAAGCACCCCCTGCTTGTGGGAGAGAAGGTGGTGAGGCCAAGTTTAGCCATCTGTGGCTAGTACTGTCCATGACCACTCAGTGATCTTGTGCGCCAAACCTAAGAGGGGTGGCCCCACGGCAGAGCAAGTAGCTGAACCAGGGGGTGGTTTGTGAGGGGAGGGCAATCAGCCGGACCCCTCTGCCTCCATAGTCTCCATCAGCTTCTCCCTGTATTTGGAACTTTAACTGGCATAGCCTGTTCTCATACTCAGAGCGGGGCAAACTGAGCTTCAGGCCCCATGGCCTCCATGGCTCCAGAGCTGCCAGGACAGAACACCGCTAAGCAGTTCTGACACTGGGCTGAGCAGGTCCATCCCTGCCCCGTGCCATCACCCTCAACAGCTTCACCTGCTCCCCAGGGTGATGGTCCGGTTGTGGGGGCTGGGGCTGGTCTCTGGGGTTTTCAGGCCAACTGCTGCACACAATCCCAGGGCTGAGCAGGGGGCAGCGGGACTCCACTTGTTGACCGAGCTGGAAAACAGCTTAGTCGTCCTTGGGGCTGGCCCTGGGCAAAGAGAGGTGAGGGAGAAGCAGGGACAGGAGGCTCAGGCCACAGTGGGGGAGTAGCGAGTCATGGGGACAGAGCTCACAGAGCCGGTCCCTTGTCATCTCTGTGCAGATGCTCCTCTGTGCTCTGACTTTCCTAGGCTGGTGAGGACACACGGTATGGGATGGCAGCCGCAGTCACAGCCCTTTCATCACCTCAGCCTCCTCTGGAGAAAAGCCATCTCCCAGCCCTTCCTCGCCTCTCACCTGGTTTCACCGCTTTCCCCCAGGCCGTAGCCACCGTCCAGTTCACAATCCCTGCCATCTCCGGGTCTGCTTCTTTCTGGGTGCGGGGCACATTTCCTCCTACTGCAGACAGATACATGTGGAGTGGGAAGGGGTAGACACACGGTCCACCTGGCACCGTCTCAGTTCTACTGCCTTGGGGCCACATAGCAAAGGCCAGGGAGGCACTCTGATTGGCCCCGCACATCAGCAGGCTCATCCCTGAGCCAATCACGGTGCCAGGGGACGGAGGGCTGTGGCTGGCCAGGCCTCATCGTGTGCTGCCTCTGTGGCCTGGGAGAGTGGGCTACTTGGCCACCCCTCCAGACCCTGATAGAATCAAGGAAGGGAAACCTCCCAAAGAGGTAGGGGTGTTATAAGAAAAACGAGGGGAAAGCTAACAGATTAAAACAACAGAAGTTACCGTGGGGTCAGACTACCACGGGTGGTACAGAGAAGTCCCTGAGTAGAGGAGACCCAGCTGGAAACCTCAAGTTGTCGAGTGCAGCTCAGCACATTTGGCTGGAGAAGAGAAGGCAAGAATGGCCTTCAAGTACCTGGAGCTTGAGTAGAGTGCGGCTTATGTTCAGCCTCCAGCAGGTAGGGGTAAGACCGAGAAGCAGACATAACAGAAAGAGCATTCCCAGCTCCAGGAATGAGAGAATACTCTGCTAGCAAGAACTGCCCCAGGAAAGATGGACAGCCACAGCAGGGGGCAGGGCTGGGGTCATCCCTGTTCCAAGGACTGTTCTGGGGGAGCCAGTGTAGATTAGGTCCCTGCCCAGGTACTGACAGGGCGGCAGAAAGGACAGATGGTGGAGAGTTTTTACAGGTGGTCCCACAATTCCTTCTAACTCAGATCTTCCATAGCTAACAACATAGACTGCGGCCATCTGATAAGAGAGAAACACGGGATTGAAGGTAGTCGGGGAGATGGAGTAAGATGAACAAAAGGAGACAGAGACAAGGAGGCAGACAGGAGGGTGCGGACAAACTAAGGCCCTTGGAGACGGAAAGGTGAAGCAGCAGGCTGAAGGCACACAGCCCCCGGCCCCTCCCAAGGTCGCCCGCTGTGGGCTGTGGGGGCAGTGGTGCCCCTTAGCCCGGATCCCTCCCAGGCATGGAGCCTCCGCAGAGCTGGGCAGCTCAGCATTAATTAGGACCTGGCTAATGGCTCGGAAGATTGGCCAGTTCTAGGGACGCTGATGAATAGAGACTGCGCTGAGATTTATTCCTAATTATCTCATTTGTCTCCCCCCATTACTCTTTATGGCTGGGATTTATGGGACCATTAGGGGGGCCCAGCCAGGCCAGGACGAGTGTGAGCCTCGAGATGCTTCGTGCTAATAACAATAACAATGGTCCTCTTGGCCCGGATTAATGGAGGACTGACTTTCTTGCCCTCCCCATCCCCTATTCTTGGGACCCCAGACACTAGCTTCCCCCATGTTCCTCTCCCGTCCAGGACCCCTGGCCCTCAGCCACCTGTGGAGTTCAAGCCTGTGCCCCCCTCTGCCTCCCGCTCTACCCCAAGGGCTCAAGGTAGTAGTGGGAGGACCTGATTTCAAAGGTAACACCTCTGGGACAAAGCTTGTATCAATATTGATGTGTTCGGCAGCAAGCAGCAAAGAACCCAAATAAATATGGCCTCAACTGTAAGGACATTTATTGTCTCCTTAACTAGAAATGCGGAAGTGGGTGAGCCCTGAGCTGATCAGGAAACTCCAAGACACCATCAAGGATCCTGGCTTCCAACCTCCTGCTCCATCATGCCCAGAATGTTGTCCATGGCTCCCCTCCTAGTCACAAAATGGCTACTACAGCCCCAAGCGTTGTGTCTTTACACATGGCATCCCTCGAGAACAAAAAGGGCAGGTGGGCTGGGTGCAGTGGCTCATGCCTGTAATCCTAGCACTTTGGGAGGCTGAGGCAGGTGGATTGCCTGAGCTCAGGAGTTCAAGACCAGCCTAGGCAACATGGCGAAACCCCGTCTCTACTAAAAATACAAAAAATTAGCTGGGCATGGTGGTGCATGCCTGTAATCCCAGCTACTTGGGATGCTGAGGTACAAGACTCCCTTGAACCCGGCGGAGGTTGCAGTGAGCCGAGATCACACCACTGTACTCCAGCCTGGGCAACAAGCGAGACTCTGTCTCAAAAAAAAAAAAAAAAAAAAAAAAAAAAGGCAGATGGAAAAGGGGGACTTCTCCTCCCTCACCTTTTACCAGAGCAGGGAGGGAACGATTTCCAGAAGCCCCAACAGGCTTCTACTTACATCTTTGCCCACACTGGATCATATTCCTTCTTAGGTTGGACTCCTCCAGAAGCTGACTCTAGACAAGAATTGAAGTGCAAATAATTTGCTTACGAGGGGGTTCCAGGAAACACCAGTAGGGGAGTGAGGAGTGTTATCAAGCTGGTTACCACTGTGGGCAACTGGACACGTGCTTCTGAGGGAACTGCGATATTTACACAGCAAACCCATGGTTGCCGGTTGGGGACCGTTCCCAGCAGGGAGTGTTCTCCAGCGCTCCTAGCCTGCTGGGCTGTGGAAGAAAAGCCCCCAGAGGCAGAAGGGGGCCAGGGTGTCCCTCCCTGAGAAGGACCAGCGAACAGGCAGGCATTGGCAGAACCTGCCCTCACCCACCAAGGGGAGTGATGATTGATGGCCAGACAAACCCAACTCACTGCTGGGCAGGGAGAAAGGGGGCTACCTTTGGGGACTCAGCCCCAGGGTCTGCCACAGAGCCCCTCCCCACCTCCTCTACCTTGGACTCTACTACCCGGGCCAGCCACAGGGGATGAGCTTCAGTGTGAGGTGAAGGTGGGAACAAACCACATAGAGAAGATGCGTTTCAGCCCCTGTCCTGTTTAGAAGGTTCATGTCAGAGCCCTCTTCAAGAAGATTCCTGGAAGCCACTGTGTGAAAGTTCTGCAAGCTTCCCATTAGCCAGAACTTAGTCACATGGCCACGTTCAGCTGCAAAGGAGGTGTATTGGTCCATTCTCACACTGCTATGAAGAAACACCCAAGACTGGGTAATTTATAAATAAAAGATTTTTAAAGGGTAATTGACTCACAGTTCCGCACTGCTGGGGAGGCCTCAGGAAACTTACAATCATGGCAGAAGGCAAAGGAGAAGCAGGCACCTTCTTCACAGGCGGCAGGACAGAGTGAGTGCAAGCAGGGGAAATGCCAGATGCTTACATGTTCATCATCAGATCTTGGGAGACTCACTCACTATCACAAGAACAGCGTGGGAGAAACTGCCCCCATGATCCAATTGACTCCACCTGGTCCCACCCTTGACACGTGGCGATTATGGGGATTATGGGGATTACAATTCAAGATGAGATTTTGGGTGGGGACATAGCCAAACCATAAGAGGAGGCTAGAAAATGTCATCTTTATTCTGGGTGGCCAAATGCCCAGCTGAAATTTCTATTACTGTGGAAGAAAGGGTGACTAGATATGAGGGGACAGCTAGCTGTCTCAACTACCCTACCCAACAGCCATTTGCCTCTTCTTTTTTTATTTTATTTTATTTTTTTTTTGAGACAAAATCTCTCTCTGTTCCTCAGGCTGGAGTGCAGTGATGCTGCAGCCTCAACCTCCCAGGCTCAAGTGATCCTCCCACGTCAGCCTCCCAAGTAGCTGAGACTAAGGCATGCACCATCACACCCAGCTACTTTTTTATATTTTGTAGAGATGGAGTCTCATTATGTTGTCCAGGCTGGTCTTGAACTCCTGGGCCCAAGGGATCCTCCTACCTCAGCTTCCCGTAATGCTGGGATTACAGGTATGAACCACTGTGCCTCGCCTTCTTCCTTTTTTTTTTTTTTTTTAACAGACTCCTGATTTAGTTTACTCTTCTCCAAGCAGCCATGAGATTCAAAGAGAGCAGACCCCAACTCCAGGGGATGAACCATGATTGCTCTAAGCCAACCATGGTGGTCTCATCCCCCCGTCAGTGCCTGGTTTAGGAATGAGCATGTGACACCATCTTGGCCAATGAAACATAAAACTCTCCAGAGGCTTCTAGGACATCAGACAGGGACATTCCCATTTCTGCCCTAAGTGGTTGTTGTCCATAACCCAGACAGAACAAGCCACCTTGGACCTATTGAAGGGAGCCAGTCTAGGATGTCAAGATAAGCTCCCAAGAACTCCAGAGTGGAAAGAAGAAAACTATCTACTCCTTATGACACCTTCACCCCTGAATTAGCCAACCCTGGAGCCACACTACCTGTGAACTTCCTGTGATAGAATCATTCTTAAGCCACTTTAATTGGGTTTTCTACTATTTGTAGCTAGAAACCTACTGACTGATGCACTCCCTTCTCTTGGCATTAGTTTCTCTGTGAGACGAATGGAGGGGTTGTCCTAAAGTCTCACTTTCCTGGTAAGGAATTCAGAGAGCCCTGTGTCTACCATGTTAGTGACAGAAATCCTGTGCAAACCAACTTAAGCACAAAAGGAATTTATTGGCGCTCATGGCTGGAAGGAACACTCTGGTATTTGTAAAATTAAAGAAAGAGCTTCAGGAATCAGGATGGGAGCTGGGGACCCAGTGCCTCTGGGATTCTCTCTGTCTTCTTCCTTCTGTCTCAACTCTGAGATTCCCTGTGTGATGGCCTCAATGTCTCCTATTGAAGATAGATCTCCTCCACATTGGTGGGTGGGAAGAAAACAAGGTGAACAGAAACCAGAGATCTTGGCAACCCTGGTGAGAGAAAGGACCCTTTGCATAGTTTCTCAATCCCAGGACAGGATGCTGGATGGCTCTCTGGGATCACATGCCCATCCTCTGGGTAAATCAGTGTTTCATTGGATACATCGATTGGTCAAGCCTGGGTCATCTGTTTACCTCTGCTGGAGAAGGAGCTTTGGTAATTGATGGATTCATCAGAACCACATGGAGGAGGAGAGGAGCAGCTCCCAAAGTGTGGGGTATACTGTGGAAGCATTGGGAGGACAAAACAAAAACAGATGCTCAAGACACATCTCATTCCCCGAAAGACAGAGGCCCCAAGTGATTTTGTTGTTTTCTTTTTTGAGACGGAGTTTCACTCTTGTCCCCCAGGCTGGAGTGTAGCAGCGCCATCTTGGCTCACTGCAACCTCCACCTCCTGGGTTCAAGTGATTCTCCAGCCTCAGCCTCCTGAGTAGCTGGGATTACAGGCACCTGCCACCACACCTGGCTAATTTTTGTATTTTTAGTATAGACAGGGTTTCACCATGTTGGCCAGGCTAGTCTCGAACTCCTGACCTCAGGTGATCTGCCCACCTTGGCCTCCCAAAGTGCTGGGATTACAGGCATGAGCCACCGTGCCCGGCCCCAAGTGATTCTTCCTACTAAAATCTGCCTTGCATCTTGCCAGTATATTAAGTGAAAGCAATCCTGCTACCCAGAGAAGGGCTTCAATTCTATATGAATGGTGCCCCTTGAAGTGGGACAATGTGGCATCCCTGAACTTGATAATACCTTGAACTTGGACTGCAGATGTGTGGCTGAGCCATAAAGGAGGCCTGCCACCTCTTGGGGATCTTTTCCTAAAACTCTAGCCAAAGGGGGTATTCCATTTTGGATGATGAATCTATCAGTTGGAGCCAGTTAGGACAATTCAGCGTATTCCAAATTGTGTGTGTGTGTGTGTGTGTGTGTGTGTGTGTGTGTGTGTGTGTGTGGTGGGGGAGGCTGTTGATACAGGGAATAGGTTACATGAATGATGGAAGAACCAAGATGCCAATGGTATGATGAGGCACCCCAGAGATTAGCAATACCAATAAGGGATAGGGAGAAAATAGGAGGAGGTAGTGTTAGGTGTTACCAGAGCCCAGAAGCCAGAACCATGTGGAAAGAGCTAAAACCACAGTGGTGAGGGGGCTGCCTAGCAGAATCTGTGATTGTGGAAGGCGGCCTGGGGAAGCTGGAGCCACAGAGGAGACAGCTGCTTCTGGAGAGCCCACCCAAGGCAGAGAAAGGGAGACAAATTCCCTGGCTTCTCCCTTCCTTCTAGCTTGTGAACTCCCTCCAGTGGCCCCACTGGCTGAACTCAGATGGAAGCCAGCTGAAATAAGAGCCCGAGAAACAGAGGCTGCAAGGGCCATCATCCCTGTAGGGCAGGGCAGGGCAGAGCAGATCAGACAAAGGGCAAGGAATGTGTCTGAGGATACATAGGCAAATGACAGACACAATGGCCAACTGGCCTGCGGTGCACATGTTTGTGTCCCTCAAAATTCGTATGTTGACACACCAAGCCATCATAGGATGGTATTAGGAGGTGGCGCCTTCAGGAGGTAATTAGGTCATGAGGGTGGATCGCTATGATGGGATGAGCATCCTTATAAGAAGAGGAAGAGAGCAAGCTCTCTGCTTTCCACCACATGAGGATACAGTGAGAGACAGCCATCTGCAACTGGGAAAAGAGTCGCCACCAAAACCTGGCTATGCTGACACTTGACCTCAGACTTCCAGCCTCCAGAAATGTGAGGAATAAATTTTTGTTGTTTATAAGCCACTCATTTGTTACAGCAGCCCAAGTGGACTAAGATGGGGCCCCATCAGATCCTCTGCCTTGCAAAGCAAGAAGACCACTAGAATCATTTTCACGAAGCCTGCTGACATCCCAGTTCTGGAAGCTTGGAGCCCCTGAGTGACTACAGTGTCTGCACATTCCTGAAAGTCCCACTTGAGCCCCATCTTCTGAAAGGCCCTCACCATACACATTCCCAGCCAGGATCACCCTGTAGTTCTGTAGTCTCCAGATCCAGCCTGGGCCGGCAGGGTTGCTGCCAAAGCCCCAGCATCCAGCTGCAGGGAAAGGAAGGAGAAAGTGGGGGCCCTGCAGAGGAGGGGGCAGTCCGGGGTGCAGGCGCAGGGTTGCAGGAGGGAGGCCTTTTCATGGCTTTCTACCCCCACCACCACCACACGCCAAGAAATATTTTGGGCAGAATGAAAATAAAAGCAAAACACAGCATATCAAAATTTGTAGGTTGTAGCCAGGCACGGTGGCTCATGCCTATAATCCCAGCACTTTGGGAAGCCAAGGTAGGCAGATCACTTGAGGGCAGGAGTCTGAGACCAGCCTGGCCAACATGGTGAAACCACATCTCTACTAAAAGTACAAAAATTAGCCAGGTGTGGTAGCATGCACCTGTAATCCCAGCTACTTAGGAGGCTGAGGCAGGAGAATCGCTTGAACCTGGGAGGTGGAGGTTGCAGTGAGATGAGATCGTGCCATTGCACTCCAGCCTGGGCAACAGAGTGAGACTTCATCTCAAATAAATACATAAATAAATAAATAAATAAAATAAATAATTGTAGTTTGCAGCTAAAACAGTAGTTAGAGGGAAATTTATACCACAGAATCTTTTTATTAGAAAAAAGAAAGGTTTCAAATCAATGATCAAAACTTCTACCTGACAAAACTAGAAAAAGAAAAGCAAATAATCCCCCAAATAAGTAGAAAACAAACATTGAAGAACAGAGCAGAAATCAATGAAATAGAAAACAGACTAACAATAAATCAAATGAATGAAACTAAAAGCTTATTCTCTGAGAAAAATCGATAAAATGTATAAACTGCTAGTCAATCCAAAATTACTTGTAAAAACATTTATAATAGCATCAAACACTATTAAATAGGAATAAATCTGAAAAAAGATGTGTAAGACTGGGTACACTGGAAAAGTAAAATATATTGCTGAGCGGAATTAAGTAAGAAATGGAAAGATATACTGTGGTTTATTAATAAAAAAATCAATATTGTGAAAATGTCAATTCTCTCCAGAATTGATCTATATCAGTGCAATCCCAGTCAGAATCCAGCAGGATTTTACGTGGAAGTCAATAAGCTGATTCTAAAATTTATGTGGCGAGAAAAAGGACCTAGAAGAGCCAAAAGACTCTGAAAAAGAAGAAGTTTGGAAGACTTATACTACCTGATTTATAAAGCTACAGTAATCAAGACAGACAAATAGATTTGCAGAATAGAAAGTCCAGCAATGGACCCATACATATATGATCAATTTATTTTCTTTTATTATTATTTTGAGACAGAGTCTCACTCTGTTGCCCATACTGGAGTGCAGTGGTGCCATCTTGGCACACTACAACTTCTGCCTCCCAGGTTCAAGTGATTCTCCTGCCTCAGCCTCCCAAGTAGCTGGGACTACAGGTGTACACCACCACCATGCCTGGCTAATTTTTTGTATATATATATATATATATATATATATATATATTTTTTTTTTTTTTTTTTTTTTTTTTTGAGACAGGGTCTCGCTCTGTCACCCAGGCTGGAGGGCAATGGTGCCATCTCGGCTCACTGCAACCTCCGCCTCCTGGGTTCATCCTCCTGGGTTCATCCTCCTGCCTCAACCTCCTGAGTAGCTGGGATTACAGGCGCCTGCCACCATGCCCAGCTAATTTTTGTATTTTTAGCAGAGACAGGGTTTCACCAGGTTGGCCAAGCTGGTCTTGAACTCCTGACCTCAGGTGATCCACCTGCCTCGGCCTCTCAAATTGCTGGGATTACAGGCATGACCCACCACGCCTGGCCAAGTTTTTGTATTTTTAGTAGAGATAGGGTTTCACTATGTTGGCCAGGCTGGTCTCGAACTCCTGACCCCAAATGATCCACCAGCCTCAGCCTCCCAAAGTGCTGGGATTACAGGCATGAGCCACCGCACCCGGCCTTGATCAATTTATTTTTAACAAAGGTGACAAGATGATTTAATGGAGCAAGATCATATTTTCAACAAATGGTCCTAGCACAATTGGCTATCCATCTGCAAAAAAAAAAAAAAAAAAAAAAAGAGAGAGAGAACCATACTTTGCACCATACGCAAAAATTAACTTAAAATGGATCATAGGCCTAAGTGCAAAATCTAAAACTATAAAACTTCCAGAAGAAACAAAGAAGAAAAATATTTGTGACTTTGGGTTTGCTACGTATTTCTTAGATGGAACAACAAAAGCACAGATCTTTTTAAAAAATTGATGGATTCAACTTTATCAAAATTAAGAACTTCTATTCTCCAAAAGACACTGTTAAGAGAATGAAAAAACAAGTCACAGTCTGGTATAACATATTTGAAAATTATTTTATAACTTTCTGATTATAAAAATAGAGCCACCCTGGTGTGACTCTGTCCTGTGCAGCTGTTCTCTCCAGCAGTGGTCGTTTATCTCCATCTGCCTTCTCTCCCACCTAAGTGCGTGGCACCACCTGATGGAAGATTTGATGGACATGGACATGAGCCCACTGAGGTCCCAGAACTATCTTTTCAGTTGTGAACTAAAGGCCAACAAAGATGATCATTTTAAGGCGGATAATGATGAAGATGAGACCAGTTATCTTTAAGAACAGTCAGTTAAGGGGCTGGAGCAAAGGATGAATTGCACATTGTTGAAGCAGAGGCCATGAATTACAAAGGCAGTCCAATTAAAGTCACACTGGCAACTTTGAAAATGTCTGCACAACCAATGGTTTCCCTTGGGGGCTTTGAAATAACACCACTAGTGGCCTTATGGTTGAAGTGTGGTTCAGGGCCAGTGCATGCTAGTGGACAGCACTTAGTAGCTGTGGAGGAAGATGCAGAGTCAGAAGGTGAAGAGGAGGAGGATGTGAAACTCTTAAGTACATCTGGAAAGCAGTCTGCCCCTGGAAGTGGTAGCAAGATTCCACAGAAAAGAAGTAAAACTTGCTGCTGATGAAGATGATGATGATGATGATGAAGAAGATGATTTTGATGATGAGGAAACTGAAGAAGCGCCAGTGAAGAAATCTATACAAGACACTCCAGCCAGAAATGCACAAAAGTCAGATCAGAATGGAAAAGTCTCAAAACCATCATCAACACCAAGATCAAAAGGACAAGAATCCTTTAAAAAACAGGAAAAGACTCCTAAAACACCCAAAGGACCTCGTTCTGTAGAAGACATTAAAACAAAAATGCAAGCAAGTATAGAAAAAGCACATGGAACAGTCCTGGGCACTACTGGTAAATTAAGCCCAAAGATGGGGAGACAGGAAAAGGAGAGACAAATATAGTCCATACTGAGTGTCACCAACAATCCAGACTGAAGTCTTCTATTTTAATCTCAATCCCCTTTTTGGATTTGCCACCATGGCTCTTCAGGCTGGAAACAATTTGGTTCCCAAAAGCACTTTCTCTGACTGCTGTGATTCAGTGAAACTTGCCCTTTGCTTTCTATTACTTGTGCATTTGCCTCACCTCTGGCCATGTTTTAAATCACCTTTGTATCTCCTTAACTGCTCAAAAAAATATTATTTGAATGAATTTTTTTAAAAAAGAGCCACCTTGGGCCTATTGAAGGTAGCCAGTCTAAGAGGTCAAGACAAACTCTCAAGGACTCCAGAGTGGAAAGAAGAAAACTATCTACTCCTTATGACATCTTCACCACTGAATTAACCAACCCTGGAACCACACTATCTCTGAACATCCTGTTATAGAATCATTCTTAAGCACTTTAGTTGGGTTTTCTATTATTTTTAGCTGGAAACGTATTGACTGATGTACTTCCTTCCCTTAGCATTAGTTTCTCTGCGAGAAAAATGGAGGAGCTCTCTGAACTCCTTACCAGGAAAGTGGTAAAGGATTTGATATCTGATAAAAGATTTGTTTCTAGAATGCATTAGGAACTCTCAAAACTCAATAAAGAAAACAAGCAACCCAACAAAACTGGCAAAAGATTTGGACACTTCCCCGAAGAAAAAATACAGATGGCAAATAAACATATGAAAAGATGTTCGACATCATTAGTTATTAGGGAAATTAAAATTAAACCCACCATGAGATATCACTATATATCTATTAGAATGGCCAAAATTAAAAACTGACCACACCAAATATTATTGAGGCTGTGGAAGAATTGGAATTCTCATATATTGTTAGTGGGAATGTAAAATGATATGATCACTTTGAAAACATTTTGGCAATTTCTTTTTTTTTTTTTTTTGAGACGGAGTCTCACCCCGTCGCCAGGCTGGAGTGCAATGGCGCAATCTCGGCTCACTGCAACCTCCGCCTCCCAGGTTCAAGTGATTCTCCTGCCTCAGCCTCCCAAGTAGCTGGGACTACAGGCTCGTGCCACCATGCCCAGCTAATTTTTTTTTTGTATTTTTAGGGAACGGGTTTTCCCCATGTTGGCCAGGATGGTCTCGATCTCTTGACCTCATGATCCACCTGCCTTGGCCTCCCAAAGTGCTGGGATTATAGGCGTGAGCCACCGTGCCCGACCAACAATTTCTTAAAAAGTTGAACATACACCCACCTCATGACCCAGGCATTCTACTCCTAGGTATTTACTGAAGAGAAATGAAAGCACTTGTCCCTACAAATATTTGTAGACAAATGTTCATAGCAGTGTTATTCACAATAGTCAAACTTCTAAACAACCCAATGTCTTTAAATTTGAATGAATAAACAAATTCTGGTATATCCATACAATGGAATATTACTCAGCCATTAAAAGGGAAAGAAATACTGATACATGCAACAACATGAATGTGTCTCAGTTATGCATCTCATTAGATTCACAGACAAAACTAATTATGCCTACTAAAGGAAGCCAGAGAAAAATAGGTGCGTTCTCTATGATTCCAGTTTTGTGAAATTCTAAACAGTACAAACTAATCTATCGCACAGAAAGCACATCAGTAGTTGCCTGGGGTTGGAGGTGGGATAGGGAGAAACAAAAGGGAGGGATCACAAAGGATCATAAGGAACCCTTTGGGGGTAATGGATGTGTTCACTATCTTGACTGTGGTGATAGCTTCATGGGTGGATACATACATCAAATCTTATCAAATTGTACACTTAAATATGTGCAATAAATGGCTTTATATCTCAATAAAGCCATTTTATTTTTTATGAAGTAGACTTTTTTCTTTCTTTCTTTCTGTACATAGCATGTTTTTAGTTCTTTTTTTTTAATTTATTTCCATAGGTTTTTGGAGAACAGGTGGTATTTGGTTACATGAGTAAATTCTTTAGCGGTGATTTGTGAGATTCTGGTGCACCCATCACCCAGGCAGTATACACTGAACCAATTTTTAGTCTTCTATCCCTCACCCCCTTCCCACCCTTTCCCAAGAGTCCCCAAAGTCCATTGTATCATTCTTATGCCTTTGCATCCTCATAGCTTAGCTCCCACTTATAAGTGAGAACATAAAATGTTTGGCTTTCCATTCCTGAGTTACTTCACTTAGAATAATAATCTCCAATCCCTCCAGGTTGCTGCAAATGCCATTAATTCATTCCTTTTTATGGGTGAATAGTATGCCATCATATATATGCCACAGTTTCTTTATCCACTCGTTTACTGATGGGCATTTGGGCAGGTTCCACATTTTTGCAATTGTGAATTGTGCTTCTATAAACATGTGTGTCCAAGTATATTTTTCGTATAATGACTTCTTTTCCTCTGGGTAGATACCCAGGAGTGGGACTCCTGGATCAAATGGTAGTTCTTTTAGTTCTTTTGTTTGTTTGTTTTGTTTTGTTTTGTTTTGTTTTGTTTTGTTTTTGAGATGGAGTCTCGCTCTGTCACCCAGTCTGGAGTGCAATGGCGCTGTCTCTGCTCACTGCAACCTCAGCCTCCTGGGTTCAAGCAATTCTCCTGCCTCAGCCTCCCGAGCACCTGGGATTACAGGCACGTGCCACCACACCCAGCTAATTTTTTGTATTTTTAGCAGAGACAGGGTTTCACCATGTTAGCCAGGATGGTCTCTATCTTCTGACCTCGTGATCCACCCACCTCAGGCTCCCAAAATGCTGGGATTACAAGCATGAGGCACTGCACCCAGCCAGTTCTTTCAGTTCTTTAAGGAATCTCCACACCGTTTTCCATAGTGGTTGTACTAGTTTACATTCTCGCCCACAGTGTAAAATGTTCCCTTTTCACCACATCCACGCCAACTTTGATTATTTTTTAATTTTTCGATAATGGCCATTCTTGCAGGAGTAAGGTGGTATTGCATTGTGGTTAGGAATGATTTCACAGAGGAGAACTGAGGCAGAGCAATTTAATGGAAAGGTACAATATGGAATAGCGTGTGAGCACTCAAGGTCGGACTATCTGCCCCAGCTCCGATTGTGTTGGACGTTGTAAATGACACCATGATGGACATCCTTGAACATAAAACCTTCAAGCACATCTTGGATCATTTCTTTAGGGTAAATTCCTATATTTAACTTGACCTCTTAGTACCTCAGTTTTCTCATCTGTAAAATGGGATTAACAATGATGCCAATGTCAGTGGGTTGTGGAATTTAATAAAGCTGTCTGTGCCTGTGTATGTGTGTTACCTAGAACAGTTTCTCACACCTAGTAATTCCATGTTACCAAAAGCTGGATGAATTCGAGGGAGACAAAAACACAGATGTCCCCATATCCCTGTGGTGTTGGCTGATGGTTTCCAGCTAGATTGCCAGCTCCTGGAGCTGAGCGACCAGGAAGGGCACACAGCCCAGTGGAAGCCTGAGGAGAGACAGGTGGCGGGAGGCGGTGTTAACAGAGGCAAAAGAGAGCTCAGAGCACCCAGCTTGTCTTCTGGGCAAAGCGTCTGAAACAGAGAAAATTCAATTGTTGTGATCATGTATTTTTCCCCCAAATTTCATGCTGGTAGAACTACTGGCCAGTAATTACCTAGCAAATTAGAGAATCTACCAGGTCCCCAATTAGGTACCCAAGGACATAATTGGTCCCTAATTAGAAAAAGTTGCCAAATGGGAACAATTATCTCTGTTCTCCATTTCATTTCCTCCCTCCTCGAGCCAAATCTCTCTGCTTCCCTCCCCCAGTGGGTCTTCCTGCTACCCCTTTGGGGTTGGGGGATGGGAGGAGGGAGACGAAGGCTCGTGCCAGTCACACCAGCAGTGCCCACCTTGGAGATGGTGCTGGGGGCCTCTCCTTTGCATTCCCAGGAGCCCCAGGCACTCCCCACGTTGCTTCCTAAGGGGCTGTTTACTAAACTGTAGGCAAGGGTTAGTCTTATTCATCTGTCTGTTTCCTGATCTAGGTCAGGGCCTGGCATTAAGAAAATGCTTAGAAATGATTGTTGAAGTGCAAGGACGGCTCTGGGTCAGAGTGACGGTGCTGAGTGCCTCCTTCCATTCAGAGAGTAGGGGGCTTACTGCACAACCCTCACTGACCACACGCTGCCATGGCCCAGCAATGCCATCCCGCCAACACCTGGCAGGAGGTCAAGCAGGAGGCATAATCTCTACCAGCCTTCTTCATCCTTTGTTCTGAAGTTGGAAACATCCCTCTGAGAGGAGGGAATCAAGAAAAGTTTCATGGAGCAGCTGGTGTTTGGTTTGGGAAATTTGGAGTTCAGAGGAAAATCCAACAGAAGCAGTTGCAGAAGGTCAGAGATAGGCACTCTGGACAGGAGAGGAGCCTTGTCCAGCTGAATGATTGGGGGAACTCAGAGAAGTAGCCAACAGCCAGGCTGGGGATGCGACACAGGGACCACCAAGGATTGTGGGTTTCCTCGCGGAAGCACCAGGGAACTGTCCAGGTCAGAACTTCCTGGAAGGTGGAGCCAATTTGTGCTCATAATACCATCAAGAGTAAAAAGATGAAAGGCAGAGGAAGCAGGCATGAGGCGGCTGCAGCGGGTTGAACAGACACTAGAGAAAAGAGGCCGTCAGGGCAGCGATGGCCCCAAGCAACTCTGATTAGATGGCAAGGGCAGAGTGGGGGTTAGTAGAAGATCAAACCAAAAGCCTCATCTTTTCTCTTAGTCATGTCCTAAAGAAATTATCCAAGATGTGCTTGAAAGTCTTACGTTCAATGATGTCCATCATGGAAGAAGGGAGTGGTAAAAAGACTAGGGACGGCCAGGCATGGTGGCTCACGCCTGTAATCCCAGCACTTTGGGAGGCCGAGGTGGGTGGATCACTTGAGGTCAGGAGTTCGAGACCAGCCTGACCAACATGGAGAAACCCCGTCTCTACTAAAAATACAAAATTAGCCAGGCGTGGTGGCACATGCCTATAATCCCAGCTACTCGGGAAGGCTGAGGCAGAGAATCGCTTGAACCTGGGAGGCGGAGGTTGCAGTGAGCCAAGATCACGCCATTGCACTCCAGCCTGGACAACAAGAGCAAAACTCTGTCTCAAAAAAAAAAAAAAAAAAAAAAGAAAAGAAAAAGAAAGTTACCCAAAAGCAGATGTAGAGAACCGGGTGCAGTGGCTTAAGAGGGCCTTCCACAAGAGCGCCACAGGGTAGCATCCCTCTGGAGTGGGCAAGCCCTGGTGGTAGAAGAGAGCCTTGTAGGGCCCCAAAGTCGTCATGACCAGGGCCAGTCGGGTGGGGCTGGGGGCAGCAAGTCACTGATCCCAGAACTGGGAGGGGCACAAAAGGAAGTGGGGCCCCCTCCCCACCCACTGTCCCCTCTTCCATCTGCCTCCCGCTCCCCCACCTTCCATTCCAGAAGCTTCCAGCAGGAGGGCATTTCAGGCTTCTCTGAAGAGGGGACTAATTAAACCTTAATTGACACAGCACTAATTAACTTCTTAATTACACGGAACCACATGATTAGCCACGCAGCAGACACTAATTGTTCATTAGGAGGCAGCCCCCTCTGTCCCCCACCCCTTTCCTAGGACCTACCAGCTAAGGTACCTGAGGGGCGCAGAGTTGGCAACCCCACCACCCAGCCCAGTGCCTGAGCCCAGCCTGCTCCAGAGCCTCAGCTGGAATAGCACTCACCGCCCTGGCCTGAAGCTAGCTGCCCTTCCATAATCGTGACACAAATGATCACTGAGCGCCTTGGATCCTGGCCTTTGCAGCCCTCCTCCTTCAAACCCCTGGCCCAGATGAGGAGTAAAGCAGGTGTTCCAGAGCGCTGAGTTTCTTCCTCCCTGGGGTGAGGGGAGCCCAGGACAGGCCCAGCTCAGAGAGTGAGAGGGAACCAGCCTTCTCGAAAGGCCCGCCTCACACCAGTCGCCTCCCACAGCTGAGAATATTGAACCTCCCGATGCCCAACGGAACAGGCGTCTTCCACGTTGAGGAGACCGGCTCCACAAAATTGAGAAATATACCCAGGAGGTTCACACTGCGAGTGAGGGGTGGAGCCAGGTCCAAGCAGGCCTTCTCCAAAGCCAAGCTGCTCTCCCCTGGCCCGGCAGCCTCCTGCAGAATTTCCCGGGTCCCACAGTGTTGGAAACTGGGACCTGGGCTGGGAAGGGGACTTGCCCCTTCCATGGAGCCATCTGCCCCCCAGCAACACAGCTTAACTTCTCTGCAGAGCCAGGAGAAGGGAGGGCCCCCAGGGAACAGGAGCAGGCTGCCTGGGCTCAAATTTCAGCTCTTTCCTTCCTAGCAGTGTGGCGTTGGGCGAGTTACTCAACCCCTCTGTGCCTCAGTTTCCTCCTCTGTACAATGGAGACAAGGATAGTACCCTCTCCATAGGCTTGTTGTGGGGATTGGATGAGCAAATGCATGAAAAGTACTCAGAGCAGTGCCTTCTTTGCCAAGCAGGTGCTCCACGAGGGCGGCTGTCACTGTGATCTGGAATGGAGGTTGTTCATACCTCCAAGCCTGTCTGCAGATTTGAGTCCCCCCACCCTACTCTCCCACCCTCAGATTTCCTCTCCTCTGTCTAGCCTTGGGGGCCACTCCCAACAGCTCCACCTTCCTTGTGTCTAGGATGTCACCTCCGGCTCCTGAGACTGCTCCCACCTCTCTATACACCTCCGCACCCAGGCTGTTCTGCTTCCCCAAGGTGGCCCAGCCCTAGCCATTCCATGTGTGTACACAGACGCCCCAGCCCATCCCACCAGGCGGGATGGACAGAAAGGCTACAGACACCTCATAGACCAGTGATCACTCATCTTGCTGCTCCCAAGACAGTCCCAGTTGTCATGTGTTGCCCTGGTGTGATCTTTAATAATGTCCCCTTCCACTTTCAGAGTCTCCTGATCTGGACAATAAATGCTGTGATCCCTCCTTGGGTAACACCCCCACCCCAGCATGGGCCAAGTGCTTTGCTGGATGTGATTCACACCAACCCCAGAGACACCCCAGCCTGGGAGGCTGCCTTGTTGTCCCCACCTGACCAAAGAGGAAAAAACAAAGGCACAGAGATAAGGGTGGAGGACTTCCCCAAGCCCCGACACTAGGAAGGGGAGGAGGTGGGATGCCAACCCATGTCCCGGGCCTCGGAAGCCATGGCCCTTCCCCTCCTTCCCCACCTAGCCCCCCACCTTCTCTATGCCAGCAAGATAAAAGGGTGGGTGTGTGGGTGAGGAGGGCTAGAGGTTATTTGTGGGGTTGGGGGACAGGAGGCTATTTGTGGGGAGCTGTTTGCTGAATGTCAAGAACTGCACTACAAATAGGAACAGCCCATGAAAAACACTGAGGGGAAAAAATCTATGATCTCTTCAAGGGGTGGTGAATGAGCTTGTCAGGCCCTGCACAGTTTAATGGACATGAGGCAACAGGGATATTAAGGCCGGTTTGAGGGGAGCCTCAGTGTCCTGGCCCACAGCTTATTCCTCATGTAGGCATCTCCAGGAACCAGCCCTGGGGTGCAGCGGTGCTGGCTTCAGGGTGGAGTGGGCAGAGATTTGCTCACTGACCCCTCACCAACTCCTCCATGCTTCTCACCTGTCCAGGTCCCTTTCCAGGGATCCAGGCCTGGTCTCCAGGGCCTAAGCGGGAGCACCCACCTCTTCCCGAACTGGGTCAGGCCCTGGCTCTTGGTGGGGGAGGGGGCAAGGGAGGTGAATCAGATGCCCAGCTCTGGCCCCTGCCCTGAGCATGCTGTGGGCAGTGCCAGCCACTCCCACCCCCCACAAGTCCCTGTTGTCACTGCAAGAGACACAGCAATTAGGTCAGCCCCCACTCCAGATGCTCACCCCCTTCTCATTAACTGGAAACTATGACAGTGTAGCAAGGAAGGCCCTCTGGGTGTGTTTCCCATCTGTTGCTCTATTTCCAACACAAGCTGCACATCCCGCCTGGAATTCCTGTGCCTCTTCTCCTTCTCTTATCTAGGCCCTTGTTGTCCTTGGACGAGTTACCGAGTCTCTCTGCACCTTTTCCTCCTCATCTCTAACATGGACATAACCATGGTCACCTCCCAGGGTTCGCAGAAGGCTCACTGGGATAATTCATATAAAGCACGTAGCACAGGGCCTGACACAGAGCAGGAACTCAGTAAACGAAACTACAGTCTTTCAAGGCTCAGCCCTAATCCCTCTTCCTACAGGAGGCCCTCCTTGACTGCCCCAGCCGTATATGAGTGTTCCCTCCTCTGCCTTCCACTGCCTGCTCCTTGGTGCTTGCCACACCCCGAGGTATGTTCCTTTGTTGTAGTTGTACACCTTATCACAACACTCACTGGGGCTTACTACGTGCCAGGCACTAAGTGCTTTACATCTGTCAACTCATTTAATCTGACAGCATCCCTTGAGGCAGATGCACTCTTATTATCCCCATTTAACAGAGGAAGACAATGAGGCACAGAGAGGTTAAGTAATTTGCCTGAGGTCACACAGCAAATAAAGTGATGCAGAGCCCAGGCGGTCAAACGCCAAAGTCTATACTTTTAACCTCTACCATAATCATAGAATTGATACATACTTTTCGGGGGGAGGAGGAAGGGATGTAGTATATACACATGACAAGTACCCATGGGCTTTGTGGGGTTTCCAGTTTCACTGGCAGGTACGCTTAGGGTACTGCACAGGTGCTGTGATGTGTATTCACAGCATGTGTACAGTGTGTGTGCAGAGATGTGTCTAAATACAATGTTGTATGTACAGAGAGCTTAGACGCCACTTGGACAGTGCATGCACACTCATACAATGCATATACGTGCACCCAGTGTGTGATTCTGCCGGGGGTTTGTAGGAGGGCACGTCACAGTCCTTTGTGTGGCTGTCATTCTGCCTTAACAACAGTTAAGTGCTGGGGAGGGAAGTGGAGTAGTGTTTATTTCCCCTTCTTTAGAGATTGAGATGCCGAAGCCTGGAGAGGCTATATGCCTAGCTCCCCATGTAGGAATCTAGGCTTCCTTCTCCATGATATCCTGCTCACCATGTGTGAGGGGTGCAAACACCATGTGACACAAGTGCACATCTGTGTGTACACACCAAGCACACCTTGCATATGTGTGTCAGCAACGCGTAGGTATTTGAACAATGCCTTTGTATGCGTCTTTGGGTGCACAGAGGATCTACGTGATCTGTGGGTGATGACTGTGCACATGTGCATGCATGCGTGTGTTTGTGCAGTGAGAGGTGTATATGCATGCATACATAGGAGGAAATATGGGGGCTGGAAAGGTTGCAAAGTAAAAACAGCTGGATTCCAGTCCTGTCTCTGTCACTGCCTAGCTGTGTGATCTTATACAAGTTGCTAAATCTCCCAAGACTCAGTTTCTGTGTCATAAAATGAGAATAACACCTATTTCAGAAGAGTTGGGAGTAGAGTTGGCAGACATAGAGCTCATAGAGCACAGTAGGCGCTCCACGTGTGTGTGCTCTTTGAGAATGTATTTGTGTGCACGTGCATGTGTGTGTGCTGTGCAGGCTGTGTATATGGAGCAGTGTGTATCTGCAGAGTGTAGAAGTGTATGGGGGAGCATAACGGGTGAGTGTGCATGTGTGTGTGTGTCTATGCGTGTGCTTTGTGCATACCGGGGGAGTGCCCAGGCTGTGGAGTTATGTGTGGAGTGGGGGTGGGGGTGCACAATGGTCTGACTGTGGCATGTGTGACTATGTGTTTTGCATGCCATGTGTGCATGGGGCAAGGGGGCTGTGCCCAGGCCCCTCATTCTAGGTGAGGCTGAAGTCGAGGGGCCTGGCTGGGTGGAAGTGGGTATCTCTGGCTGTCAGTCCCGTGCTGGGTGGGGGGTGCCCCCGCCAGTGGTGATTGAGCCCCCACTCTCCCACCAGGCCTGCCAAAATACAGCAAGACAGGGTGTAATTACCGGCACTTACCGCGGCCATTACCCCCCTCGCTGCGGCGCGTGACACACGACCCGTCAGCTCCGCGTTTGCACCATTAAGGGGCCTCATTAGCATCCCGGCTCAGAAGCAAAATTACCCTCACTGCTCATTTCAAGATGTCATCAATTTTAATTTAGGGCCCAAAGATAGTACAATGGAAAGGCCCTCCCCGGCCCGCCGCACATGGAGAGAGAGGAGAGGGTGGGGGAGGAGGCTGCTGCGGGGGAGTCAGGGTGGAGGGGATGTTGCATGAAGGGAGAAGAGGGACAGAGGCAGGGAGTGGGGAAAGATGGGGCTGAGCCATGAGGGGAGGAAAATGTTGATATTCCCCCCAAAAAAATGTCCCCAGGGTAGGGCCTTTGCTGGCACCCCCTTGAGAGGAAAGAGGAATTTCGGGCACAATAGAAGGCATGGCCCTGACCCACCCACCCTCTCGAGGGCCATGTACAGTCTAAGATATCTGGAGCCACATCATGTGCTAAATGCAGGGCCGACTTCTTCCCTTCAGTCGTTCCTTTAATTCCTACAACATCCTTAGGAGGTAGACATTGCAATCTCCCATTACAGATAGGGAAACTGAGGCACAGGGAGGCTCCATCACATGGCAAGTCATGGCAGAGCCAACGTTTAAATGCAATCTGGGCCCAGCGTGCAATACACCAGCTAACGCCTGGAATCCCAACATTTTGGGAGGTTGAGGCAGGAGGATGGCTTGAGCCCATAAATTCGAGACCACCTGGGCAACATAGTGAAACCTAATCTCTACAAAAAATACAAAAACTAGCCAGGTGTGGTGGTGTGTGTCTGTAGTCCCAGCTACTCAGAAGGCTGAGGCAGGAGGATCCCTTGAGCCCAGGAATTTGAGGTTGCAATGAGGTATGATCACTCCACTTCTCTCCAGCCAGGGCAACAGGGCGAGACCCTGCCTCAAAAACAAGGGAAGAAAAGCAAGTCTATTTGGCTTTGCTGCTCCCTGCCTTCCTGGACCCGACCTATGGCCTTGTCTTCCTGTCAACATGCCTGGGCCCGTGGGTGGGGACAAAGGTGGCCGCCCACTCGGCCTCATCTACTGTCCCACCATCTCCTCTAATCTGCAGGTACCCCCCTTTGTCAGGCCTTTGCACACTCTGTGTCCAATGCCTAGAATGCCCCTCCCTCTCCTTCCATGCGCCTTCCCTCTCCCCTTGTCAGTCTGGTCCCTCACAACCCAGCTTAATGTCACTTCTACTCCTTTTGCTGAACCCACACGGAATCATGATTGCAGGCTCACATCTGCCTCCCTGTGCCCACTCTGTCACCAGGACCAGCTGGCCTTTATCCACCCACATATCCCCAGCACCCAGCACAGGGCCAGCTCAAAGTGGGTGCTCAGGGTATGCTGAGTGAATGAGCACCCACTTTGCTCCACAAACCCACCGCATCCCAGCCAGTCTTCTCGCCTTCAGGTTGAGTTAGGACTGTTGTCTGGACAGAAAGGGACCACGGAGCTCTCCCCACCCCACCCTCCATTGCTTAGATGAGCAGCTGGGGCTTAAGATGAAGTGGGCAGGGGCTCAAGAGGTGATATTTAGGTCTCTCTGATGGCACAAGAGCAGGTGTGCCACAAATGTTTGTTGAATGAACATTTGACTGAGTATGAATAAATGAATAAATGGGTGAAAAGCACCACTCCCTGGCCACTTTCAGATCCCTCCAGGGACAGAAATCTTAGGCCTCACAGCAACTGGAGGTATCAATACTCCTGGGGCATTTTCATTTTATAAGCAGAGGCTGGGCACACTATACACCCTGAAAGAGATGGAGAAGCTTCCCAGGCAGCTCCACAGACCTCTGGCTGGTGGAGATTTTCCAGAAGGCCTGGTTTGGGAGGTATTAGGGAGGTCCTTCTTGTCTTCTCGGTATTTCCAGCCAGCTCTGCCACCTCAGTCTGTCCTAACCCACAGTGGAGCTAAGGCATGTCCCTGAAGCCCGTGAGCCTTAGTTTCTCCAAGTGTAAAGAAAGAGGCCATACCCCACATCTCAGCTCTTCAGGCCACCATGGCATGAGGCTTGGTGACATGGCAGCAGGAGGGCCAGACCCGGGGGTGGAAGACACAGGCCAAGGGGAAAGGCCAATACCTGCACCACCCTCAGCCCTGACCAGGTCCGGCCTGTCTTCTTTCATGCCTAACAAGCCCCTAGCTCCTTGGCCACTGCATGGGTGAGAGGAGAGGGAAGGGCCCCCCATCCTGAGCCCTGCGCCAGGGTCCTCGCTGGCGGCAGGCGCCGGTCTCCGGCCTCACAGAAGACAGATAGCTCCCTTAATCACTCTGGAAAAGAACCCCAAGCCGATATAATATTATAATTAATTAATTCACTAAAAAGGTATTAAATTTCTCTCCCCCCTGTGGATATTATCTGAATTCATTGACCTTTAGAAAAATCACCCTCTAATTGTAACCAGGTCCAAAAGCATTTGCAGCCCGTCCCTTTTACATTAATAATATCTTCCCAGACTCGGCTCTGGCTGCTTAAATATTGTATAAATTCCACTGCCCCCCTTGGAAAGAACAGAGCAAAGAAAAAAAAGATGAGGCTGGAGAAGTCTGAGAGGGGGATGGGGCCTGGGCCCCAAGAGGTAGGAGTTCCAGGAGGTGAGGGGGCAGGAGGTACACCCAGGTGCCTGGGAAGGGGCTCTCTGGCGGCTGCAGCTGAGCCAGGCAGCTTGAAAGACAGGGGAGGGGCATGGGCTTTGAGATGGAGCACGGGGCATGGGTTGAGAGCTTGAGTGTTGAACCTGAGGTTAGTTTTTAGGAGGCTATGTGTGTGTTTGTCTGGGGAGAAGGTGTGTAGCATGTATCAGACTCTCATCTAAGTTAATGGCGTCAAACAGTAAAGGAAGAATCTCTGCTTTAAAGGAACCATGGATAATGGAAACATGGCATTCCAAGCAGCACATTCCAAGGCCCTGCAACCCCCTCCCCGGCTGCCACTCCAACTCTAGCCTCCCAGGCCCTGTTCTACAGATGGTGGAGCCGGCCGCCCAGCAGATGCAGTTGGACATGCAGAACTTCCTAAGGCTGAAGAGGTAGGTACTAACGCAGGCCGAGCAGCTGATGGGGATAGACAGATGCAGGAACTGGAGCTGAAGACAGCAGGGTCAGGGGCTGGGGCTCTGTCTGCATCCTCCACCCTCACCACCTCTGCTACCCCAGCAGCCTGGCTCCTGCCGAGGGCCCCACAATGGATCCAAGGGAGCTACTGCTTCTCGTCCTCTTAGCTTTGACCTCTTTCTCTGCTTCCTCTCCCACTGTACGTGTCTGTTTGTTCTCTAAGCCTCCCTAAAATGAAGGGGCTGGACAGGCTCATCCCTCCTGTGTCCACACCAGCCAATGTCCTTACTCTGCCTTTTTATTTTTTAGAAACAGTGTCTTGCTGTATTGCCCAAGCTGGAATGCAATAGCATGATCATAGCTTACTGCAGCCTCAAACTTCTGGGCTCAAGCAGTCCTCCCATTTCAGCCTCCTGAGTAGCTAGGACCACATGTGTACACCACCATGCTTGGCTAATTAAAAAAAAAAAAAATAGAGTTAAGGGTCTTGCTATGTTGCCGAGGCTGGTTTTAAACTCCTGGCCTCAAGCAATCCTCCTGCCTCAGCCTCCTGAGTAGCTGGCATTACAAGTGCAAGCCACCACACCTGGCCCTACTCTGCCTTTTAAAAAAGAATTTCCAGGCTGGGCACGGTGGCTTACACCTGTAATCGCAGCACTTTGGGAGGCCAAGGAGGGCAGATCACCTGAGTGAGGTCAAGAGTTCAAGACCAGCCTGGCCAACATGATGAAACCCCATCTCTACTAAAAATACAAAATAATTAGCTGGGCGTGGTGGCAGGCACCTGTAATCCCAGCTACTCAGGAGGCTGAGGCAGGAGAATTGCTTGAACCTGGGAGGCGGAGGTTGCAGTGAGCTGAGATCATGCCATTGCACTCCAGCCTGGGCAGCAAGAGCAAAACTCCATCTCAAAAAAAAAAAAAGGCCGGGTGTGGTGGCTCACACCTATAATCCCAGCACTTTGGGAGGTTGAGGCTGGCAGATCAGCTGAGGTCAGGAGTTTGAGACCAGCCTGGCCAACATGGTGAAATCCCATCTCTACTAAAAATAAAAAATTAGCTGGGTGTGGTGGTGTGCGCCTGTAGTCCCAGCTACTCAGGAGGCTGAGGCAGGAGAATCGCTTGAACCCGGGAGGCAGAGGGTGCAGTGAGCCAAGATTGCGCTACTGCATTGTAGTCTGGGAGACAGAGTGAGACTTCATCTCAAAAAAAAAAAAAAAAAAAAAAAAGAATTTCCTCCATGGACCTGACACTTGGAAAGGTGTTGTCCACCAAATAAATATTGCTGAAGGATGCATTGCCCTCTTATTGAATCAGAGTCGTTCATAATCACCAGCCAGATTCCATTCCAGCCACAAAGTGAGGGTCCTTCAGGCTGGTCTCAGAAACAGGAACACTTTCTGGTGGCTTATTGAAATACCGGAAGTAGTTCCTGGGCCGGCCTCAGCCAAATCGGTAGGACTGCAGGACTCCCAGGCAGGATGGGAGCCACCCAGGCAGACAGCTTGGAATGTACAATGAAGCTGAGACTCCCCCACCCCCACCAGCCGCGGCGGGCAGCTGCCTAGTCCTGGCCCAGGGCACCCTCTTGTGGACAGAACCCCACTCACACCCTCTGTCCTGTCGAATATGCAGTCCATACTCCAATGCCAGAGGTAGTGGCCAGGCTGAAGGAGCCCAGGGGCAGGAAAGCAGCAGGCAGGTGGAGGCGGGGATATCAGTGATCTTTTTCTTTTTTTTTTTTTTTCCTTTTTAAAAATGTTTTAAATATTTATTTCTTTTTAGCAGACATCTGCTGGCAGGAAGGGCTATCCGTGATCTTGAAGGGCTGTGAGAGGAAGCAGGTGGGCAGCCCTCCACTCCACTAGGTCAATCCCCAGGGTGAAGTGGAAGAGCCAGTGGGGTCGGGAGAGACTTCTCAGGGGCCTGAAGGACCGGCCTTGGGACTTCCCGGAGCCTTCATCCCCCGGCCAAGGCAGGCCAAGCCTAGTTAATCAGGTGTCTCACAGAGTTCAGGGCTTGACCCAGACGGGGCTCAGAGGGGTTTCCAGGGCATGGGTAAGTCCCAGGTGGTGGGGTGGAACCTGGAACTAGGAGGAGGCGCCAGCGCCCCGGCTGGCTCAGGCTCCACAAGGTCATCCCCGGCTCCATCTGACCTTGAGATTAATCCTGCAGCCTGCGCCAGCCCGGCCACCATCAGCGCCCAGCCGCCCGGCCCATTTTCCTTCTCTCCCCTCGCACGCTAATTGCTCAACGTTGATTTGATCTCCCGTTCGGCACAGAGGAAATTGCCCTATTAGCCATTTTCATCCCGGGATTTTTTTTTTTTTTTAAATTAGGCCCCTTCAGCCTCTCAGGGCGATGACGGGGAGCCATTTTGGTCTCTGCCTGAAGCGGCCGTGGAGAGCAGAGGGGAACTGGATGAAGCCCGAAAAGCCCTCTCCCTGTTCCCGCCAGGCACCGGGGCTCGAGCAGCCGCCAGTCGAACCCTGACTGTCCCCAGCCCATGTCCCCCTCCTAGGCGAGGTCATAAACACCAACGTCTCCAAGCAGAGGCCCAAGGACTGCAGCTCGGAGGAAAGGCCGCGCCCAGGCCTCGCTGCCAGAGCCAGAGCGGGGCGGGGGGACCCGGGCCCATAACACCCCACGCGCCGTCCTGGACTCCCATCTCCTCCCTGTCTAGCTCACGGGGGTCCCTTTCCCCAGAGCCCTAGCAGGACGCAGCCCCTCAGTTACCGGGAAGCCCGTCTGGCAGACAGAGCGCGAGCGCCGCCTCCAGAGCGCCCAGCTACAGCTTCTCAAGCCGGGTGGCCGCCCACCTGGGGAGGTCACCCCCAGAACAGGGGTGGGACAGAAGAAGCATGCCCCCCACCCCGGGCCCAGGGTGCCCCAAATAAGCAGCTAAGGGCGGCGCACTTGGTTTGTGAGCAACCCTCTCGCCACATCAACTAGTCTCGCTCCGGCCGCCGCTGGAGGTGTGGAACCGGCGTGGCCGCAGCGCCACCTCGTGGCCGTGAGGAGGGACCGTGCCCCCCTCAGCACCCAAACCCCTCGTCTTCCCCGGGCAGGGCTGAGGCGTGTGACAAGCGTGTTCCCTCTTCCCTGTACCCCCCACCCCGACTCCCTTCAGGCAGCATCCGCACTCTGGAGGGGGCCCGCTGGGTTGAATCCTCCCGTTCGCTGTCAGCCCTAGACCCACTCCAAAGAGACAGGACCAGCAAGTACAAAGCACAGTGTTTACTAAAGGCACAAAGTGAGGGGTCGGAGGGCAGCTGCTCTTCCGGCAGTGACCCCTCCCGCTTCTGGCAGCCCCCGCGCTCACACCACCTGGTGGAGAGCTATTAGCACCAAAGTGGGGGGTGCCCACCTGTGGGAGAGCCGAGGACCAGGCTGCGGGGTGGACCTCCTGCCATCTGAGTCCCAAAAAGGCAGGCCTGAGCACCCCCAGGACCAGTTGCCTCAGATGAGGAGCTTCCCGAACCCCTCAAGCATGTCCTTCACTGGTAATGAGGGGCTCGGGCTCAGAAGACAGGGAATCTCCACCAGGCCCTCTTCTCACCTCTAGAACACCCTGCCCCTCCCTGCCCCGCGATTCCATCTCCGGGAGAGGGGCTGAAGGCCTCTTCCCACTGCGCCAGTCAAGAGGGCTGCCCTGGGGGTGCTTCTCCTGACCCCACAGGCTGCCAGACAGGCACTAAGTCCAAACAGGGGCCAACGGGGAGGAGGGAGGCAGGGCAGGTGGCTACTTCACACACAGTGCAGCCTGAAGGGTGGGAGGGAGGTGCCCCTGGCCCTCCCAGCCCCCAGGCCGGCCCCTGTTCCCTGGCACAGGGGCAGCCAGGGTCACAGCACATCGCCCTCCTCCATGCTGAAGCTGCTCCGGCGGCTGCTGGCCTTGGAGGCCTCGGGGGACATGGTGGACAGAAGTGGATCAGAGGCCAGCGGTAGCAGTGAGTCGTCCAGGAGCATGAGGTCCAGATCCTTCTTGGACAGGCTGGGGAATGGGGAGCCATGCCCCGGCGCCAGGGGTTCGGGGTAGCCCGGGGGACCCTCGTCCTCCCTGCCCCCAAAGCTCAGGCTGTGGCTGAAGTCCAGGTGATGGAATGGGGATGGTGGCTGGGTGGGCAGGGGCAGCGGGGCTTGCGGGGGCAGAGCTGGCAGTGGCTCAGGGTCAGGGACCTCAGCCCCCAGCATCAGGGCCTCCCCTGGGCCCTCTTCGCTAGGCAGCTCCTGCTTCACCACCTGCTGGGCCAGCTCAGCCATGTTCATGCCGGACGGGGAGGTGGTAGGGAGGCCGTGCACTCGAGCCTGCATCTCCAGCTCCTGCAGGGGAGCAGACAGAAGGCTGGGGAACACACCTATGGGCACCAGCCACCAGGACCCCTCCCCTGGGCCTCTATCACAGCACTTGCCCCTGCCCTACGGCACCCAAGACCCAAAGTGTTTCCGCTGGAAGAAAGCATAGGGTAGCTCTAGAGTCTAGACCAGTGTTTTTTCAGACTACAAGTCGTAACTCATTAGTGGGTTGTGAAGCCACCGTAGTGAGTCTTGACCAGCTTTCTATTTTTTTAATTGAAATTGACTTGTCTAGACTAGACTAGAATAGAAATTATTAGAATGCATTGCATCTATTAAGGACGAGGGGAGCGTTACTTCATGAAACTGATTTTTCACTTTGTGCCTGTGTGTGCTAGATTTTAATGTAAATTGTGTCATCTACCATAAGAAAGAGAAACAAGGTGCAGTCCAATTGCCCTTTGTGTAAAGGGCCAGCCTCAGGTCTAAAGAGGACAAGAGGCCCTCAACTCAGAGCCAGGACTAGAACTCTCAGTTCCAGCTGGTAGGGCTGACTCTGCCAAGCTCCTGGTTCTTTAGGTTGGCCCTGTGGAGATTCCTAGTGCCACCCACCAAATGATTCCAGCTCTCTACCTTCCAGGCACATGATAGGTTTGCATTTTCCTGCCTCTTGAGGTTAGAGTACTTGTAGAGTGTGCTTGCATTGGCCAAGCCCATTGAACAGAAGTGACATGTGGCACCTTAAGAGTGACAATGGCTTTAAGAGCCAGCTCTAGATGTGCCATCAGAGAGCTGGGTGCCAGCAGCGTGGGTGCCAGAATGAGGGTCTCACAGAACAGAACCTCCAGCTGATATGTGTTGCTTAAAGATGCTGAGGATTGTTTGTTACCAAAGCAAAACATCCTAACTGATACATCCTCCTTCCTAATGGGCATTATTCCTGTGTCTCCAACTTCAGAAGTACAAGTACTGCCCCTTAGGGCCAGGAGCCAGGTTAAGGGTCAGAGTTACCAAAGAAGTCCAAGTTCAGGACCAGACCTGGATACGGAGCCAGAGCTGCTTGTTGGTCATCTCCAGGCGGCGAGAGTGGTTCTCCAGCTCCCTGGACTTTTGCAGGTCCTTCTGCATCCTCCGGATGTAATCCACAGAGGCCTTGAGGATGGTGCCCTTGTTCCAGCGCACGTCCCTGCAGCAGCAGGCCAGGCAAATTAGAGGTGCATGCTCAGAAGAGTGGCCAAATCCTTGCTACTGCTCTGGTTGCAGAGCTTATGTGGCCTGTCCCAGTCTTACCCAGCAACCCCAGACCTGGAGGTGGAGGTGGCTGATCTCAGTTTGCACAGAATGGGCCCTCCTGGTGACTTCTGTTGCCACTGCCCACTTCATTAATCTCATGAAACCAGGCAATTCAGAGCAGCCTCCTTCCCAGACTACCAAGACTCCAGCCCAGCCTACCTTTCTTTTTTTTTTTTTTTTTTTTGAGATGGAGTCTCGTTCTGTTGCCCAGGCTGGAATGCAGTGCAGTAGCGAGATCTCGGCTCACTGCTACCTCCACCTCCTGAGTTCAATCAATTCTCCTGTCTCAGCCTCCCTAGTAGCTGGCACTGTAGGCACACACCACTGTGCCCAGCTAAGTTTTGTATTTTTAGTAGAGATGGGGTTTCGCCATGTTGGCCAGGCTGGTCTTGAACTCATGACCTCAAGTGATCTGCCTGCCTCAGCTTCCCACAGTGCTGGGATTATAGGCGTGAGCCCGGCCTCTTGTCTGCCAGCCCAATGGCCTTAAGAAAACTTTCTCAGCATGACTGCTCCTCCAAGAAGCCTCCCTTGACCTCAGCCTCACTTCCAGGACAGAAACTCATCTGTCTTGAGCTTTCCTGATTCTTTCCTGATTTGGGAGAGGGAGAGATCTTTTCTCAAATAGATGAACTTCTAGAAGGAATTCTCCTCCCATCCTAGTAACTAGCATGGGGCTGAGGGCAGATAATACTTGTCAGCTGCTGCCCACCCAGACCCATCACCCTCCCCCTCAGAAACCTGCTCACAGGTCATTGGCCTTGGGGATCAGCATTCCCAACTCCTTGATGCGGTCATTGATGTTGAACCTTCGTCTCCTTTCAACTAAAGGTAACAGATTCCAGAAGGAGCAATTAGAGGGATGGGGACCCCCCACCCCATGGGGAGAAGTACCCAGCCCAGGGAGGGGTGCTTCAGGGCAGCCTGCAGCTTAGATTTAGTTCTTCCAGGAAGTAAGAGGTGACCAACAGATTGGGATTTCTACAGGAATTAGGGGGTCCAGGGCAAAGGCCAGACACAATTAAGAGCACTGAAAGGTAGAATCAGCCATGGTGATGCTCGTAGCACAGCAAAGCTGCCTGGGGTAGGACTCTTCCCTGCTACACAGAACTCTGATGCCCCAGGTTCCATGCCTTAACCCAGAAAACAACCTGATAAACTGGGGGTTTCATGAATATCCCTTACAGGAATCCTTCCTACCCACTCCTAAAGAGGCCTAGTGGAAAGACAGCACTAATAGTCCCAGGCACCACTGAGCGACAGCAATGGGAGGGCTTAAGCCATCTGCAAGTGAATTGGCCTTGAGCAGGGAAGCCTTCCACCAGTGCAGGTCAGGGAGTGGCTTTTTAGCCAGCCCAGGTGAGAACAAGGAAGAGGGAGGCAGGGAGAGGGGCGGGGCAGGACTCACTTAAGTTGTGATTGTCTTTCTTCTGCCGCTCCTTGGCCAGGGCCCTGCTCTCAGCATCTGGAGGCCAAAAGAGAAGGAGAGAGGAGCTGGGAGGGAGGGAGAAAAGGAGGGAGGAGTCGGGTATTCAAAGGCACAGGGGTAGAGGGAGGCAGTACCTGTGAGCTCTCGCTTCTGGGTCAGGTCCGCAGGGCAGGAGCTGCTGGTGACGCCCACCAGGGAGGCTGTGACCTGGGGGTCGCTGCTGTACACATTCAGGTGGCTGCTGGACAGGGGTAGCTGTGGGGTAGGGGGTGAGGGAGACCCATGAGTATCCCCCTCTCCACGGGGAGCCCCCTCTAGGGCCTATCATCCCAGGAGCAGTCCTTCCTGGGGACACCTGGAGTGTCAAAATTCACCTTGGGCCCTTTCACCCAGCAATTCAACCTGAAGGTCTGCAGAGTCCAGAGCTATTATAAGATGTAGTCCCTGCCCTCAAGGAGCCCCTGGCCTAGAGTGTCTGAGAGAGTGATCCAACCAATAATATGTGATAGGATTAGGCCCCAGGCATTATGGAAGCCCTAGAGCAGGTCATCTAATCAATTCTAGAGTTTCTGGACGGTTTCCTGGAGGGTGTGGAACTCTGAGTCTTGAGCAGAGATGTGAGGCAAGGCACTCCGGGCAGCCACCAGGGCACAAGCAGACAGGGCAGCTTGGCAGAGCACAATTCCAGCAGCTCAAGGGCAGAAGTGGTGGGGGTGGAGGTGCTGTAGGCAGGGCAGATGTATCTGGATCCCCAGTACAGTGTTTGACTTGCAAAGATACTGGAATTTTGGAATGGGCAGCCAAGGGAAGTTGAAGCAGGAGTCTGACAGGGAGAGATCTGAGCTCTGGAAAGATCTGCCACAGAAACATGCAGAACAAATCACAGGCCCAGACACCCCACAGTGTACACAGGAACTACTAAAGGGACCAATCACTTGCATCCTCCCTCCCTCCTCAGCCCTCGCTGCCCCTGCTAGCTGTAGGTTTGGACCCAACCAGTCCCGGCCAGCTCCTACTAAGCCACTCAGCGATGTCACCAGGGCAGTGGGGACAGAGGATTGACTCCCCACCACAGGAACTGGGGACTTTCCCTTGGTGGCATGGGCTGGGGCCAGGATCAGGGTGAAAGGCTCATGCCCAAAGGCAGGAGTAAGTAGCTGAGGTTCAGGAGCTCCAAAGAAAAGTGGGTGGAAGGGGCGCTGGCAATCCCACCTGCCCAGCGTACACACCTGCCACCTTTGTAGAGAGCTTGCCCTCAATTTCTTCCCTCATCTAATCTTCCCACAATCCTGTGGGTAGAGAGCATCACCCCCATTTTGCAGCTGAGAAAACTGGGGTTTAGTATGCTTGAGGGATTTCCTAAGGTCACAGCAAAAGCCAGAAGCCAGGCTTCTTGACTCCAAGCCCAGCACCTCCCCACCTGCTACCCCACCTCTGCCAGGAGACGCAGGAAGCTGCCAGAGGGAGTGTTCCTGTGGTTGGGGACAAGGCCAGCCCCAGATCACTTGCCCCATGGAGTAAGAGACACAGACAGGCTTTTGCCTGTTGGGCCCTGGGTTTGGTAAAGGAGGGGAGGCCCAGGTCCCCAAAGGAGCTCATTAGTTCCACACCTTCCCATAGACACACTGCCCCTCCACCCATGCAGTGCTCTCCCTGCCTCCCTCTGCCCCTTCGCCAACCTGGAAAGCTCCCCCCACAGGCCCACTCCGTGTCCCCAGCCCCTTCTCCCCTCTGAAGCCCCATGGTGCACAGAGGCTGAGGCACATCCTTCTTGCTTCATAATTCCTCTTGGCCCCGGCCTTTGTCACATTATTTAATGAAAATGACTCATCTCTACAGAAACATGCCAGCTCTGCCCAGTGAGAACCCTGTCTCCACTCTCTCCAGGCTCAGAGCCACAGTGGGTGCCCCCCTCCCTAGAACCCTTGCACACCCACCCCACCCTAGCCAGGAGTACCGTGTTGGGCATCTGCATTTCAGGATTGATGTAGCCAAGGACATCGTCCAGACGCATAATGTTGTCAATGACATCATCCAACTGGAAAAGAGAAAAGTCCATCTGGGGAGGGCCCACCACGAGGTGGGCAGGGGAAAGAGGCATTGGGACAACCACTGACCTGGAGGGACCTTGGAGCCCACCTCACCCAACCTACTTATCTGGGGAAAGAGGAAATAGGCCCAGAGAAGAGATGAGCTGTCCAGGTCCCACTGGCCCAACATGAAGCTACGGTTCTTGCCAAGGAGCCTACCTGCCCAGGGAGCTTCCTTGATCTCACTTCTGTCTCTGGCTTGGGGAGTGTGCTGGGCTTTCCTGGATAAGTCTTCTGTTTCTCCCTAGCAGAGCTTTCTTTTTTCTTTTTTCTTTTTTTTTTTTCGAGAAGGAGTCTCACTCTGTCGCCCAGGCTGAAGTGCAGTGGCTCGATCTCAGCTCACTGCAACTTCCGCCTTCCCGATTCAAGTGATTCTCCTGCCTCAGCCTCCCAAGTAGCTGGGATTACAGGCGTGCACCACCACGCCCAGCTAATTTTTGTATTTTAGTAGAGATAGGGTTTCACTATGTTGGCCAGGCTGTTCTCAAACTCCTGACCTCAAGTGATCTGGCTGCCTCAGCCTTCCAAAGTGCTGGGATTACAGGCGTGAGCCACGGCACCTGACTTCCTAGCAGAGCTTTTGAAAGTAAGGATGGCGTTTCCTCTGTGAGGCTCCCTGAGGGCAGGGCTGTGTCTTCCCCCCTGAGATTGGGGCTCCCTGAGAAGGGCTCTGTCCCCACCTCAGACTGAGTCTCCCTGAAGGCACCCCTGCCTCTGCCATTAGACTGGGAGTCTCAGAAGCACAGCAGTGGGCACGAGCTCTGCAAGCAGCATGGCCACTGGCCAGCTCCTCACTCACCTCCCTCTCAGGGTTGGAGCCAATGTGCAGCATGGCCATGGGGCTATTGGGAGCACTGTTGCCAGCGGAGGAGGACAGCACGTGTCCAGCTCGCACCCCTGGGGAGGCGGCTGGTGGGGGTTTCGGAGAGCCCTGGGCTGGGCTGATGTGGGCAGCAAACTTGTTCCCATAGGTCTCGGACAGGTACTCCCGCACCTTCTGATGCTGCGACTGCTGCAGATGGTAGGATGTGGGATTCTCCAGGTAGGACTGCACCTGGGAGGGGGAAAAGGCAAGGGCTCTAGGGGAGGCTGGGACTAGTGGGGACAGGGTGGGGGGCAGGCCAGAACAGGCCCTACCTTCAACACCTCCCCAGGCACAGGTGGTGGCGACTGGAAGTGGACGGGGGTATTGATGGCCGGGGTGGGCGGCCCTCCGAGCTGCTGCTGTTGCTGCTGCTGCTGCTGCTGCATGTAATGCATGACAGCCTGTTGCTGCATGCGCTCCCGCTGCTCCTCCTGCTGCGCCTGCTCCCGCATGAGCTGCATGCGCAACCCTATGCGTGACGCCATGGTGGCTGCCGGCGCTGGCTCCCTGTGGATGAGAAGGGGCAGCAGGTATATGAGGCACGTGTCCTCCTCAAAGCACAGGGGCTGGCAGGGGGAGGCCAGAATGACTGGGACCGCATCCATTTTAGAGGAGAAGACACCGAGCCCTGAGAGGGGAAGAGATTTGCCCAAGGTCACTGAGCAAGCGGGTGACAGCTGAGACATGAATCCAAGTTTCCTGGTTCCTGGACCAAAACTGAAGGTTCTGTCTTCTTCACTCATTGCAGTTGGTAAATCCCAAACTCTAAGAGTCAACTTCCACTCCTCTCTGTGTCACGCCCACATCCTGATCCTGTTAGATCCGACCTCATATCCACCCTCCTTTGCTGCCACAAGGTGGGCCCAGCCTATCCTGGGTCTTACCTGGAATCCCGCAGGAGTAGCCCAGTGTTCAGACTGCCTCCTCTGGCTTGCCCTAGGACGTTCTACTGGCAACTCAGTAGAGCAACTCATTTAACTCCTGTTAAATCCTAAGTCAGATCCTGTCTTCCCCTCTGCTCACAACTCCCCATGGTTCCCACCTTCCTCAGGGGAAAAGCTAAAGTCCTTACCATGACTGGAAAGGCCCCCTAGGATCTGGCCCACCTCGTGTTCCCCTTTGACCCCATCCGCCAGCTCTCCCTCTTGTTTTATCTGCTCCGGCTACATCCTCCAGGCACTTTGAAATCCCCGAAACATCCCAGGCATGCCCCCACCTCAGGACCTTTGCACTTGCTGTTCCCTCTGCCTGGAATGCTCTCCCCCCAGATGACATCATGGCTCACTCCTTCACCTCCTCCAAGGCTCAAATGTTACCTTACAGAGACCTTCTAGGACCACCCTATTAAAATTACAAAGCCCTCCACCACCACTTCCTATGCCCCTTCCCTTTTGTTTTTATTTTCCTCCATATCACTTATCACCATCTTAAATACAATGCATTTTTGCCTAGCTATTTCATTCATTGTCTGTCTCTTTCTTACTGGGAATGCAAACTTCCCTGAGGGCAGGCATTTTCTGTCTTTTTCACTGCTATACCATGGGACTCTGGCTCAGGACCTGGGACATGGCATATGCTGAATGCATGTGTGAAGAAATGTATCTTATTTGTGAGCCAGGCAATGGGGATACAACTGCAGTTCCTGAGCTCATGGAGCCTACAGTGTAATAAAGAGAAGGGCAAGTCCACAGGCTTAGGAGGGCCTGTATGGGGAGGGCCACTTCCAGGCACCTGGCACTGCCAGAGCCCAGAGAGGACTTCCCACCAGCACATCAGCCCTAATCTCCTACAGGTCTCAGTGGGACAGGTGTGACTTAAGCCCCCCAGCCCAGTCTGGAAGGAAAGACAGGGAAGAATGAGTCCTACAGCTTGGCCCACTCTGTCCCTAGCTCATTGACTGACCCTAGGTAAGTGACCCTGGGTAAGTCCCCTCCCCCTCTGAGCCTCCATCTCTCCATGCACAAAATGAAAGGGTTGGACCCAGTAATTTCTAAGGTCCTCCCCAGCTGAGACAGGCTGAGACTCTGAGAGGTGCAGGGCTCCTGAGTGTGTCCAGACCCCATGAAGGTCCTGGTAGGGGCTGGAGGGTCCCATCTTGGGGATATTGCAAGAGGCAGTATGACTTTGTGGTTGAGCAAGGACTTTTGAACTGAGAAAATATGGGCTTGAATCCTAGTTCTGCCACTTCTTTGCTGTGTGACCTTGGGCAAGTCACTTAACCTCTCTGAGAGTCAATTTCTCATTAGTAAACGGTCTCTGCTTCAGAAGATTGGAGCACTATATGAAATTAATAGGTCTTGCACAGTATGTAGCACCTGGGAGGCTGAGTGCATGAGACATGGATGGGCACATGACTGGCAGGCGAACTGATCAGTGTGGACCAGAAGCCAGAGCTGTGTCTCAAGCTCCTAACAATGAGGCCCAGACCTCAGGGGATAGCAAAGGGAAGCAGCAAAGGCTGACATGTTCTGGCTAATACCAGACACTGGACTTAGTCAGCATTAGCAAAAAGAACTGGCAAATATTCAGTGAAAATCACCAGATAATAGAAATAATAATAACTTGAATTTATTTGAGCATTTACTGTATGTCAGGCAATGTTCCAGACTCCTTCACCTGGAAGAGCCCTATGAAGTAGTTCTGCATATTACTCTCCTTTTATAGATAAGGAGAAACAGAAGCACAGGAGATTAAGTGTCTTTCAGCAGTGAAAGGGACAGAGCTGGAACCCAGCCCCAGGCAGCATGGCCTCTGAGCCCATGCTGGGGAGGAGAGGGTCTCCACACAGAGCAGGGAGGAAGCTTATTGCAGGCTGCCTGGCTGCCAGGCCCAGGAATGGAGCCCATGCCACCTGACTGCCAGCCAGGGCTCCTCCCACCACCACTGTGCCTTCCCGACAAGGTAGGAAGGCAGGCAGTGGCCCTCACCCCACCCTCCTTCCTTCTCTGCCCCTCTACACCATGAATCAGTAAAGGGGCTGTCTCAGCTCCTTGGGTCTCTCCACCCAGCTACCAACGGGGCAGTCCCCAGAAAGAAAGGAGCAGATGCCCACCACTCCCTTCCCATCCTGCAGCAGGAACACAGCTGCAGCCTCCACCCATGCCTTTGCCCACCCCCTTCCTATGCTGCTACAGAGGGTTATCCCTGTCTTTGTACCCCCACTGCCCACCACACGCACACTAGCCCTACAGACCTCATAGGCTCTGACCCCAGCCCAACCCACCCCCTCGCAGCTGTACCCTCTACACACCCACCCACACGGCACTGGCTCACCCCCCCACCCTTGGGGACAATCTGACTTCAGTTGGCCCTGGTGGGGGTGTGGGCACCGGGCCTGGCAGTGCCAGCCGGCACAGGGAGGGCTAGGGGAGAATGATCCCCTTGTTTCTCTGACAAAGAGCTGAGCGTCTGGCCTGGCCTCGCGTGGACTGGAGCTGGCTTTGCTATGAGGAGAGCCTGGGCTGGACCCTGCCTCTCACTGGCTGGGCCAGCCTCAGTTCTCTCATCTGCACAATGGACTTGGGAATCCCTGCCCCACCGCCCCCTGCCAGAATCTGGGTGAGCCTCCTGGGAGAGGACGTTGGAGAAGTGGACACAGTGAGGTGTCTGTGCATCAGTGGGTGTCAGTAGCCTCAGCTACTGTCCCCTGACAGAGGCTGGCAGGGTAGTGAGGCTCCCCAACCCCACCGCTGGAGCTGTCACACCCACAAAGCTTGTCCTCCAGTGAAGCTCCAGCCCTCTCCCCTGGCCCTGGTCGCCAGCCTGGGTTGCTGAGTGTGGTGTAGGTGGGATGGGTATGGGGTAAGGGAGGGACCTGAGGGGATCAGAGAGCGATGGGGGTGGTCCAGGACATGCTAATCCCCCCATCCTTAGCCTCCAAGCATGCCTACTCACTCTAAAATCCTGAGGGTCCACTCTCAGCCTCCCCTGACACCCAGTCTAGCCAGGAAGAACTAAGAGGATGGACATGGGAGAACCAAAATGTCCCTGGCCCCTCCCACCATCTGGCCCTTCAGACCCACCATGCCTGGAAAGGGTCCACTGTGTACAGGTTCAGTAACACTGGGGGCCTGGAGTGCCTACTGCATGTAGACACCAGGGATGGGGCACTTCCCTGGAGAGCCTTCTCCCCTGCCCCTCCCAGGTAACACCCTCCTCCTGAGAGGAAGGGTTTGATGCCCCCAGAGAATCCCTGCCTCTCCCCAATCACATGGCTGCCCCCATCAACACCCCCAGGACCCTCCAGCTGCCTCCTGCTGCTGTCCACCCACAGCCTCTCAGCTGACTCTGCCTCAAAGCCCAGACTGGGTTCCAGCTTAGTCATGTCCAAAATGAGTTCTGTAATCCCACAGGCTCACTGCCCCTACTGGCTAGGCGACTTCAGAAAGCTACTTCACCTCTCTGTGCTAGGCTGTCTTCCTCTCTAAAACGCAGCACCTGCTAATCACAGCACCTGCCTTTTGGGGCCATTGGGGGGATTCAAGGTAAGTGTGTGGCAGTCGCTTCATAACCAGGGATCCCGGTCTCCTCTGGTCAGGCCAGAGCTGGTTTCATCCAGTCTGTGTGTGGGCCTTGCCTGTCAGTCATTTACACCTTAGTATGAACCAGCCCATGAATCATGAAATGGTATATGTGTAGACAACAGGAAGATCAGAGTACCAACCGCTAAATGCTTCGTGAATGATTGCCATGGGTCAGGGCTGGTCAATGTGCTTTTCCTAATGTTAATTCTGTTTTTTCTTCCCAACAACCCAATGAGCTGAGTACTAGTATTATCCCCATTTTTCCTGGAGGAAACAGAGGCACAGAGAGGTGAAGGAACTCACTCAAGGTTACACAGCTGATTAAGTAGCAGAATGGAGATTTGATCCAGGCAGGCTGGCTCACAGCCCCCACTCTTTAACTACTATTCTGGGCTCTCCCAGCACCCCAAACTGTTCAGAGTTGTTACCGCTGGGGAGGGGAGTGGGAAGGGGCAATGGAGGGGGAGGGATAAAGAGGGATTTTTATAGTTCTTCGTTCCACTGGAGAAGCACTCAGCTCTTACAGTGGGAATATGTGCGACTTGTGTGATTCTGTTAACAGGAGAAAGGAAGCACAGCAGCTTCTGGGGGTTTATGGGGGGGCCCAACCTGCTTCCAGGGCTTCCAGTCATGTCCAAAGGTGGGTCGCCAAGGGGAAGGAATCCCCCCAGCTCCACCTGGGCTGGCCCAAGCCCTGCCCTGCTCGGTGCAGTGGTCATTAGGCCAGCCGCGGTCCCTGGGTGAGGACACCGAGTGGCCAGCAGAGGCACAGAGCCAGGGCCAGCAGCCACCAAGCATTTGGAGCTGGAGGGCCAGGGCCCCACTCAGTTTCTACCACAGCCCCAGACAAGGGCTTCTGAGGGGAGTACCATCTTCATGCAGTGCCCTCAAACTATTGTCAGCTGACGCCAGTCCATTCAGTGGCTTGTGAGGCCTGAACTGCCTTGGGGATTTTTCTGCCCTCTAAATGATCCTTTAAAACTTGGAGCAGGAAGCTGAAAACACACTCCATGACCCATGGACCCCCTCCTATGCATGCCCACCAGAAAAGCATCCACGTGTTCACCAAAGCACATATACTAGAATGTTTGCGTGTATAGGAACCAAAACTGGAAACCACCCAAATGTCCACTAAAGAAAGATAGATAAAGAAGTGGTGGGCCAGGCATGGTGGTTCACACCTGTAATCCCAGCACTTTGGGAGGCTGAGGCGGGCAGATCACTTGAGGTCAGGAGTTCGAAGCCAGCCTGGCCAACGTGGTGAAACCCCATCTCTATTAAAAAATACAAAAATTAGCCGGGCGTGGTGGTGTGCACCTGTAGTCCCAGCTACTCGGGAGGCTGAGACAGAAGAATCGCTTGAACCCGGGAGGCAGAGGTTGCAGTGAGCCGAGATCATGCCACTGCACTCTAGCCTGGGTGACAGAGTGAGACTCCATCTCAAAAAAAATAAATAAATAAAATAAATTGAAGTGGTGGTACATCCATACAATCAAATGCTACAAAGCAATGACAGCAAATGCACTGTTGTTACACATGACATAGATGACTCTCGCAGACATAATGTTAACGAAAGAACCAAGGCACAAAAGTGTATACAGCATGCTCTGCGTATATGAGTTCAAAAAAACGCAACATTAATCTACTATGTTAGAACTCAGGATCCTAATTACCCTTGGGGGAGTGTCTGGGAGGGGACACAAGATGGCTTGGTGGGTAAGAGGATTAGGAAAGTTTTGTAATTTGATATGGGTGTTGGTGCCATGAGAGTGTCATATTTACAATAATTTGTACAGCTGCTCCCTTACAACTTATAATTTTCTGTATGTGTGTTGTATTCTCATTTTAAAATCACATAAGAATGAGGGCAGACCAGCCTGGCATGGTGGCTCACGCCTGTAATCCCAGCACTTTGGCAGGCCGAGGCAGCCAGATCACTTGAGGTCAGGAGTTCAAGACCAGCCTGGGCAACACGGTGAAACCCTGTCTCTACTAAAAATACAAAAATTAGCCAGGTGTGGTGGCACATGCCTGTAGGCCCAGCTGCTTGGGAGGCTGAGGCAGGAGAATTGCTTGAACCCGGGAGGCAGAGGTTGCAGTGAACTGAGATCACACCATTGCACTCCAGCCTGGGCAACAAGAGTGAAACTCCATCTCAAAAAAAAAAAAAAAAAAAGAATGAGGGCAGACGTTAAATAGTTTAAAAGAAGAGTTAGGGAAACTACCTTCACCAACACCACCCCTTCTCCAAACCCCCCCCCTTCCCCAAGTGTGTCTATGACTTTAAAATGCCTTTGGTACCAGGCACCTTCAACACAACTGCCAGAGCATACCTTGGTACAACCTCTTTGGAAAAGCAATTTGGCAATATATGTCAAAGCCTTGAAAAATATTCACCAGTCCAAGGAAGTAATCATAGATGCAGAAAAGGATGTTGTGCATAAAGATGCACTTCACATTATATGGAAAAAAGTCAAAACTAACCTCAATGTCCAGTTATAGGATAGTTAAATAAATTACGGTGTGTCCCTCCTGATGGACTGCTATACTTACAATAAATAACATGAGGATATGTCAGGTGACAAAATGTAGGATGTAGGGGGAAATTGTATATAAAATCTGATCATCACAATGTAAAAATATGTATAGAAAAACCTCTTGGGAGGAAATATACAAAATTATTACTGACTTCTTTGGATGATGTAACCATAAGTATTTTGTGTGGTTTTAAAAGCCTTTTGGAATGTTATTCTTTCTCTAGAATGAAGATGTATATCTTTCTAATTGAAAAAAAAATATTTTATGCTAACAGCTAATGCTCATAGAATGCTTACTGTGTGCTAGGTACTGTTCAAAGCACCTTATGTAATTATCATAATTATTTCATGATATGAGTGACGTGGGTACCATTATTGTCCCCATTCAAGGAATGAGGAAACACAGGCCCAGAGAGGTGGTCACTTGCTGAAGGTCACAGAGCTAATGAGTGGCAAGGCTGGACCCTGGCAGTCTGGCTGCACCGCCCCAACCCTGGGGCTGGGAGTTTGGCCTCAGTCCTGCATTCAGGGTGAGGGCGGCCACGTTTTGTTTTAGAAATTCTCACTGAAGAAGCCTCCCTGCGATCAAAGAGTTTCAGCGGCTGATCTCGTTCATCCAGCCCAGGAGCCAGAGGGTGTCCGGGATGATGGAACAGTCTGGAATCCCCAAACACAGGCAGAAAAAAAAATTCTACCCTTCCTCAAAGAGCAGAGATAATTTCCTGTATTCCCAGAAAAACATATGTCTGGCGGCTGAAACAACAAAGTGTGCAAGCCCAGAGGCTGGGAGGCCTGTTTAAGCCATTGATGACGCTCTGCACCTCTGTGGTCGGAAGAAGTTTTCTTCTGATTCAGTCTGTTACACTCTCAGTCGTGGGGGAGCTGCCCGGTCAGTCCTGGGGAAAGAAACTGACCGCTAAACAAAAGCTTCCTGAACAGGTTCGAGATTCCTGGAGGCAAAGGAAGGGCTTTGTGGCCTCCTAGGAACCTTTCAGCCTAGGGAAGGGAAGAGAGAAAAAAATACCAAACTTGGGATTTTTCTCAGCCCCCTCTGGCAGAGGAGGCAGCAGAGGAAGTCCTGATGAACTAGGAAACAGAACAAGGACATCACATAATCCTCATGGACAAAGCCATTCCACATTACGGAGGTGGTCATGAGTCACTGTAGGGCCTGGGGAGGGGGCATCAGATGGCCCAGACCCAAACAGAGTGAGGGGTGGAAAGGTATCCTACGACTCCCAGGAGCCAGCAGTCCTGCCCATATGATGCTGTGGGAAAGGCCAAGTGCTTGGGTTCAAGTCTTAGCCTTGGGCTGGACTCAATTGTCTGGGTATGGCCTCAGTCTCCCCATCAGTCAAGCAGGGCTTGCCAGCTGGGGCCACGTCTACCTCATAGCAGTTGTGCTCTAAGTGAGGAGGCTGGGTGTGTAAGTTGTCTTGCAGGTGTGAATTTGTGGGCAGAGGGGAGGTGTCACCATTCTGGTCACTGTTCAGTGTTGCTCCGTCCAGGCCCACTGGGGGCATCCCTGCATAAGTTCCTTTGGGGAAAGTGTCCCATCCATTCACCCATTCATTCACACATACACACATACACACCATCTGAAAGCCCAGACTGGGGCAGAGCAGCCTAGTGGTAACCCCAGCTTCAGTCTCTCCTTACTAGATAGGGGCAGGAAGGCCTCAGGCCAGCTTTTCCTATTACCAGGAGCCCTCTGTTTCCTCTCCAAAAGCCTTGGGTCTTTTAAGATTTTCTTTTCCAGAGCTTGTATATCATGTCATTCACTGCAGGAGATGAGAGAGGCAGGTGAGCAATAACAATGTCCACTCCTTTGGGTTCTAAGGGATAAGTAGTCGGAGTGTTTACCACAGTTCCTGGCACACTGGAGATACTTCATAATATAGCCTTTTATTATATTAGCTGGCAACTTCCGATACAGAAACATAGCAAACCCAGGACACCTGGTAAGTGTGCACTGTTTGATTGAAAGGTCCTTGATATCAGAAGCAGAAATGAGGTCAATGGGACACGCACATGCTTTTAACAGTTTTAATGCCATGTTTTGGTCTTTTTCCCTTTTAGTGAAGTGTAACTTATCCTAGCAAAATGCATAGATTTGTAGTGTACAGCTCAATGAATTTTTACAGGTGTGTGGCCTTGTATAATCACTGTTTAGATCAAGATGGAGAATGTCACCATCACCCTGGCAGGTTCCCTCCGGGACCCTGTCCTGCATCACCATGGCTGAGTGCTATGGTCTCCAACAGCACACAAAGGCTGTCATGCAGGATGTGGTCTTCAGTATATTTCATGAAATGGAACCGCTCTGCCAAGTGGGGACACTTACTGAGGACTGACCAACCCCTATTTGTGATGAATAAAGATCAAGAAACAAAAGAGGCTGGGCGCGGTGGCTCACGCCTGTAATCCCAGCACTTTGGGAGGCTGAGGCGGGCGGATCACAAGGTCAAGAGATGGAGACCATCCTGGCTAACACGGTGAAACCCCGTCTCTACTAAAAATACAAAAAATTAGCCGGGCATGGTGGCGGGCGCCTGTAGTCCCAGCTACTCAAGAGGCTGAGGCAGGAGAATGGCGTGAACCCGGGAGGCGGAGCTTGCAGTGAGCCGAGATCTCGCCACTGCACTCCAGCCTGGGCGACAGAGCGAGACTCCGTCTCAAAAAAAAAAAAAAAAAAAGATCAAGAAACAAAGAATGAATTACATGAGGAAGCAGAGGCTCCAAAAGGGAGATCTGCACAATGCGCTTCAGTGGCAGCAGAGCAAGACCCCAGGATGCGTTCTGCACCGCCTCTCCCAGACCCCCTGCAGGAATGCGCTGCGGGAGACTGCAGGGCTGGGGGCAGGGGGCAGTCAGGGGCTTGTTTTTAAATCTCTGAGCACCAGCAGGAGGTGGGGAGGAGGGAAAGGAAGGAGAGGAGAGAGGAAGGGCGGTCACACAAGCTCCTGGCCCACTTAATGGCCTCCTGTTCCCACAGCTCAGGCCCATCAGCCCCAAGTTTCAGCTCACATCCCACAGGAAAGGGTGGGAACTGGCGCCTCCTGGCTGGTCAGACTGTTGGCCCGGGACAACAGGGGGAGCAGCTTCAAAGGCCATTGCAGACCAGGGAGTCGCCCTGTCCTGTCCCACTGGGACCAGCTGGGCCCTGGCAAAGACGACTGCCACTGGGCATGGCAGGACAGGGACGAGGGACATGTAGCTAATAGGAACATGAAAGGAGAAACTAGAAAAGGATTCCACCCCTGTGATATGCACGGACCGGCCCAGCCACCCATGTGGACGCTCTGTCTCTCCGTGTCTGCTTCTCTTTCTCTCTTCTCTCTCACACACATGCACGCACACATGCACACATGTCCATGTGCACACACGTGTAGCCGCATCCCTCAGCTGCCGCTTGCAGTCTAAGGATCCCCTTAGCAGGCAGCCACCTTTCTCCTGGGTTGGGGAGTGGTGGGACTGAACCCCCACCCCTTGTGCCCCTGCACCCGCCTCCTGGGCACTCCATCTACTCCAGCCTCCTGCCTGTGTCTGCCATGCTTTGTTCTCTAGTTGTTTCCTTGCCACCTACCAGTCTCCTCAGCTACAAGGAAGTTTCAGAGAAATCACTTTTCTTCTTCAGAACCTCCACACCATCCCACCCATCAGACTTTCCAGAAAGAGATGCACGGCCCTCAAGGGCTGCTGGTCCAGTGACCCCCACACACTCAGTTATCACCCACTTGGCAAACGCTCCGAGTCCCTCCCACATTGCACTGCGCAAGGGGCCTCTGTTCAATCACATTCATCCACACAAACACTTGATGGGATAAACAGCAACACAGCAGGATAGGAAACCGAGACTCAGAAAGGTTAAGTAGGCCAGGCGCAGTGGCTCATGCCTGTAATCCCAGCACTTTGGGAGGCTGAGGCAGGTGGATCACTTGAGGTCAGGAGTTCGAGACCAGCCTGGCCAACATGGTGAAACCCTGTCTCTACTAAAAATACAAAAATTAGCCAGGCGCGGTGGCACATGCCTGTAGTCCCAGCTACTTGGGAGGCTGAGGCAGGAGAATGGCTTGAACTCAGGAGGCAGAGGTTGTAATGAGCTGAGATCGCACCACTGCACTCCAGCCTGGGCGACAGAGCAAGGCTCCGTCTCAAAAAAAAAAAAAAAAGAAAGATTAAGCAGCTTGTCAGAAGTCACACTGCAAGAGCACAGTGAAGTGGGGGTTCAAGCCCAGGTCTCTCAGGTATGTGACCACCAGCAGCTCCAGCCCAGGAGAGGTAACCTGGGGCCCATAGGAAAGGTCTCCCCATGTAGATGGCTTGTTGTCCCCTGCACTCCCAGTCCTGCGCCCCCCTCATCCCATGTCACCCTCAGCGAATCCTACAGAGGTTCCCCAGAGAGGCCTGCATGCTCCTCAGCCCTCCCAGACCCCACCCACAGATGCTTTTTGCTAAATAGCCAAGACATCCATGCCCAGGAGGCTCAGAGGGTGACAAATCTGAATCTCGCTGAGACGGTTAGCCCGCCTGAGAGCCTGGGTCGGAGGGGGCGGAAGGGGAGGCTATATGAGTTGGTCAGACAGAAATGTGATTCCAGGGATCAGAGATCTGGCACCAGACCATAGTGAGGTGAGGGTGGTAAGGGTTGGGGGAGGAGTGGGACTCAGCCATAGATGGCTCCTAGGACAGGAAAGGGGCCTGAGGGCGATAGAGGGGTTTAGAGACTGAAACTCCACTTGCCCCAAGTACCCTCTGGCCCACCCCAGCGAACCTGCTCATGTCCCCTGCAGGAAAGATCAGCTAAAGTTTTCATGGATGCTACGTCAGCCTATGTGGTCAATGAGGTCCCTCCCCAGGGAAGGTGAGGCCTAAGACTCTATCTGATTGGTCAGTTCATGCCATTGTGGACTTGGGGCCCACAAGCTCTGACTCTCTGAGATGAGTCTGTTTTGCAAGGACTCTCTCAGCCTCCACAGGCCCAGCACAAAAGCCTACCTAAGGCCAGAGTGGGACTGGAAGACCTGCATCGGTATGCACCACCCAGCTGCGTGACCTTGGGCAAGTCCTGTCCCCCTCTCCGGGACTCAAGACCCTCACAAATAACATGCAGAGGCTGTGTGGGACCTCTCATAGGCTCCCTGCCGCCTGCCTGGTGTGCTGATGGTTCTGGCAGCATGGATGTGTGGAGGGCTGGTCCGGTGGAATCGGCCTGCAGGCTGGGAGGGGAAGGGCCAGGCACCGGTTTCACTGTCCCATGTGCTGGCTGCCCCAGCATTGGGGAGCTCCCTCTCCAGAGCCATGGCAGCCTTAGGATCCAGCCTTTGCTTTTCCATCTCCTCAGGAGAAAAGAATCCACACTCCAGCATCTTCTGCTAGCTGCCAGCTGCTTAGGGCAGGGAAGGCTCGTTGACTCCAAGTGTGAGAAGAGGCAGGCACAACGACCACAGCTGGGCACACAGCGGGCATGCAGAGCAGCTTCTGGCTCCTGGTCCCAAACCCAGCCGCAGGCCCAGGACCCCCTGCATCTGTCCTGAGTTCTAATAATGGCTCTCAGGGTCCCAGTGCCTAAGCCACCCCCGCCTCAGCCCTCCCTGCCCCAGGCCCAAAGTCCTCAGAGCACTCCAACCCCGCCAGTGCCTGGCTCCTGCCCCTGCTCCTGGGGCTGCTCCTCCTCCGTCATCTGCTGCCTCAGCCTCCCCAGCCTCCCTGTGGCTGGTCTGCTGTAAAGAACGATTCCCTGGCTTTGTTTTTAAGAGTCAAACCTGCTTCTGAGTACTTTGGAAACAACCACTGTACAACTGAAGTAGCCAGGTCTTCCTAAACAAAAGAAGACAGTGGAGAGGGGAATGGAGGAAGAAAGGACAAAAACATCTATGAGCATGGACGATTGCATTGAATTCACAGAAGGTGGCCTGTTTTCTCTCAGGTGCAAACCAAGAGGCATTAGTACTATGCACACTGAGTGCGTACTCTGCACCAGGCACTGTTCTGCATTGATATGTGTTACTGATTTAATCCTCACCACAGCTCCATCCACCATGATGGAGGCGTTCACATATCCCCTGTTTTACAGAGGGGGCAACTGAGTCACAGAGAGGCTGAAAACTTGCCCGAGGTCACACAGTTGGTAGGTAGCAGAACTGGGGCACCTGGTCTCCCCACAGTGTGCTGGGTGCCCCTGTGGAGAGTCTGTCTGGAAAGTGCCAGAGGAGGCAGGTAGGGGGTCTTGAGCCCATCAGTGAAGGGGCTCTTGGCTAAGCAGGTGGGTGCAGGACACCAGCCTCCCCTCAGCTCTTGTTTCCTCTAGAACTACTCCCATTCAACCCTCCTTCCCCTCAAGATATCCTTTCCATCCAAAACCACCCAGGACTACCCTTGCAGTTCCCCAACAGAGCCTCTGACCCCGCCTCCACCTCCACCACGTCATCTGTCCTGAGTCCGCCCTCTGGAAGACAGCCGGGCTTAGTGGATCACGAATATGCTCTGGACCCTGACAGACCAGAATTCAAATCTGGCTTTGCCATTTGTCAGCTTTGTGACTGGGGGCAGGTGCTTAACCGCTCAGAGCCTCAGTTTCCCCATCTGTACAAAAGGATGGCGGTAATGCCACCTTCCTCAGAGTCAGTGAGGGGGTAAATGGAACTGAAATATGTGATGTGCCTAGCACCTTGGAGGTGGTCTGTGAGTACTAGCTCCCTGCCTGGGTGACCACCAGCCATCTGGCTGGACAGTGAGGGCCTTAGATGGGAGAGGGCCTCTTAAGGCATTGCACGCCCTGTTTGCTGGTTAGAAACAGGCTCTCAGGCCCTGCCCAGACCCACTGAGTCAGAATCTGCATTTTAACAAACTGCCCTGGGAGATGTGTGGGCACATTAAAGACACTTTACTTGTTGCCTTCTGGGGACTTAGTTCCCTGGTTCCAAGCATGAAAATTGGTGGCGGGTGGGAGAACACAGCAGGGAAGCACAGGCCCCTGGTGGAAGCACAGAGCTATTTTAAAGGACAGGCAGGGCCCTTCTGAGCCCCACAGGGAAATTAAGCAGCCTGATTCTCAGGCTCAAGAGCCAAGGTGGAGGCCAGAATGCAAGGCTGCAGGTGGGCTCTGGCTCACTGGGTGCTGGGGCTCTGGCCCGTGCAGGAGGGGAAAACAATCCAGGTCTATGGGGAAACAGCTTCAAAGCCGAGATGGTTACCAGTGGAAAAGCAACCCAGACAGACCATATGAGACACACCCATTCATGCAAACACCACCTCTCACACATAAGCCACTGTCCACACATACACACTCACCAGTACACACACACTGCACCAGGACTTGCCTGCCTGCCCAAAGAGCAGCTCCAGAAGAGAGCAGACAACCTTTGGGACAGTGTGTGCCTGGGCCTGTGTGCTCCGCAGGAGGCCTGGGAGTGTGGAGGCTCCCACAGCAGGTCTAGGAGCCCACTCTCTCCTCCACACGGCTCTGCCTCTGCCTCCCACCTGCCTAAACCCCAGCTCCATCTGAACAATGAGAAACCTACGTCCTGCCCACCTGAGGTTGGCAAGGACCCAAATTTTAATTGGTCACCTGCCTGCTGACTCCCCTCTCCCCCAGTATACCACCATCCTCCTCACCAGGTTGCTGGGGGGTAATCAGCAGAGTGGAGCTCTGACTTCAGGGTTCCCTGAGAGGCAGCCATACCGCAAGGCCTGTGCCCACTCCCATGTACACTCACACGGGACAGCTGTAAAGTCCACCCTCTTCCCAACGACACAGCTTCTGAAGGGCCAGGGACCCTCATCCACCCTGTCCATGAAGAGGTGACAGCTCTCAACTCCACACCCATTTTCAGCTCAGAAACACACATCCACTGACCTCTTTCACCACCGCAGGCTGGACCTCTTCCACCACCACAGGGCCCCCCAGGCTCAGATGGGCTCCAAAGAAACCCTAAATCATGGGGCCAGAATCCCAAGCAGGCCTAGGATGTCCAAAAAAGAACCATCAACTAGGGAGGGTCAGTCTGGTCGCAGCAGGGTGTGTGATTTCATGGGTTCTGGAAAGGCCCTCGGCCCCAAAATATCTTCCCTCTGGGTCCGGAAATCCCTCCCAACCCTCAGATTCACTGCCGGGAGAGGCTCCCACCTGAAGCTCTCGTCAGCTCACACCCCTGGGAGAGGCAGCTGACAGCTGGCCTGAGAGCGGCCAAAGATGGGCGGGGGAGAGTGGGTGCCAGGCCTGGTGACCGTCATCTCGCCAGGGCCGCCCTGCCCACGAGTTCCCACCAGGAGAGGGCGCTCTTCCTCCCCAACCCCAGAGCGCAGGTCCCCAGAATCCAGCACCTCTGGCCAGGGAGAGGGGCCTAGCAAGGACAGGGGCCTCAGCATGGCCTTCCACGTCCATGCCAGGGGAAACCAAGGCCTGCCCCAACTGTCCCCTTGAGGAAGCTGAAGTGCCAGACAGCTGGAGGGGATGGGAGCCCTGAGAGCAGGGAGGTGGGGGGCAGAAGGGGGAATTAACCAGGTTCCAAAATAGCAGAGTTGGTTCTGCCTCACTTCACCCTGTGCAGTGTCTGGCAGCTTCTGCTTTCGATCTGAGTCACGCCTGGTGGGGGCAGGACGGGGCAGCCAGTGCTGGCAGAGGCCACTAGACAGCACAGGCAGTGGCCCAGGAACTCAGCGGGGGCTCTTCTCCCCTCACAACACACACCTACACCCACCCCCAACCACCCTTACACCCCCCCACCCCCATCCTGCCCAAGAGTTGGGGTTCTGGGAAGAGCTAACAGGGGCCCACCCCAGGATTCCCAAATGCTGTCAGCTGCCCTAGACCCAGAATTCAGCTTTGCTCCTGCCCTGTCCATGTGCGCTCCGGCTGGCATTCCCACCCCATCTCTGTCAGGGAGCCAGAGGAGGAGACCTGACCTGGAAGCCACCATCTCCCCCCATAGAGGAGAAATGGCCTCCTATGGCAACATTCCAACAGCCCACCAAGTCACCCACCCACCGGATGGAGTGAGTGAGCTGTCCCCCAACCTGCCCCCATCTCCCCCCGCCCACACCCAGGTATGAAAGGAACAGGAAGCAAAATTCACACACACACACTTCCAGCCCTTTTCCTGTCCTTAAACACCATAAGAAGCACTCTGCCTTTACCAGGACAGAGCGAGGAGTGGGGTGTGTTGAACTCTGCATGTGATGGGGTCGGGGGAGGAGCATCGGGAAGTCTGCTCTTTCATCATCATTCTCTTCCACTCATCTGGGCTCCATGCCCTCCTGCCTGCCCAGCCCCAAGGCTCAGAGCTGCTCTGCTTTCCCCCATAGAGTTGAGACTCAGGCAGCAGCTGCCTTACACCTTCTCCCTGGACCCAAGATGCTTGAGCTCAAACCTGAGACATAAACCCCATCTTCCAATGCCTGAACCAATCCTCTCTGTTCTCCTCCCAACAACACACCTGCCTGGAGTGAGTGCAGCCACCTTCCTATCCAAGTGGCGGAGTGGGGAGATGATAGACTCGGGCTGCCATGGCTGGGCCTGCCCACAGGGTAGGGAATGGCACAGGCAGACACACTCCTACCCCTGCCACCCCAGCACACGCACCCAGAGCAGACCTGGTTTGGAAATGAAACATCAAGGGGAAAGGCTGGGGCTGGTGGCTGGAGGAAGAAGTCAGAGGGGCTGTGACTTGGCGTGCCTGCCTGTGGCCCAGGACCACGTCTCCAGGGGAAGCACACCGCCAGGCCCAGCCCCTGCCCCATCCCCATCTCCTGCCCTTCCCCTAGCCCCCACCCCAGAAGGCCTTACCTACACGCCACTTCCCTCTTTTAATTCTTCCCATTCCCTCAGCCCTATAGGGTGCGAGACCTGTAGCCTGAAGCTGGGAGGGCTGGGGATGGGAACAGGTGGAGCCCAGGGGAAGAAGGCTCCTCTCCAAGAAGCAGACATGACAGAGCCTGTGCCAGGGCAAACAGGTATGCCACCGCACGAAATTACTCCCCCACCAAAATGTCCCTGAATTGTATCCTGTTCCTGACAGAGACACAGAGGGAGGCTACTAGGAGGCTCAGTTCCCGGCTGACTAAAAGGCAGCCACGTGGCGGCCATGGGGCTAGGGGAAGAGGCAGGCGCAGTGACAGAAAGGAAAAGGAAGTCAGAAAAACCACTACAATCACAGCCTCAGGATGCTAGAGTTGGGAGGGAAGTGGAAGACGGCTCTAGGCTCTGTGGCGCTCAGCACGTCTGTACCTCCCTCTAGGAGAGGATGCCATGCCACAGGGGCATTGCTGGCCTTGCACAAGGCCTGGGATGGGCGAGCCAGTGTCTGCCACATGGCAGGCGCCTCAGCCGCACAGGTCACCTTCCTCTGCTGTGAGTGCCTGGAGGCATCCTGACAGCTTCCTCTTTTTGTCCATGGCACCTTGTAGATGCTCCCTAAGTATCTGTGAAACACAGTGAGCGTGGAACTGGCGACTGGGGAAGGGTCTGCCTGGGGAAGCCTCTTGGACATAGAAAGGGAGATGTGGGAAGAGGGCTTGGCAGACCCCCAGGGCTGGGCTTGATGAGGTGGCAAAAGCTATCAGGGCCCCAGCCACATGCTCTGGGCCCTCACGATGTCAAAAGTGCCCACCTGAAGATTTCCAGGTGCCAGCACCTGAATTGGTGCCTGAACCAATGAAGTTAGCTCCCTCCCTTCCCCACCACCTCTTAGCCAAAGACACCTATCACTTGACTGGGGAACTCTAAAGCATATTCTGCAGAGGCCTCCAATGGCAGTGAGCCTCAGATGCCCACAGTCACCTTGCTCCTTCACACACATTTTATCAGCTTCCTTGCCTTCCTGTCTCATGAATCCTACTCTACCACTGGTGCTCCCTGGGGGAGCCTCCCAAATAAACTGTTTGCACTCATATCCTTGCCTCACCCAATGGGCCCTGAGGAGGCAGTTATGACCTGATACTGAATAGCTAACTCTAAAGCTTAGAAATAGGGGCCAATAAAAGGGTCAGAGTAATGCAAGCTAGCCCACCCTACAGGGAAGGAGAGAGGCAGGTGTGAGCTAGGGGAAGACCAGTCACTGGGGAGACTGGTCAAGCTGGATGCAATGGCCAAATGTGTACTTGGAACTTCCCCACTTGGCGGAAGGTTAAGACTGCCCTCAGAAGGAGAGCTGGGATGGTAGAGAGAAGAAAACAGGACTTGCCAGAGTTGCAAGTTGCATGGAGAAGAAACCTCCATACCGGGGGTAGTGATGGCAACATTAGGTTGCTGGTAGCAAATGCCAGTAGGACTAGAAGCCCAGCATTGCCTTCTGCCCCCAGGCTGCTCCTAGGATAGAGCTATAGAGCTCCAGCATTCCAGAACCTTGGCATGCCTGTTCATTCAATAACACAGCTATTATGTTCCGCACTTAGAACTAGGCACTGGTGACACCAACAGAGGCCATTTGATTAAACACTAAGAGTGTGTGTTTTGAACCTAGTCAAGCTGAATCCCAGATCTGTCACTTTCTAGCTGTGTGACCTTCATCAACTTACTTAAATTCCCAGGGTCGCAGTATCCTCATGTGTAAAATTAGGACAATATCCACCCTGGAGAATTTCTGTAAGGATTAAACATAAAGTATCTAATGCAGTACCTGGCACAGGATAGGTGCTCAATAAATATTAGATGGATGCATGTATATAATGGATGGATGGACATAATGGATGCATGCATAAATGGATGGGTGGATGCATGAAAAAGTAGATATAATGGTTGGTGGATGGATGGATGGATGGATGGATGGATGGATGGATGGATATAATGGATGCATGCCTAAATGGACGGGTGGACAGATGAAAAGGTGGATATAATGGTGGGTGGATGGATGGATGGATGGATATAATGGATGAAAAGGTGGATATAATGGATAGATGTATGCATGGATAGATGGATGGATGTTTAAAAGGAGATGAAAAAGGCACTAGTTGTCTGCATCGTTCCCATCTGGTTCAATATCCCTTTCCATTAAATTTATTTTTTATTTTTATTTTTGAGACAGGGTCTCACTCTGTCATCCAGGCTGGAGTGCAGTGGCGCAACCACATCTCACTGCAGCTTCACCCTTCCAGGCTCAAACGATCCTCCCACCTCAGCCTCCCAAGTAGTTGAGACCACAAGTGTGTGCCACTATGCCCCCACTAATTTGTTTATTTTTTGTAGAGATGGGGGTCTCATTATGTTGCCCAGGCTAGTCTTGAACTCCTGGCCTCAAGCGATTCTCCTGCCTCAGCCTCCCAAAGTGCTGATCTTTCCACTAAATTTATAAACGAGAAAATAAGATTCCATCACTCCCTAATTTATCTATTTTGGAAATCTACATTTTCATTAAACAGGTTGACAAATATAAAGTAAGATCCTTCTAATGGGCCTTAGCCACATAACTGGGGCAGAGTCATTCCCTGAAGGATGTATAGAGTTACATCAGAATAGAGGATATCCTCCTGGCTCAGTTGCCTTCATACCAGCTCCCACCATGTGGTCATGCCATGCCAGTACCCATCTCTCAGCAAGTCCAACTCCACCCAACTCCTATTCCAGAGAAGGTGGGTCAGGGACCAGATAAAGGAAGGGGAAGCCAGGTAAAAGCACAGCAGGGACAACAGGCCAGGATGGCCAAGGAGAAGAAGCCAAGAACAGAATGCAGGGATTTGGGACAGGGGTAACTACGGATCAGAAAGAAGAGGCTGAAGAGCAGAGAGGATTTATTGTCTTTGGAGAAATGAAGAAAGAAAATATTCCTCAGAGAACAAGGGAGCAAAAACAAAATGAAACAGATGGAGCAACATAGAAAGACCATTTTTTTCCTGCTCCATCACCCCCAATTGCTCTCCACTACCTACCAGATAAAGTCCAAGCGCTCTAGTTGGGCCTCCAAAGCATGCAGGATCCCTCTCCCTAAACAAACACTGGGTGCAGCCAAGGGGACCTCCTTGCTCTCTCACGCCAACCCAATCTGGGCCCCCAGACCCTCCCCCAGTTCCTCTCCCACAGATTATCCAACTTCTCCTCCTCTCTGGAAGCCCTGCTCCAGGGTCTCCTCCTCCTCCCGACAGCACACCCTGACTTCACCCACCTCTAATCACCATTTGGGCACAATTACTTACTCTGTTCCAAGCCTGGTTCTGTGTCTGAAACAGGAATACAAGGATGAATAAGACAGCCCTTGCCCTATGGTTTTTACAATCCAGCTTGGAAAAAACATCATCACCTGATAGCATATATTGTATTTCTTCTACCACTATGGATAATACTAAAACTTGTATTGAGTTGTAAAACCATCTATCAAGGATGGCTTCTAAAGCCGTGATAGAGCCAGTGCCAGGCCCTTGGCTTTATCATGTATTAATTCATTTGGCCTTCCCAATAACACTAGGAAGTAGGAAATACTACTGTACTCATTTTACAAATGAGAAACAGGTACAAAGAAGTCACCTCTCTGGTTTTCTCAGCTGCAGTGTGAACTCCTTGAGGGCTGTCCCTTGGTTTCCTCCTCTCCCACACAGGCTCCAGGTAGAGGACACTCGGACATGGCCCTCTGGGCTCAACGTCCCCACCGCTGTGGCCTTAGGTGAAGGTGTGCTGACTGGTGGGTGGGAATGGTATACATGCAGGAAAATGAGCGCCAGCAGAATGGAGGAGACTGGCCTCCCAGGTGGGGTATGAAAGGACACAGTCTCGGTGTCCCCTTCCAGCATCTCTCTTCCCTGCCTGTCCCCAAGGTCCAGCCCTGGCATTTCACAATCCTGCAGTCACTGCAGAATTCCCTGTCCCTTTGCTAAGAGCGCTGAGGTGGTGTAGAAGGAGGGAGCCAGGCTTCATGCCCAAGACAGACAGGGGAACAAAAGGGTGGGCTGTTGGAGAAGGGAGGAGCCCTTCAGCTCCCCCAAGCCCCAGGGGGTCAAGCCTCTCTGAGTGAATAAGCCTAGCCTGGAAAGTAAAACACAGGGCAGGCCCCAAAAGGGTCATGTCTGGGCACCCTCACCTTGGCAGGGGGGTGGGGGAACATGGGCCTGCGGCAGAGGCAGGGCCCTCATGGCACCGAGCTGGGCTGCCCCCTTGGCAGGCTCACCCAGCTCAGAGGCCTCTTCAGGCTGGGAAAGCTGAGGAGGTGGATGGCTCAGACCCAACTTAGAATAGAACCATCATGAGGCATTGAGTGGGGTTCTGGGTTGGTGAAGGGGGCTTCGCACAGCCTATAGAGCTCAGCAGTGGGGGTCCAGTCCCCAGCCCCGGCCATACCTCACCTCAATATTTCTATCCCCTCCTAGAAGGCACAGTGGATGTACAGTGCAGGTAGAGCAGGGAAACTGAGGCACAGAGCCTGTCCTCCAGCTCTGGAAACCTGCTCTGCCTGTCTGGCCACCAGCACCATCCTTGAAAATGAACCCCCATGTTTCTCACAAGCACACAGGACTCCAAATCCTACCATTCCAGGGTCCTACAGGACTCCAGATCCTACCGTCTCAGGGTCCTCTTCTACCCTGGGGACATATATTTTCGAGAAAGAGGCTCCCCAAAGTGGGGCTGTGGAAAGAGGGCACCGTGCCTTTTCCTGAGTCCTGGTCTGGGATTGGGTGACGAGACCAGTAAGGGGCTCAGCCACAGCTCTGGGCTCCAACCCCGGCTCTGCTTCTCACTAGCCATGAGGCCTTGGGCAAGTTACTGAAGCCTCTCAGGGCCTCAGTTTCCTCCTCGGAGAACAGGACTAAGTCTCCCTGCTCTTGTCTCTCATAGTTGATAGTATCCAAAAGGTCCTGGTACCCCACCCAGGACTCATACCCTTAATCACTAGTCCTCCCTCTTCCTCCTCACCAGGGGCCCAAGGGCTCAAGCACTGGCAGGGGCTGCTGAGGAGCTGACGGAGCCACTGCTGTTGATAGAGCCGGTGCCAGGCCCTGGGCAGGCACGGGGCCCAGGCACACAATGGGGCTGTGTGTGCACCCAGCGTTACTCTGGAGTGGAGCTGGGCAGGCAGGCTGGCATCTGGGGTCAGGCCAAGAATTCATGTCTCTGGAGAAAGCCTCCCCACCCCCTCCCAGGCAGCACAGCTCTTTCCAGGGGTGAGCAAGCACCACCCACTCCCCCACCCGGCCTAGGAAGGGAATGGGAACTTGCTCTGGTGGCAGGTACTGGGAAATGGGGACTCCTGAGTCTAGCCACTGGCTGGGCTGCTCGCTTGCGAGGCATTTTGGACCTATTACGTAATCTGGGGTTGCAGCCTCCTCTTTGGCCAGAGGGAGGGTGAAGTCTGCGGGGGCCAGGAGAAGGAGCAAGAGAAGTCTGGCTGCGACCCCCACCCCATACAGAGGGCCTCAGTCCTCCCTCCCCAGCTTACCAGGGCCCTGGGCTCAGCACAGGTTTTCTGAGGCACCCAGGACTCCTGGCCACCCAGCCTGCACCAGGGTGCTGGGGTACCCCAGGAGAGGAGCTGGCTCACTCCCCAGGAGAATGAGTCACCAGCTGGCTGCAGCCAGGATGGCGAGGCGGGTGGTGGGCAGGTGGAGCTTGTCCTCTCCTGTCCCTGGCAGGTCTTCTCAAGCTGGAAAGCCACTCAGCTGGTATCAGTGCTGACCACAGCATCCCAGCCCAGGCCTCACTGGGCCACTTCTTCTGGTGCAGGGACCGTCTGGCCGCAGGATTCAGAGAGACTTGATCCCCTCCGGTCCCTACGCTGACTCACTCTTATAGCTGTAGGCATGGGCAGCCTACTCCTCTAATTGTCTCTGAGAGGGTGTCAGGCTGCAGGGAAGGGCAGCCACCTACCCCCAGGGAGAAACGCGGTCTGAGGCGAGGAAGGAGGGGAGAACTCAGGCACCTGGTGGGCAGCAGGGAAAGGCAGACAGCCAGGCCACCTTACTCCTCAGGCTGTGGCCAAAACAGGGAGGGCCCCTTTGCATGAATCATTTTCTATTCTCCCCAGAGCCAGGAGGCACCCAGGAACAGGAGCTAACTGGCCCTGCTCCCTGGCTGGCTAGACATGTGGCACCCTCCCTCACGCCCAGTCATAACGACACAGATAGGCGTCCTGATGCATGCCACCCACACTCCCTGAAGGTCATACACAAAGTCACTGTGGCAGCCCAGCCCAGTGGACACAGTTGGATGGCCACCCATCCCCTGACACCCACAGGAACCCCCCAGCCTGAGCTAGAGTGGGCCACACCACATCCTGTAGGCCCCAAACAGTGCTGAGTCTGGGAGCACCTCAGCTCCGAGGGCTCCTTCCTGGTCAGAGGGCAAGGACCTTTCCCAGCCAAGACCACTGCACTGAGTCCTGTGTGTGCGTGTGTGTGTGCACGTGTGTGTGTGTGTGCGTGTGCATGTGTGCGTGTGTGTGCATGTGCATGCGTGTGCATGTGTGCGTGTGTGTGCATGTGCATGCATGTGCGTGCATGTGCGTGCGTGTCTGTGTGTGTGCGTGTGTGTATGCATGTGCTTCTACCACCCCTACTCTGAGAAATCACTCCCATGCCCTGAGAAAAGAGACGGTGAGAACCAAAGGGCCTTCGGAACCTGAGCCCATCGTGTTTGTTTTCCAGATGAACAAACTGTAACTCACATTGGGGAAGTGTCTTTGTTCTAGATTATGAATAAGGCTGAATCTGGAACCCAGGCTGGGGTAGCTTATGGCTAGTCAGACAAAGCAGAGGATGGGGAAGAGGGAGCAGGGGCGAGAAGGAAGAAAAGGGAGGCGAGGGAAAATTCATCACCAGATCAGAGGTGCGGCCTTGATGGTATCATTCCATTCATTCATTTCAAATATTTCTTGAGCACTTACTACATGCCAGCACTCTGGCAGGGCCTTTCTGCCCATATCACCCCTCCCTCCTGTGAGACACTGCTTCTGAGACGGACTATTGTCTTCAGGGGACCCCCATCCCGAGGGTGCGGGGAGACTGGGGCAGCGCTGGAAGCTCTACCCTTGAGTGGCGGCCCGGCCCCAGAGAGGCCCTGGAGGCAGCCTCCTCTGCCCTCCACACCCCAAGGGACTCCAGCCCTCAGGGAATCCAGTGACCACAGCACTCCAGACCCTGATATACAGGTTGGCACTCCTCCGGGAGTCCATGCCAAGTCAGAGGGCACAAAATGTCAGACGACAAGGAGCCTGGGAGTCACCTACCAGAAAGTCCCAGGTTGATGTTAGCAGCAGCACTCCCATTTTCAGACAAAGTCGGCCTGGACCCTTGATATGTAAAACATGAGGATGAAGCCGCTCCATGGAGCACCAGGAGTCAGTGTGAGGAGCAGGAGAGCAGCATGGGGAGTGGGAGGACCACCCCACCTGGCCTCCAACCAGGGCCTCCCCCACGCTCCCAGATAGTACCCAAGGCACCTTCTGGGACTGTGACGAAGAATCTGAAAACCACAGTTTTCTCTGGCCTCTCCATGTTGCGGAAGTCTGGAGGAAGCAGGGAGTATGTGCGGACCACACAGCTTAGGGAGAGCTAGGACCACAGCCCTGGCCCTCCCAACTTCCAGGCCAAGCTGTTTCCCAAGACTCTCAAGACAACAGGACCCCATCCTCCACATGGGAAAGGGACACAGCAACACCCCCACTCCCAAAAAAGTCTCATGAGCCGGGCGCAGTGGCTGACACCTGTCATCCTAGCACTTTGGGAGGCTGAGGCGGGTGGATCACCTGAGGTCGGGAGTTCGAGACCAGCTTGACCAACATGGTGAAACCCCATCTCTACTAAAATTACAAAAATTAGCCGGGTGTGGTGGCGGATGCCTGTAATCCCAGCTACTCGGGAGACTGAGGCAGGAGAATCGCTTGAACCCAGGAGGCGGAGCTTGCAGTGAGCCGAGATCACGCTACTGCACTCCAGCCTGGGCGACAGAGCGAGAATCTGTCTCAATTAAGAAAAAAAAAAAAAAAGTCTCACGGATTCAGGTCCTCCCATGCTCCCAGTACAGGGCAAAAAGCTCCACGTACATCACGCCTATGACCCAGGTATTATCATTTCTTTCTTGTATATAAAGAAGTGGGCGTTCAGGAAGATTAAGTGACTCATCCAAGGTCACCCAACCTGTGAGTGGCAAAGCCCAGATTCCAACCCAGCACATAGCTCTTGACCCCCACTGCAGCCTTGCAGACATCACCACTGTCGTGGTGCCTGGCTATAACAACTTCCTCTGAGCCCCACTGCAAGCCTCATCTCACTCAAAGAAAAGCTGAGAGGTCTCCTACCCAACTCACCCCAACAGGATGTCACATACGGAGCTTCTCAGTAATATAGCACTACCACTGCTACTAATACCACCACCTCTCTATTATACAGCACTTTCTATTTAGGCAGTTCATACAGTATTATCTTACTTAATCCTCACAACACTACACTCCCATCTCCATCTCACAGAGGAGGAAACTGAGGCATACAGAGGTTGATGAGTTGCCCAAGTTTACACAGCTAGGAAAGAGCCGAGCTAGGATTCAACCCCAGGCAGTCTCACCCCAGTGGTACACCCCCTCCCTATAATGTCTGCTGGCTCCTCCTTCAGCGGTAGCTGTCACAAGCACCATAGTTTGGGGCTTGCCTCCCTCCTCTGAGGCCTCTCTGCAGGGGTCTGAGGCCAACTGGACCCCTGAGGGGTGGATGTGGGAAACCTATCTGATGAGCACCTTCAGCTCATCCTCTCCAGCTGTGGTAACACCATCCCCACCACCCACCCACTCACAGGAGCTAGAGCTGGAAGGATGAGATCCTGGGAGAGCAATCAACGCACAAGCATGAATAGGACACCTACTGCATGCCAAGCTTCAAGCTGTGGCAGGTGCAGGAAGTAGAAGATTCTGTCCTTGCTCTCCTGCCAGAGGCTCCAGTCCCCAGAAATGTCCAAAGGAGTAGCCCCTGCCACCCCCACCCCCTTTAGTGCTGGCTGCACCAGATGTTGGCAACACTTAGAAACAGGGCTAAAAATAGACTCTATAATGAGTCTGTGCTAAGAATAACTTGGGCAAACAGCCCTCCAGGAGAGGACACTCTCTGACAGGGAGCCACCACCTCCTCCCACCTCACAACCCAGCCTGGCCTACCCCCTGGCCCATCACTCAGAGTCCCCCACAGCTAGCAGAGGACCTGGAGCATTTCGAACCTAACTGCTGTGTTGATGGAGGCATCGGCATGCCCGCGTGCACCCTACATCACAAGCCAGGTGACCGGCCACCCTCCATGAAGGGTGGGGGCATCAAAGGACTGGGCAGAAGCTGGTGGGAACTCCCTGCTCCAGGCAGAGCTGTACTGAGGCACCAAGTCACTTGAGTTGTTTCCCCACTCTAACACCAACTCCCAGCAGGAAACTAGGAAAATAGGGCCCCCCAGCTCGAAAATCGTGCTTCATTTCATGTCTCACCTGTGACATGGGTCCCTCGAGTCAGCTAGACCGGCCCACTTCAGACATGTTCAGGGGAACTGAGAGCAGAGAGAGGCAGCAGTACACTGAAAAGCAGACATCAACTGTGGCCGGGGGAGGGGATCAGAACTTTAGGGCCCCAACCATGCTAGCTCCCACAGCCAGGGCCTCCTTTTCCCATGTCCTCACTGCCCCCAGAAATTATAAGAACTGTCAGACTCATGGATATCTGCATATGGATTGAAAATTAGTAGAGCACGTTCATGTATGATATCAGAGCTGAACTTCTCAAAAACTCCAGAAGACAGACAAGATGATGAGTTTCATTACACAACTGAGGAGAATGAGGCTCAGGAAATGGAATTAACTTGCTAGGGGCCCTGCAGCTGGGATGAAGCCTTATTGCCATCTATTAGTCTGAGAAGGATCTCCCAGCAGCCATAAACTAGGCATAGCTCCATCTCATAGCAATGCCCAGAAGGAAACAGACACCCTCTAATGCTGGGAGCAAGCAGGAGGGGGCCAGAAAAAGGTAAGGAGCTCTCAGGAGGAAACAGCAGCACACACAACACTTCTCTGAGGACAAAGGAAGAAGGAAGAGGAAGAGGTATCCTGGGCAGAGCACTGGCCATGGAGTCAGGAGCAAGGAGTCTGGCCCTAGCTCTGTAACAGGTAACTGCATAACCTGGGAAAATCCCTTCCTAAGTTTCATTCCAGGTCTTAGTTTCTCTATCTGGAAAATGGGGCTTTAAACACCAGGCCTTTGAGATACCCTAGAGTATATATCATGACCACATATTGGAGATGTACAACAAAAATTAGCATATCACAGGCTCTGACAAGCCCTACAGCAAAGAAAACCATTTGGGGTTTTGTGTAGTTGTATATATTTATGGAGTACAAGGTGATGCTATGATTTATGAGCACCATGTGGAATAATTAAATCAAGTTAATTAACATATACATCACCTCAAATACTTGTCATTTTGGGTGGTAAGAACATTTGAATTTTGGGGGTGTTTTTTTTTGTTGTTTTATTTTGTTTGTTTGTTTGTTTTTGGAGACAGGGTCTCGCTCTGTCACCCAGGCTAGAGTGCAGTGGAATGATCACAGCGCACTGCAGCCTCAACCTCCCAGGCTCAATTGATCGTCCCACCTCAGCCTCTCCCATAGCTGGGACTACAGGCATGCATCATCACACCCGGATAATTTTTGTATTTTTTTGTTTGTAGTAACAGGTTTCACCATGTTGCCCAGGCTGGTCTTGAACTCCTAGGCTGAAGTCTCCCGCCTCAGTCTCCCAAAGTGTTGGTATTACAAGCATGAGCCACCACACCCAGCCTAGAACATTTAAAATTAACTCTTAAATGATTTTGAAATATACAATAATTACTATTTACTATATTCACCATGCCGTACAATACATCTCAAGGAAAAAACTTATGCCCCCTGTTTGAGGTTTTGTACCCTTTGACTATCATCTCCCCATTCCCCCAACCCCTATTTTTCTTTTTTTTTTTTTCTTTGACTTACAGTCTCCTGTGCCTGCTTGACCTCTAAACCTTTCCACAGAAAACATCTTGGGAAACCCTGGAATAGATTTGGAGCCACCAACTCAAATGCCTGCAGGGGCCAACAGGAAACATGAAAGCCTGAAGCAGGCCCAAACACAATCCGTTGGGACCTGCGGTTGGCTGCAAACCCTAAAGAATTCCTGACAGCTCTGGAGATTCAAGTAGTCTAGCACAGGGGTCCCCAGTCCCCAGGCCACAGACCCATACTAATCCATGGCCGGTTAGGAACCAGACCACACAGCAGGAGGTGAGTGGTGGGCAGGCAGGCAGGTGAGCGAAGCTTCATCTATATTTGCAGCCACTCCCCATTGCTCACATTACCACCTGAGCTCCACCTCCTGTCAGATCAGCAGTGGCACTGGATTCTTATAGGAGTGCAAACCCTATTGTGCATTGTGCATGTGAGGGATCTAGGTTGCATGCTCCTTAGGAGAATCTAATGCCTGATGACCTGTCACTGTCTCCCATCACCCCCAGATGGGACCGTCTAGTGGCAGGAAAACAAGCTCAGGGCTCCCACCAATTGTACATTATGGTGAGTTGTATAATTATTTCATCATATATTACAATGTAATAATAATAGAAATAAAGTGCACAATAAATGTAATGCTCTTGAATGATCCTGAAACCCTCCCCTGCCATCCATCCATGGAAAAACTGTCTTCCACGAAACCAGTCCCTGGTGCCAAAAAGGTTGGGGACCGCTGGTCTACCACTTCTATTTCACTGAAGGTCTCCTTCAGGACCCATCCAACATCTTCAACAACCCTATTGAGAGGAGCAAGGAAGGGGTCAGTGCCCTGTGTCACACAACTGAGGAGACTGAGACCTAGGAGGCCAGACACCCGGCCCAGGGTCACACGGCAGTTACTGGCATGCAGGTCATGTGGCAGGTCCCATTTATTCGGCCCTTATTGTGTACTATGTACTTCTCAGTCTTTATCTCACATAGCTCTCACAACAACCCTTTGAGGAAGGCACAGAGGAAGAAACCAATGGTCAGAGAGATTCAGTCACTGTTTGAGGACCCACAGCTAGAAAGTGGCACTACCCAGATTTGAACTCTAGTATCCCGAATCCAGAACTCAGGCCCTCAGGCCAGCTCTCCCATTTACTAGCTAGGTAACCTTGGGTGAGAGATTTAACCTCTCTGGGCCTCAGCTTCCTGAGGCCCATTTTATTATCCCTGTAAAATGGGATAATAAAAAGACCTGCATTCGGTTGTTGTATAAAGTTTGCAAATATATAAAAGTGCTTAGCACAGCGCTGGCACACAGGAGTGCCAATATATGTGACCTGTCATTAAACACCACATTCTACTGTGGGAGCTCATGCCTGAGCCTCTGGGCTCTGTGCTCAGTGGGTTGGAAGCCACCCACAGCCTCCTGAAAACTGGCCCCTGCCAATCAGTCCTAGGTTACTGCCTCTCCACCTGCCACCACAGCCCCTTAAGCTGGGACTCCTGGGGTACTCAATGAAGAGTGGAGCTTTAGAGGTTGGGGGTTCCCAGATTTAGGCCAGATCTGGGTCTCATCATCTGAGGCCCCTACTGGGCTGCCTGCACTCAAAGCTGGGGATATCCCCAGCCTGCCATGGGTCACAGGCTTCTCCTCCCACTGCCCTAGGTCACAGGGTAGGGAGGCCAGGGGCTCTCCAGACAGGCAGCTGATGTCCTCATGACCTTCCCCAGTCCTCCCAGCCTTAAAGACGACAATCATAACCCACCCAGAGCTCTTCATACTTCCTGCAGCCGGTTCATCCACAATAGGTCACAAGATGGGCATCACCACCCAGGAGGCTGGCCGCTCAGGAGACAGTGTGCCTCCTTTACAGATGGAGAAACTGAGGTCCTGACTAGGCCAAGCACTTCCCAGGGCAGGGATCTAAATAGTGGGAAGTCTTCTGGCTTCTGGATAGGGCTCAAGCTGAGAGCCAGGTTGCAGGCCAGGCCCACGTGGGTCTCACCCATAGTGACTACAGATCCTGCAAGCTGGGGGAGGGGGCATCAGTAAGGCCGAGTCCTTCTCTACCCCACCCCACCCCAGCCAGGGAGACTGGCACAGCCCTCACCCATATATAATTATTCCATCATATATTACAATGTAATAATCATAGAAATAAAGTACACAATAAATGTAATGTTCTTGAATAATCCTGAGACCCCAACCTCCACCCAACCCCCTGCTCCAGCAAGCATGGGCAGCTCCTGCCAGGCCTGACCCTGCAGCCTTCCACTGACGGCAGCCTCCCACCTTTCCAGGTAGCTCTCCAGCCCCCAGCCCCAGCCCCCAGGACCCAGGCCAACCATTCACCCCAGGCATCACCCCCTCTCATCGTCCCCACCTGACACAGGGTCATCACCCAGGAATCCCTCTCTGACCACTCTGCTCCCTCCTCTGCTGACCCACAGTCTTGGTAACCACCTTGCTAAGAACTGGGCCCTGATTCTCCAGTCAGACCATGAGGTTTGCTGAGGACAGGCACCCTGGCCATAGCACTGCTGCTGCGCCTTATATTCAGTAGGTGCTCTATAAACATGGCACAGGAGGGACAGAATCTCTAATGCAGTGGCACCAAAGTTTTGGACCATGGCTCACAGAAAAATATACTTTATTTGACACTAGGCACACATACACACACACACACACACACACACACACACACGAAACATGTTCTACACAACAATGCTTACTGATACTGAGCAATACACTTGAATATTTTCTAGTCTCTTCTTTTTCATTAAAAAAAAATTCATGGAGACCCACCAAACTGATTTCATGGCTGAATTAGGGTCCAATTAGTGGCCCTGATCCACAATTTGAAAAACCTCCCTCCAAAAGTATCTGTGCAGCCCAACTATCTGCCTGGCGCGTGGCCCTCTCTACAACAGGCGCCTAATAATGGCATCCATCTGTCAGACACTTACTCCAGGCCAGACCTGTGCTAAGCATTTTACTATGGTGTCTTATTTCATCCTCACCATCACCCTAGGAGATAGGAACTGCTATCACCCCCATTTTAAATGTGGTGAAACTGAGGCCTGAGGCCAAACAGTAACTGGCTCAGACAGAGCTGAAAACCAGGCCTGTGTGAATCTGAAGCCAGATTCAGAACCACTGCACCCTCATGCCCACAGATGAGTGGCCTTCAACTGCTCTCTCAAGACTACACCCTGGCAGGGAGCTCACTCTCCTAGGAAGTCTCTTCCAACTCCAACTACTAATAAACCATTCCTTATATTATTATTATTATTATTAAGGCAGAGTCTCCCTCCGTCGTTCAGGCTGGAGTGCAGTGGTGCAATGTAGGCTCATTGAACCCCTTCGCCTCCTGGGTTCAAGCGATTCTCCTGCTTCAGCCACCCAAGTAGCTGGGATTACAGGCACATGCCACCATGCCCAGCTAATTTTTTGTATTTTAGTAGGGACGGGGTTTCACCATGTTGGCCAGGCTGGTCTCAAACTCCTGACCTCAGGGGACCCGCCCACCTCGGCCTCCCAAAGTGCTGGGATTACAGGCGTGAGCCACCGCACCTGGCTCCATTCGCTATATTAATTTAACTCTTTATAGCTGTGGGTTACTTTGATTACTTAATTGGGGATGGCACAGAGAAAAGAAAGGGCTCCCTGGCCAGAGCCCACAGGCTGCAAGGCCAGCCCTCACACCCCTCCCAGCAGACCCTCCATCCTCCTCCTCTCCCATACTTCTATTGGAACCCAGAAAAGGGGCAGGGGTGTGGGTGAGGGGCCCACCTGTGGGCTGAGTGGACCATTCTGCCATTCTCCCTCACTGATATAGCTGCCCTGGAGCAAGTCACTCTAGCCCCTGGGCCTACATGTCCCCATCTGCAAAATGGGAATGATAGCAGCATCCCCCTCATGGGGTGACTGAGGGTGAAGGGGCTGGTACAGATGAATCACTGGGCACAGTACCTGACATGGAATAAGGCCAGGTAAACATGAGCTCTTACTATCAATCTCAGTTCCAGCTCAAACTTCCACCATCAAAAATGATCGTCAGGAGCCCTGGGCAGTTTTTTGCCATCTGCACACAAACATGCTATGTCCTGGTGAAGTGTTAACCTGTGCAGGCACTTAGTGGGAGGCTGGCTCTATTCTGAGCACTTTATGTGAGTAAAGTCTTTTACTCTTCAGAACTCACAAGGTGGGCACTATAACTGTCATCTCCATGTTACAGATGAGGAAGCAGAGGAGGATAACTTGCCAGCATCATGAAACTGCAAAACGACAGGGCCAGGATTCAAGCAGGTGGATGTAGAGCATATGCTCCCAGCCCCTAATGTAAATGGGTATTCACTGTGGCCTGGCCAGTGACATGCTAAGCCCATCCTGCCCATGACCTTCTCACTCGACCCTTGAAATAAGCCTGGAGAGATGAGGAAACTGAAGCACAACTCTGGCTGACTCCTGATTTCCCACGCTGTCCAACCTGCACTCCAGAGCTTGGCCACCTTCTTCCCCATTCTTTCCCTCACCCCAGCCTTGGCCATGCTCAGAGACCCCCACCCCTCCCCAAAGACATCCCAATGCCAGTGCAGCCTGAGGGGCCTCATCCCTACCCACCCACCTCCCCAAAGACACCACACGCATGCACATACACTCACACAGATGCACACAGGCTAACACACATGGACACACATTCACACACATGCTCACACACATGCACACACTCACACACATGCACGCGTGTGCTCTCATACCTTCGAGAGGGCAGCCCCCTGGAAGGAGGCCCCTGGAATGCTCAGCTCCTCCAGGGGCCGGAGCCCAGGGCCGCACCCCAGCCCCAGGGCCGGGCTCAGTTTCCTCATTTCCCCGGCGGCTGCTGTTTCTCACCCAGCCCCCTGCACCTCAGCTGGAGAGGAAGTTGCACAATCCCCTGGGAGCTGCAAATGCGGCCGAGGATTACTCACAGCACAGAGGGAACTGCGCCCCGACGGCACAGTCCCACACCGCAGCCTACCCAACACAGACTGCTTCAATCTCACCCGCCCGGCTCCAGGCGCCCACAGCGCTCCTTGGTCCTCCCACAGGAGGCCTCTCATGGCCGCCCTGACCCCAGCCTGACCTCAGAGGGCCCTAGGCAGATGGAGAGACACAGAGCAGCAAGAATTTCGCCAGAGTCCCAATCCCACCAGGTCCAGGGTGGGCCTAACCCTAACCCCAGCCCCGCTTCCTAGAGACATGTGTCCTTCTAGCCAGAAGCCCCACAGCTCACCATCTTCCTGACTGGCCATACACCTGCAGTCTTGGCCTTGGGCCTTCCCAGGGCCTCCAGACACCCAGGTCGAGGCCGTACTACAGCCCACCTTGAAATGGAGCCTGAGATCAAGCAGAGCCCTGGGCAGCTCCGGGAAGATCCACACCACCGCACACTTTTCACTTGTGCAGAAACTGTTCTTGATACACATGCAAGTTCAGTGGTTCCTCAGCCCCCCAGCACTTTTTTAGCAGCCTGCCAAAGAGACTGGGCAGAGATTTCACTTAGTGCTTCTTTCTGGTGGCCAAGGGATTCCCATCGTTGATAAGCAAATACCCTGTATTAAGAAAGGTTAAGCTATTATCGGTCGTCTGCGTCTCAGGGTGGATGAGTTTACTGGGCCCTTTCGTGAGTGCAGGTTTCAGGAAGGAAGCGGGCAGCAGAGAGGAGATGAGGCAGGCCGTGGCTCCTGGAGAAGGCAGGAGATGCCAGCAATGTGAGGGAAGCCCAGAACAGTGAGGCCAGAGAGGCCCAGGGAGGATGGACCCAGACTCTGGTCCAACCCTGGGCCTCCCTGGGCTGGCAAATTCTGGAAGGACACAAAGGATGAGTAGGAGCCAGGCCTGGGTGTGCAGAGCCCCCAGGGAGGACCTCTGGCTCCCGCCCCTTGCCGCCCGAGACCTGCAATGGGGCCTCAGATAAGGAACATGATAAATACCTCTTATCACCCCCACAACCTTGGACTCCCATCCAGCTAAGGACAAAGTTGGAAATGTTTTTGTCCTGGGCCCCAAGGCTCCCAGAGAACCCCTCATTTCTGCAGCCCTCATCAAAAGGCTGGGGCCCGCAGGGACTGTGGGGGAAGCGCCTCACAGCCCCTGCAGCAGCACGAACCAGGACTGAGGTTCACAGCGGTCACCTGATGCCTCCAGCTTGGTGGACAGGGAACACAGTCAAGGAAGAAGGGCCAGTGCTGAAAAGGCCTGGCTCTACTGGAACGCAACAGCCACAAGGCCCCTTTGCAGGGACGCCTCCCCCAAAATGCCTGCACATTCACCATCTCCCCCATCCTGACAAGAGCCCCATGAAGGGGAAGGGCAGCAACGCTTGCTATCCGTTTTTCAGATTCCAAGGAGGCTGAGGCTCAAATCACTTAAGTGACTTCCTCGAGGCCATGCAGCAAGTTTATGGCAAATCTGTTTCCTGGCTCTTTTCCTAGATCAGAGTTTCTCAACCTCAACACCAGACACTCAGGGCCAGGTAATTAGTTACAGGGGCTGTCCTGTGCATTTTAAGATGTTTAGTGGTATCCCTGGCCAATATCATCAGACATTGGCAAATGTCCCCTAGGGGGACAAAATCACCCCTAGTGGAGAACTACTGCCCTAGAAGCACCTAAAAGATGGGCACCTGCCAATTCCAAATTGAACGGTACACCTGCTGAGGGCTCTAGCCTGAGAGTCTCCCCCTCTCCCCCACCAGATGTGCTAGGCAAGAGGGCCTGAAGGGTGATGGGTACTCTGTGGTTCAGTACCCTCTGGGAAGAGGCTTCTTAGCCCCAGCAGGCACTGCCACTTAGGGGGTCTCCCCACAAGACCAATATCACCTTCCAACTCCCAAGCTACATGCCAACCCCCTTCCTGGCATTCAATATTACCCTGATCTTTCAACCGTTTTGATCATATATTCCTATCAGTAAAAACTTTTGAGCACTCTCAATATATGCTTCTTTCCTTGTAAATTGCTTATATATACCCCGATGCATGAATATATTATAGATGTCAGCAAACATACCCCAAAATTATATATTTTTAAAATGAGAATGAAAATGCAATACACCAGGATGAGACATGTTACACACTCACCATCATGGCAGAAATTAAACTAACAAGACCAAGTGTTGATAAGGCTAAGGAGCAACAGGAACTCTGTGGGCCACTAGCAAGGAGTAAAGTAGTACAACCACTTAATAAAATATTTACTGAAGTTGAAATATACATTAAAGGCCAGGCCCGGCGGCTCACGCCTGCAATCCTGGCACTTTGGGAGGCCGAGGTAGGAGAATCGCTTGAGCTGGGGAGGTGGAGGTTGCAGTGAGCTGAGATCGCGCCACTGCACTCCAGCCTGGGCAACAGAGCAGACTCCATCTCAAAAATAAATAAATAATAAAAAGAAAAGAAAGAAAATTAACAGACTACGGCTATACACAACATAAGTGACTCTCACAAATACACTGTTGGGTGGGAAAAGCCTGACGTAAAAGAACATGTCCAGCGCCATTCCATCTGTATTAAATTCAGAGTCAGGCAAAACTAAACTCAGCTAAGGGATGCAGACATAGGTGGTTACATAATAAAAGAGGCAAGGAGCTGATTATCGTACAGTCAGGATAGTGATTACCTCTGGGGGTGGAGGGCACATGAGTTGATTTTGGCGTACAAGCTACATTCTGTTGTTTATTCACCTGGGTGATGGTTGCCTAGGGGTTCACTTTTTTTTTTCTTTAGATGGAGTCTTGCTCTGTCACCCAGGCTGGAGTGCATTGATACGATCTTGGCTCACTGCAACCTCCACCTCCCAGGTTCAAGCGATTCTCCTGCCTTAGCCTCCCAAGCTGGAATTACAGGTGCGTGCCACAACACCTGGATAATTTTTGTATTTTTAGTAGAGATGGGGTTTCACCATGTTGGCCAGGCTGGTCTCAAACCCCTGACCTCGTGATCTGCCTGCCTTAGCCTCACAAAGTGCTGGGATTACAGGCGTGAGCCACCGCACCCAGCCAGGGGTTCACTTTTATAATTATTTACTACATTATATGTGTATGTTTATGCTTTTTAAGCAACTATGCTATATTTCACAATTTTAAAAGAAAGAAAAGAATGAGATATAAGTAAATAGATACAGTATTTTCTTCCCATACCTAGTTTCGCAAAACACTATAATTAGATCCAAAGAAGTGGATGACAACCTATAGTTAGGCACAGGTCTGGAGTAGTGATAATGCTTGGGGCTGTCTAGGGAGGGTCCCTTCCCCCAGTTGGCCCAGGCTGCTGGCTGCCCCTCAACCCACAGGAGCCGACTACCATAGCCTCTTTCACCCGCCACCCCGCCCAGGATGTCCCAGCCACCACACACCCCTTCCTGGCCATGGGTAGGGGGTTGCGTCAGGCTGGGCACCTTCGCAGCCACCTCACCCTACCGTGGACCATTCCTCTGGGCCCCTGACAGCAGGACTTGGAGGCTGACTGTGAGAAAGGTACTGGTGGGGTGGGCCCTGGTCATCCTTTGAACACATCAAAAGAAGGAAGGTGGCAGAGAAGGAAATAAAGAGGAAGGAGAGAAGGGGAGACAAAGAGCAGGAGAGAGAGAGATAGTCCAAGGCTGCAGATGCTGTGGAACTAGATGGAGGCTCAGAGGGTGGCGGAGGGTGGAGGGGAGAAAAAAGGCTTGTGGCCAGGCAAGGTGGCTCACGCCTGTAATCTTAACACTTTGGGAGGCCGAGGCGGCTGGATCACTTGAGCCCAGGAGTTTGAGACCAGCCTGGGCAACATGGTGAGATCCCATCTCTACAGAAAATTTTAAAAATTAGCCAGGTGTAGTGGCACGTGCCTCTGGTCCCAGCTACTTGGGAAGCTAAGGTAAGAGGATTGCTTGAGCCCAGAAGGTTGAGGCTATAGTGAGCCATGATTGTGCCACTGCACTCCAGCCTGGGCAACACAGAGAGACCCTGTCTGCAAACAAACAAAAAAGAAGGTTCTGGAGGTGGGAGGAACAGAGGCACTGCCCCCAGGTTCCAGGCCCAAGCATGGAGGCTCAGTCACAGGCAGGTCCAAGGAGGCCTGAGCTGTCGGCCCTGATCCAGCACCACATCTCCCCTTGGCCCCAGAGCTTCCAAGTGGCAGGTGGGTGGCTCAGAGCCTCCTTTCAAAGGCTCCAGCAGCCTCTAGTCCTCCTGGAAGGAAGGACTTGTCCAGAACGTAGCCTGCAGAGGTGACCCCCAGGTGAGAAGGCCCAGGGAGCAGTAGAGTAGCCCTTCCTGGGGCCCAGAAGGTGGAAAGGGCTGAGGGCCTAAACCACGCTGAGTCAAGGTCTCTGTGCCAGCAAGAGGCCCAAGGAGAATGCTCTTCAGGGCAAAGGGCAGGTATCACCGCGCTTATGTTGTTTAGTACATTAGTCTACACTAGCTTCTCGCATTCTGCTCCTCTCTGCCCTCTGTGGTTACTAAGATTCCCTGGCTAGGACATCGGCACCTTGCGGGAGAAGCTGTGATCTTGTTCCCACCCGCCCTGCTTGGCCAGCCCAGTGCCAGGTACCTCTGATGTGCTCAGTACATGCCTGTTGACACTGAAGGCCTTGTGCTGCTGAATCCCTGGGCCTCGATCCCCTCCTCTTGACAACATGGGGGCAGCGCCAGCTGCCCTCTGACACCCCCAGCTCTACGGTTCCAATTAGCCCCAAAGCAAGGCCAGCCAGCACCGTCCTGGCAAGGCAGCAGAAAGTGCACCTGGCTAGAGCTGGGAGGGGACAAGAGGCGGCAGGGGGTGGACAGTATAGTGTGTCACCTCCTGGCCACTCTGCACCCCTCAGGGACTGTGGGGGGCCGCGGCAGGTGCTGTCCTCAAAGCAATTATAAACAAGGCAAAGGACAGGCTGTGACTTCCCTTGGCAAACAGGAGAAAACAAACCGGAGCCCCACCCCACAGACCCACTGGTAGAACTCGGGGAGGGGGGGTTGGGGGAGGTGCTGGCAGACTCTCTGTGGGGAGGAACAGACTGTGAGCCCTACACCAGGAGGAGGCTGGGCCTGGATCACTGTGCGGGGAGGGAGACAGGGCAGAGGCAGAGGGCTCAGCGCCTTGTGGACCTGTGGGCGAGGCCCCTGGGTGTCAGCTGGTGAAGCACCTGCAGGGTAGAGACGGTAGACAGAGCATTTTTTTGGTGTCTGCATTTCTGGGCACACAATGGGGGCTCAATCCCATTCTCTCATCCATTCCACAAAGATTTATTGAGCAGCCACTATATATGAGGCTCTCTTCTAGGTGCTAGGGGTACGGCACGGACCAAAACACAGCAAACCCCTGTGCCCAGTCACCTGAGGACTGGCGGGCTCAGACACCAATCTCGCCCCCACTCCCGGCCCCGCCTCGCCTCCCCTGCAGCAGGGCTGTGGGACCTGCCACCTCTTCTCACCTCCTACCAGGCTTCACCCCAACTCCCTCCAGTTTCCACAAACAACTCCACACCCCTGCCCCCAGGGGCCAGCCCCCAGGCTCTCCCAACCATCCACTCTCTCAAGGCCCAGGACCACCTAGAAGATGACAGAGACTCCACTACCTCCAGCAGGGACCCTCCCCCTACCCTCCCTACATCTCTGGTCTGGGAGAGGAAAGGAAAAGGGAACAGCTTATTTCTGTGTGTGTCTGTATCATTTTTATTGTTAACAACAACTACGATTCAAGCTGGAATCAAATACTTGCCCTCCATAGGGTGGGAAAGTGAAATAACAGGAAGTATTTTAAGAGCCTCCCTTCAACAAAGTGAGGGTCCTCTCTGAACACCTCCCCAATTATTGCAATAATGCTACTTTAGCTCCAAGCACCTTCACAGCAGCTTCAGACCCTGACGCATGTTCTGAGGCCCCTCAGCTAGTGCCATCCTTGTTTGTCCGCCTCATCCTGCCTTCATCAACCAGTGCACAGTTTTAAGCACTTGTCCCAGAGAGTGGGACCAAGAGCTGCAAGGCCGAACAGTGGATAGTTTCAGGGGAGGTGGGGACAGGTGGAGAAATGGGAAGGACTGACTGTAGAGGGGACACCAAATTTTCTCAGAAGTGGTCCATGCCCCTGGCGACCTGCCTTCAAAAGGGGACAGGCCTACCAGGCCCAAAGTCAGAGACACAGAACCCAGGAGAAGGACGGCTCTCACCTGGGTAGCTGCAAAGCGGCAGGACCCGAAGGCAGTGGTTTTCCAGGTGTGCTCTGGGGACCAGCAGCATTAGCATCACTAGAGGACTTGTCAGAAATTCAAATTCTAGACCACATGGAATTTGCAGAAACACCGGGAGGGGCCCAGCATCTGTGTTTAAACAATTCCTCCAGGGAGTTCTCATGCATGCCCAAATTTGAGAACCACTGCCCTAGAGAAAGGGCATTGGAATCATCCCAGAAAAAAAAAAAATTAAATAAAGATGCCTAGGCCCCTCCCCAAGAGATTCAGATGCAATGGTGTTGTCTAAGAGTTCCGCAGGTGATCATAATACCCAGCCAGGCTGCAGTAAGATGGAACAGTGCCCCGGTCTCTCTGAAATGTGTGCCCTGATGGAGGGAAAGATTTGCTTATAGGGAAGGAGTGAGGAAGGGCTACGAGGAGGGAATATGAGCCATGGGTTTCTGGATGGAGAGTCTGGTGGAATCCCTGGATTAATCCCTACAGCACCGCATCTTACTCTGGGACCACTGCTGAATGCATAAGAGCCAACCAGGTGGCCTGCATGGCCTGGCAAGCAGGTGCTGGATCTTATGGGGCCAGGTGGCTCTCCCCATAAGAAAGCTGGACAAAAGATGGGTGGCCAGACCTCATTTTTCCTCCTTAAGCCCACACTTAAGAGCCAGGAAGGAAAGCTGGTGATGACCCTGCCTGTTGCCTCTGCTCCTCTTGGCTCTCACCCACGGCTTTGCCATTTCACAGCAAAGCATTTCCTGTGGGCATGATAAGTCCCAGATCCTACCCTATCACTGCGATTTTATCTCTGTCCCCAATGACATCACAGCCAAGGGGATCTGTATCTCTGGTGCAGTGTGGAGGAGGGACAGATGATAGGAGAGCAGGGGACAGCCACAGCTAGGAGTGCATGGTCAGTGGCCAGGCCAGATGCTACCCAGGGAAACCCAAGTGGCAGGGCAGGGGTGGTAGAGATGCCTCAGGCATTGCCAAGCCCCCTGCACCGTCTTATTCAACAAGGAGAGGAGGCTGGTGTGGTGGGACAGAGAGTGGTGGGAAGCCCCACGTAAAGCATTACATCAGAGAACATTAGACACATGGAGAGGCCTGTTTGCAACCCATAGGTCTTTATTCCTTCCCTAGAGCTCTCCATGCCTCTATTTCCTCACTTAAGAATGAGAAATAAATAACTCACTGAGTCATAACAGTTCATTAGGCGCTATTCTAAGTACTACATGTGCATCAATATCGGCATACTCAGCCCTCACGACAGCACTAGTAGGTGGGTGCTGCAAGAACCCTCACTTTTTAGGTGTGGAAACTGAGGCACAGTGGGGTTAAGCAGCTTGCCGAGGCTCACACAGTGTTAAGTGGCAGAGCTGTGCAAGCCACATAGCCTGGCCCCAGAGCCCACGTTCTCAACAACCCCCTGACCAGGTGACACTGGTCCAGTGCTCAATATATAGTGGCTATGGCTGTCCCAAGAAAAACTTCCTGGTTGCTTCACCAGGACCAGTCTTTAGCTAAAGCTCAATTCTGCGGACTGCAGCATCTCCCAAACACCCCTAACAACCCACCCCCACCACCCCTTGCTTTCTCTTCCTTTTTCTTCCTCCCCGGTGCCTTTGGCAAAGATTTGTAGAAGGTTCGCTTTGGAGGGAATCCCACAGATGATCCAGATTCACAGATATGGAAACTGAGGCTGAACAAAGCAGAGACCTGCCCAGCCACACAGCCAGTGAGAGGCACAGTGGGGTCTCTCGACTCCTGGTCCAGTGCTCTTATGACTTTACTGCCGTCCCATTCTCACCCAATGATCCCCACAGCCTCTTCTGCACATCTGATTAAACAAGGGCCTGCTGAGGGCTGCACTGTACGTTAATGGACGTGGAATGCATGGCACAAAGCCGGGCACCTAGAAGGCCATCAGTAAGGATGCCTCCTCCCTTCCTGGGTGTCTGGGGCTTCCAAAGAAGCCCAGGAAGTCTTGCCTGAACCAGTCTCCTTCCCTGGCCAGTCAAGACAGGTTCCAGCCGGAGGTCCTTTGGTCACCCATGCTGGCAGCTCAGAAGAAAGGCCAGGAAACAGGTATGGTGCTCAGACAGGGGCCTCAGCAAGTTCCCACCCTGCTTTTTTATTTTTATTTTTTTCATACAAATTCTTTTTTCAATTGAGTCCAGGTCTCGCTATGTTGCCCAGGCTGGTCTCGAACTCCTGAGCTCCAGTGATCCTCCCACCTAGGCCTCCCAAAGATCTGCTTAGAGCAGGAAACCCTGGATAGAGAAAAGAAGGTCCCCAGACCACCACACCCCCACCTTTTAAGAGAGAACTCCTGGGAAACCCCTTGAAGAAGTGGTCTTCTTTAGGGACTGAGAACACAGACTTTGGAGTCAATTGGACCTAGGTTAAAATTCCAATCCTGTCACTTCCAGGCTGTGTGATTTTAAGTGACTTGCTTAACCTCTCTGAGTAAGTAAGTGTAATGCAAACAGTAATTCCCACCTCACTCTAAACACACAATAAATGTTGGCAACTATTGTATAATCAATCTTATTATAATATTGTTCTAGTATAGCATAAAAGAAGAGATGAATATTCTATTAATATAATCTTGTTTTATTGTTACACTCTCATAGACACACATGCACAGTTCATCTCTACCCACATTCCTAGACACTTTAACCACACACACAAACTCACAACCATTACATAAACCCCACACCAACCCAGAAAGCAACATCATGTACTCACCATGTACCAGGCACTGCCGCACCCTTAGTCCTCACAACAGCCTGTGAGGTGGGTGTGTTTTCATCTCCCTCCTCTCAGATGAGGATCCACACTGTACATGCATATATGTTCACTGCGTCCTGGGACGTGAACATTTCTGGCAGCTCTGGGAACCCTGAACTCCCACCCTCCGATCAGAGGAGGCCAACCCAATTTCCATGGTCATCTCCAGGGCAGCCCCAAGCCAGGCCCCAAGTGCTGACTGCCCTCCATCCCCAGGACAAAGGCCCAACCTGGTTTTCATGACAGCTGTGGTTGGGGAAACCCCTGTTGCCTGCAGAAACCGAGTTGACTTTGAAAAGGAAGAGACAGAACCCAGGGGGTGGCTGGGCTACTCCCTGTGGGGGCAGGTGCTAAGTAACTCTATTAACTCTGGCTAATGATGCAATTACAGTCATAAACAGAGCCCCAGGAGGGCTCAGGGCCAAGAGCTAGACCCTCAAAGGGCAGCCAGACTTGAGGGGTGGGAGTCCCCTTCCACCTACTTCTCAGCTTTCCAGAAACAGGCTGAGGAGGCCTGTGACAGCGCACGTGGGACCCTGGAAGGGCTCCTGCCTGCCCTGGCCCACTCCCTGCCCACCTCTGACTGTGAGTCACCAGGCCATTAGCCCGTAAAAGCCCAGTTGGCTCTCCCTAGATTCAGTGCCCACCTAGGGTGTCCCCTGCCCTATCCCCTGAACTCCTTCCAGGGCACCCGGAACCAAGATACCTGGGTCCCCATTTGGCTCCGTCTCCCAGAGCTGAGTTGAGGACAAAATAACCCTGCAGCTGTAACAAGCCTTGTAAATGGTAAGCACCATTGGCTTCCCTCGGGGAGAAGCAGAGCATGGAGTCACCCAAACAGCTCTGCCCTTCATTTACACCCTCTGGCTCCCAGCTCTCCGGGCCCCGCGGCCAGGAGGCAGACGGAGAGAAGGGAGCCAGGCGAGTTGCTCGTGGTCCTGGGGCTGGGGTCACCGGCATGGTGAAAGCATACCGTCAGGTTAGCAGGCAGGGACCTCAAGGCAGCTGACCCTTCCCTTCCTCTGCCTCTGCCTCTCCTGGCCGGCCAGGAACTATTGCTGGCTGTCCCTCCCCGGACAGTGAGCTCCCTGAGGGGAGGGCCTGAGGACTGTCTCCCAGTCGTGGCACCAAGAACTGCGTTCTAACCGAGCGCATCCGCATCTGTCCACCCAGAAGGAAACCAGAGACCAGCCTCCAACCTCATCCCCAGCTGCCCAACAGTGCCAGGTCTGGGCCAATGGAATCTCGGCCAGGGCGGGTGCAGGGGCCTGAGGCCACACCCCAGAGGTGTCACTGGGGGCCTGCATCCGTCTTGTCCCTTTCCCTGAGGGATGAAGCAGCCCCTCACTCGGGATGGGGGGAGGGCAGAGGATGGGAGCTGGGCAGTAATTAACCTGCACTTCCCCAGCGAGCTCTAAGCCAAAAACTGCGCTCAAGTTGAGTGCAGAAGCTCCGCGCTGAACCGTCCCCAGAACAGACAGGCGAGAGAACGACGGCTGGAGCTGAGGGGGGTTCGGGGGAAGGCGCAGCGGCCAGGGGCTGGCGGAGAGCGGAGGGCGGGGGCCTGGGCCCAGCGGGGTTCGCGCAGACAAGCCCCGCCCCGGGCTCCCTCCCTTCCTCACCCGGGGCGCGGGGCTGGGGCGCGCCAGGCGGCTGCGGCGCGAACCTGCTCGCGCAGCCCGGAGCAGCTCGGGGCAGCCGTGCGTGAAGCCGGAACCCCGCGCGGGGAGGGGGCCGAGCTGGCATCTGCCCGCTCCCTTCCAGGAGGCGAGCGGACGCGCTGGGCCAGAGCTGGTCGGGACAGCCCAGGGGTGGGCGGCACGGACTCGGGGGATCGGGGGGAAGGGGGCGTGTTTTCCGGGATTCGGGACCGAGACGGGGGGAGGGGGAAACTCGGGGGGCGGGCAGGCAGCTGGGAACCCGGGGGGAGGCAGACAACGGGGCGCACGGAGGGAGCGCTCCGGGGTTGGTGTTCCCCAGGGTCATAGAATAACCCACGGGGAGAAAGAGACTGCCCAGGGACTCGAGGGGACGGGGCCAGGGGCGGCTTCTTCAAGAGACCGAGCTGGAGGAAGGGACGGGAAGGGAGGGAGAGATGGTACTTCCACCCGCCCCCCCATCAGCCCAGCCCCCGGGGCGTGGCGCCGCTCTGGCCCTCCCACTCCCCCCGCTGGCCTGGCCAGACTCAGCCCCCGCACACCTCCCCTACCTCCGACCCCCTCTCAGGCATCGCCGGCCCCAGCCGTGTCCGGTGGAGGGGGAGTGGGCGCGGGGCCCGCGCGTCCCTCAAACTTCTTGCGAGTTCACCATCACGCCTCCCGCCCCTTCGACTCCCAGCTCCGGGCCGGGAAGGCCCATGCCCGCCCGGCCCCTCCCGCCCGGTTACATAAGGTCGCGGAGAAGCCGCCCCCGGCCCGCGCCTGAAGGGAGGGGCCGAGGGGGCTCCCGGCTCGGCGGGCAGCGCCGCTCGGGCCACGCGCTGGGCGCCCGGGGGCGGACGGACTGCGGGTGGGTGGCGGCGCGCACGGTCCTGCTTCCCTCTCCTGCCGGCATCCCCCACCCTCCCACCTGTCTCCGGGACCCACGGGATAGGGGCCAGGGAGCCTGGGTCGGGGGTCCCGGGCCCTCCTCGTGCCTCTCGCTCCCCGGTCCCGCTCACCTCGCTCTGAAGGTCAATCTGTCCGCCGCCCGCGCCCCGCGGCTCCGGCAACTTGTCGCAAGTTCGGGTGCCTGGCCCGCAAGCTGTGCCCGCCACCTGCTCCCGGCCTGCTCCGGCCCCGTGCCACCAGGGAGGCCCGCCCCGTCCGCCCTTCCCGCCGCCGTCGGCGCCGCGGCCGCTCCCTGCGTCCCGCCCGGGCCGCCGCCTCCGCTGTCACCGAGCCCCGCGCCCGGCGCCCGGGCTCCGGCTGTCACTCCACGCACACTTCCCTCCGCGCCCGGCAGAGGGCAGCACCCGCCCCGCCTCCCAGCCGCTCTGCCTCGGCGCCCACTGGGAAGCGTAGTTCTCGCTGCAGTCCCGCTAGGCACGCCGGGATTTGTAGTCCCGCTCAGCGGACTAAGGCTTACAGGGAAAGAGGCTCTTGACTTGGAACCTCTGATCCACTTCTACCTCTTTGCAAGTTTTCTTTCTCCTCTCAGTAAAGTCCCAAACCAGGGCTCACTAAGATACATTCTGTAGCCTGTCCGACCCCCTAAAAGGAACCTGCAGCCTGCTGTCCTTCGGCAGTCTAAGAAAGAGAGGGTCCCAGATGGTGTGCTGTTGCCATAGAAACTCCACCTGTGGCAAATTCCAGCTTCTCTTCAGGAGTAGGGTGCAGGACCTGGATCTTGCACTTTTATCCCTGCCCCGATCATAAGGGGCAAGGCCAGGGTGAGCCTGGCGAAGTACAGGGTAAAATATGACAGTAGAAGGCAGCCTGCCCCCATTATGGGTTCTACATTCACGCCCCACTCACCAGCCTGAGCTTGCTGTCATGTTGCTGGACAGAAATTGTCTGAGCTCCTTTCATGTCACCTTCCCTTGTTGGAAGTTCACAGGGTGCGGAGGCATCATTCTCTACTTTCTCCTCTTCCCCGCCCCTTTTTCCCTGTCTCCTCCCCCAGCCCCTCCCCTGCTTTTCTTCTCCTTCCCCTCCTCCTTTTCTTCCTCTCTCTCCTCCTTCCCCACATACAATGTTGCTCCTGGTTTCTGGATCTTTTGCTAAGAGGCTCCTGAGGAGGACAGGGATGAAGTCCAAAGGGACAAGATCCCTTGCTGAGTTGGTTCCAGCAAATAGGCTCGATTTCTCTGTGACTCAAGTAGGAACACTCTCCCCCGGCCCGCCACCCACCCACCCATGATGGCGCTACCACTGTCTTCCCTTTCCAGGGGAAAAGTATGAACTTTAAGCTCTGAGGGTTACAGAGCCCATCCCAAGCCATGCCTTAGGTCCCATTTCTCTTAGAATCACAGTGACCCACCAGGAAACCTTGTAGCCACTCAGGGAAAACTCCCTTCCAAAAACAACAGGATGACCAACATAAAGAAGAACTATTTATTATTAGAGAAAGTCCAGAGTCCAGAAAAAGAAGGCTGAATCCAGAGTGGAAAGACAGATACAATGCCCTAGGAGGGTGCAGGGTCAAGAGGAAGAGGGGAGCCCACGTGTCGAGGCAGCAAGTCTAGGCGGCAGTGGCAAAGCCTACTCTGTTGTTGCCCAAGTCGTAGACGGAATAGTAGGACCTGAGGAAGACATCCCCGAGGATCCACAGGGGCTGGCCGTTCTGGGAGGACAGGTAGGTGGGCTCGACTCCCACGGTGCAGTAGCCGTTGTTCTGCTCAACAAAGAAAGGCAGCACTCATTCATTTGTCCACACATGAGCTGGGCCCTGCTCAGCTCTGAGCCCTGGGCTGGGAGCACAAGTGCAGAGCTGAGGGAGCCAGGGTCTCTGCCTTGAGGGCTCATAGGCCAACTGAGCCACCAGAGCAGAGCGGGTGGGAGGATTTCTGGAACAGGTACATTCAGGCTGCCGTGGTCCTCAGCAGGGTCTCCTCTCCCCATGATGGGAAACTTCTCTTCCCACAGACCTCCCTCCTGCTCCCAATTTGGAGCAGATCAGCCTGGTGGTTAAACCTTGGAGCCAAACCAACTTGAATTCAAACCTTAGCTGTGTCGCCTTGAGTCAGTTACTCAACCTCTCTGAACCTCCAAGTTTTCATTTGTAAAACAGAAATGAGTATCTCCCTCATTAAATACTGTGACAATTAAATGGGATCATGAAGCAAAGTGCTTTGCACAGTGGTCTGCCCTAGTAAGTGCTCAACAAAGAGCCCAGTGCCTCTCCCCACTAATTAATAATAATTGATCATAGATGACAATCTTCTATTTCATAGCCTTGTTCCAGAGAAGGGGGTTTAGAATCAATGAGTGGGGAAGATAAATGAGTACAAGCGTGGAGTCGGAAAATGGCACAAGGCAGGAGACCCAGCATTTCTGGCTCCCCAGCCCTTCCTCCCAACCCCAATCATGGTGGCTCAGCCTGCAGGGACCAGGACTTACACTGAGGATATAGGAGGAAGGTGGCAGAGGGAACTCCACACCATTGATGATGAAGGTCAAGCTGGGCAGATTCTGAATGCTGTTACAGTTCACGAGAAACTGCAAGAGGAATAGGTCCCTGGTTAACTCATCCTCCCCCTGATAGCACCCACCAGCCCCATCATCTCAGCCCCTGGATCCCAGGCCTGAGCTCCGGGCCCAAGCCCTAAGCCTGTTTTTGGACTAGAGAATGCAGCTCCAAGGGAAAGTCCTGTGTAGGTAATGCTGGCATTATCCCATGGACTCATAGAATGGGTGTGATTTGGAGTGATCCCAGAGCCTCCTAACTCCTCTTGCCTCGATTTCCCATATTAAAGATCGAACCTCTGCTCTTTCTCTGCAAGTGCCTATATACATATATATGCATATATATATGCATATATATATACATATATATGCATATATATATACATATATATATGCATATATATATGCATATATATATGCATATATATATGCATATATATATGTATATATATATGCATATATATATATGCACACACACACACACACACACATACACAGGCATGAGCCATGATGCCCAGCTTGCAAGTGGCATTTTAAAACACGCAGATCTGGCCGGGCATGGTGGCTCGTGCCTGTAATCCCAATACTTTGGGAGGCCGAGGTAGGCAGATTGCTTGAGTCCAGAAGTTCGAGACCAGCCTGAGTGACATGATGAAACCCCGCCTCCACCAAAAATACAAAAATTAGCTGGGCATGATGGCACACACGTGTAGTCCCAGCTACTCAGGAGGCTGAGGTGGGAGGATTGCTTGAGCCCAGGAGGCGGAGCTTGCAGTGAGCTGAGATTGTGTCACTGCACTCCAGCCTGGGTGACAGAGTGAGACTCTGTCTCAAAACAACAATAACAACAACAACAACAACGACAAAAACAACACAGATGGCTGGGCGTGGTGGCTCACATCTGTAATCCCAGCACTTTGGGAGGCCAAGGCAGGCAGATTACTTGAGGTCAGGAGTTCGAGACCAGCCTGGCCAATATGGTGAAACCTCATCTCTATTAAAAATACAAAAAAATTAGCCAGGCGTGGTGACATACACCTGTAGTCCCAGCTACTCAGGAAGCTGAAGCCAGAGAATTGCTTGAACCCAGGAAAGTGGAGGTTGCAGTGAGCCAAGATCACGCCATTGCACTCCAGCCTGGGCGACAGAGAGAGACTCCGTCTCAAAAAAACAAAAACAAAAAACAAAAAAAAAAGAAAAACACAGATCTGCATAATGAGTACCCCACTGGTCTCCCAAAATTAAAATTAGTGGTAGTGGGCTTGGGTTAATTAAACAAACCCTTGGCTGGACTCAAGACAGACAAGCGCAGGGGAGCATGGCCCTGTGGAGGTGAGAGAGGTGGGGATAAAGGGTCAGCCCTGGTTGCTCACATACTCAGCCCCACATTCCAGTCATTTTGCTCTTATCCCAAAGTCCAGCAAGCATTTCCTCTGTTTCTGCTGAGTGACTGCAGCTCAGAAGAAATTCCTGCCTAATAGTAACCTCCTTCTCCCCTTCAGCACAAGCAACTGGCCCCGCCTGAACAAGCCTCCAGGCCCCCATCCTGCACACAGCCCCAGTCGTCCCAGGTCCCCCTGCCTCCAGCGCCTTGGGCAGATAGAGGCTTGGAGGTCAAGAGTTAGGCTTTTTTTTTTTTTTGAGACAGGGTCTTGCTTTGTCACCCAGGCTGGAGTGCAATAGTGAGATCACGGCTCACTGCAGCCTCCACCTCCTGGGCTCAAACAATCCTCTCACCTCAGCCTACCAAGTAGCTGGAACTACAGGCGCATGCCACCGCACCCAGCTAATTTTTGTATTTCTTGTAGAGACAGAGTCTCGCCATGTTGCCCAGGCTGGTCTCAAACTCCTGGGCTCAAAAGATCTGCCTGCCTTGGCCTCCCAAAGTGTTGGGATTACAGGCATGAGCCACGGCGCCCAGCTGGCTATTGTGTTCCCAGGAGAAATCATGAATGCCTCTGGAGTAGCCTCCTGGGGAAGAGAGACACCCTCACCAGTCACACCTGTCCATACTCATCCTCCTGGGCCCCTGTGGCCTGCAGAAGAGCACTCATGTACTGCTGGGGCACAGTGAGCAGAGAGGTGCCTGTGTCCACGATGGCCTGGCAACCCTCAGAACACCAGCCGGAGGCCTGGCCGCCGATGAGGAACCTGTATGGGGAGAAGACAGGCAGCCTCAGGACTCCCCCAGTTCAGGGCAGCTGGGGCGGGCTTTCCCCACCACTGTGGGACAAAGAGCTACAGCTACTTTCTTGAGGAAAGTGAGGACCCTGCAAAGATCAATCCGGCTATTCCCCTGCATCATGCCATGGGACCTAGTCCTTAAAAGTGTCAAGGAAGTTTCTAAAAACACTGAAAACCAGGTCCACTGATTCATTGTAAGGACTTTGAGCAAATTAGTTGCTAACACACCTTCGTTTCTAATCTGTGAGCCCATGATGGGGCTGGACTGCAGGGTCCCTAATGTTCGGGAGTCCAGGTCCTGCCCCTCCCTATGTTGTCCACATCCACTCTCTTCTCCAGGCTGAGCTGGGCTTTGTCACCCCTGCAGAGGACAGTTGTGGCTTTGTAGGAGTAAGCCTCAGGGGTCCTCTGCCCCATCCCAGAGCAGTGCCAGACTGTGTGTGTGTGTGACATGGCCTGGAAGCCCACTCCAAGGAAGTGCCACATCCCCAGGGCCCCACCGCAGACTCACTCTTCAATGCCAATCTGCCAGTAGAGTTCCTGGGTGACAGGCGCCCAGTAGATCTGCCCCGTGTACAGGCTGCTATCCACACCCCCAAAGACAACCGCTCCCCCGCTGGAGCCCTGCTGGCTGCAGGAGAGAAAGGGAAGGGGAAGTCAGGGAGTGCCATGGAAAAGGACTTTCCTCCTGAGCAGTCACCTCCACAGGGAAACAGAGCTCCTTCCCTGATCCAGACGGGGGCTCCCTGAGGAGAGCACTGAGTCTCCCTTCAGACTGGGGCTCCCTGAGGACAGGGCTGTATCCCTTAGATTGGAGCTCCCTGAGGATGGGGCTGTGTCCCTTAGACTGGGCCTCCCTGAGGACGAGTCTGTGTCTCCCTCAGACTGGGGCTCCCTGAGGATGGGGCTGTATCCCTTAGATTGGGGCTCCCTGGGGACTGGGATGCGTCCCTTAGACTGGGGCTTTCTGGCCAGGCCTTGGAATTCCCAGCGCCTCAGGCTCCCGAATGATGCTGACTTCTGGGGGGTCCCCTAGTGGTTGGGACCCCCAGCCCACACTCTGCTCTCCTCTCCCCTCCGCTTCCTGCCTCTGGTAGACATGTCACCGGGATCCCCACCCCGGCCCAGCTTGTTACTTTTCTGCTGAGATTGGAGACAGGTAGGGTCTTGGTGAAGGGGGTAAGGATATTCCATGTTTGTTCCAGAGGCTTCTCTGGTAGCTGGAGTGTGGAGCTGGGTGGAGCTGCTCTGTTTACACGCAGAGGAATCATAAACAGAGGTGGAGAGGAAGTTAGCAACATTAGTAACAGGGTGAGGTCCTTGAACTTCAGATTCCCCAGATTAGTCCAATGAAGCTAACTGTCTCTAGAAAGTGGCTGCCTAAGGCCGGGCGCAGTGGCTCACACCTGTAATCCCAACACTTTGGAAGGCCGAGGCGGGTGGATCACCTGAGGTCAGGAGTTTGAGACCAGCCTGGCCAACATGGTGAAACCCCGTCTCTACTAAAAACACAAAAATTAGCCGAACACAGTGGCGCATGCCTGTAATCCCAGCTACTTGGGAGGCTGAGGCTGGAAAATAGCTTGAATCCGGGAGGCAGAAGTAGCAGTGAGCCGAGATTGCGCCACTGCACTCCAGACCGGGTGACAGAGTGAGACCCCATCTCAAAAAAACAAAACAAAACAAAACAAAAGCAAGTTGCTGGTTAATTCTGAAGAAGAACAAAGAAAAGCAGGCCCCAGGCCGCTCACCCCCACCCACTGCCTGTCTCACTAAATGCCTGCACATGCTTGTGTTGACTGGCAAGGATAACAACCTGCTAGGGGTCAGCAGTGGACCTAGACCAGAAGACTCCAGGACCAGGCTAGAACAATAGATAAAAGGAGATGAAGCAATACATTACTATGCAAAAGAGGGATACAGGTAGAAAACATTCGGTCAGAAGGAAGTGAGCGAACTGCCCCACCCGCTTCTCCACCAGGAAGCCTGTCCAAGGGGTGCTGAGAATCAGAGCAGCAAAACTCAGGGCAAAGTTCAGCTGCTGTGGAAGAGATTCATTCCATCGTGGCCATGGAATGCAAAGACAAGTCGGAGGGGACTGGGGACAGGTGCAGGGATGGGGTGTGGTCGGGTGGCTGGGAGAGGATTCGAGAGGAAGCCCAGGAAGGAAGGCCCTGGAGCAAGACTGACTGGAGCCAGATGCCCGCTGGGATGCCTCCAAACCCCAAAGCATTGAGCACTGAGCCTCAGTCGTCCAGGGCGGCCGGGGGAGCATCCCGGGAGGTGGGGACTGGCCAGCTGGTTGCTCACTTGCTGAGGTAGACGCTGAAGACGGGGCTGGTGAGGGCGCCCTCCTGCACCATGCCCTGCATAGCTGTGGTGGCCTCATCCACGGACAGAGCAGGGTAGGCCAGGCCCATGATGCCATCAAACTGCGCATAGACGAAGTTGGTACCAGGCTCATTCTCACTCAAGCCGAACTCCTGGTTGGGGACCTGGATGCTCTGGACCTAATGGAGACACAAACGAGGGGAGGTGACCAGTCTGACTCCACTCACCTCCTCCAGGTTCCCCTAGAGACTCCTCAAGCCTCTGTTCATCCCTTCCTCACCTCTGCCCCCTTCTTTTTTGTTTTGGTTTTCTTGTTTGTTTGTTTGCTTGTTTGAGACAGAGTCTCGCCCTGTCACCAGGCTGGAATGCAGTGGCGCAATCTCAGCTCACAGCAACCTCTGCTCCCCTGGTTCTAGCGATTCTCCTGCCTCAGCCTCCCGAGTAGCTGGGACTGCAGGCGCGTGCCACCACGCTCAGCTAATTTTTTGTACTTTTAATAGAGACAGGGTTTCACCATGTTGGCCAGGATGGTCTCTATCTCTTGACCTCATGATCTGCCCGCCTTGGCCTTCCAAAGTGCTGGGATTACAGGCGTGAGCCACCGTAGCCAGCCACCTCTGCCTCTTGACAGGTGTTGCAGGAGCCACCTCTCCTGCGTAGCCTTCCTTGACTGCCACAGCTCACCTCCTCACCCGTCTCCTTCTTCTCTGAGCTCCCCAGGCCTTATGCTTCTTAAGGAAAAGGACCATGTCCCTCTTGTTCAGTATGGTGCCCCAGTGCCTAGCACATGGTGGCCACCAGTGAGTGTTGGGGGAGTGACTGAATGGACCTGTCTTGTCCTGCCTTCCTGTCCTGCACACCAGAACACTAGCATTCCACCGTGTTTCAGGAGAGTCCATCTAACTGTCCCCTCCAGCTTATAGCTCACAGCCCCAGCCTCCACTCCCCATGCCCACTCACAGTCAGGGTGTCATAGCCAAAGAAGCCGGTGAGGCTGCCACTGCCATACTGCAGGGAGAAGGTCTGCCCATTGGTGGAGTAGGTGGACGACTCGCTGGGGTTGAAGCGGGAGTGACTGGCTGCAGGGGAGTCAGGGCATGGGGAGTCAGGCCGGCTGGGGCAGGGCTGCTCAGCTCTCAGGCCTGCCGGGTTCCCACCTCAGCCTCTCGCTCAGGCTGCGCTCACATCCTGGGACCTCAGCACCCCTGGTTGCCAAGTCAAGGGGTGGCATTGGAAGGCCCATGGGAGCTGGCCAGCCTTGTCCCCAAAGCCCCTTCTGACTTACAGAATCTTGGGATGCCTCAGGACTGTGGCCTCCCTGTGGACAGGTTTGCAGAGAACCCAGCCCTGAGTCCCTGGTCCCCAGCAAAGCACGTGGCTCACAGCAGTGCTGAGTAATTACTCATCAGATGAAGAAGTGAATGGGCCTGCACCACATCCCAGCATTCCCCCCAGCCCTCCAGGGCATCCCCAAGTACTCCCCACCTTCACTCATCAAGAAGCCAGTCATAACATAGGGTGGGGACATCAAGGGACCCCTTGGGCCAAAGGTATCAGGACCCAAACACCAAGGCTTCAGCAGGGACCAAGGCAACCTTAAGAAAGCAAACACTGCCTGTCTCCCAAAACCACTATAGTACGGAGCCCACATCCTATATTGTTCTGTTGTGTCTCTTGGAGACACTCAGTGAGAACTTAGTAAATACTGAGGTGGAGCAGAATAGAATGGAGTAGAATGGAGTGGGATGGAGTGGGATGGAATGGACTGGAAATTAGTCACATGGAATGGAATGGCACTGCCCAGAGTAAACAGAATGGGGAGAGTGGAATAAAAGGGAGTGGGGAGTTAGGGGCTGGCATAAGCAAAGGGATACATATTGGCAGGGAAGGCAAAGGGGCCATCCAGCTGCAGGACCAGCATCTTTCCTCTGGCTTGGGCATGCTGTGTGGCCCTGCACATGTCCCTGGTCCTCCCCAGGACTGAGCTCCCCTCAGTCCTGAGCTCCCTCTGGAAGTTTGGCCCTCCCCAGAGGGTATCAGTGCCTTGCCCTGCCAACCACCCCTCTCTGCCCAGCCCAGCACTCACTGCAGGCCTGGCTCTGGCAGTAGACAGAGGGCACCCACAAGTTGGAGGAGCCGGTGTCAAAAAGGACCAGGAAGTTCTGGGGTGGAGTCCCGATGCTGATCTCACCAAAGTAGGCAGCCTGGGGGCCATGGAGCAAGCTGTTAGTTCCAGAGGGATCCAGGGGCCCCAGGCTCCTCCATGGGCAGAGGAGTGAAGGGACCTGCCCCTTCCCTCCAGCCCACACCAGAGAGAAGGCTACCGCCAGAAAGGGTCAGGACTCACATCCATGTAGGCCATGGGCTCGTAGGTCACGCTGAGGTCACCAAAGCGGTACTTCCAAGCAGGATCATACTTGTGGGTCCTCAGGAACTCCCCCAGCAAGCCCTTCTCCTTCATGGTCTCACGGATAGACTTAAATTTCTTCAGGGGCACTCTACAGAAAGGTTGCATATGAGGCAAGGCCCTCCCTCCTTCCTCTCTTCCCACTCCTCTCTTTCTCTCTCTCCTTCTCTTAACTGCATGCTTCAACCTCCCTGCCACTCTGTTTGTTCCCCCTTGTCTGTGTGTGTCTTTTTCTCTCTCTCAGCCTTTTGCTCTCTGTCTCTGTCTGTCTGTCTCTCTGTGTGTGTGTGTGTGTGTGCGCGCGCGCGTGTTTCTTCCTCCCTTTGCCTCTTCCCCTCTTTCTTACAAAGCTCTTCTCAGCACTTGCTCTAAGATTCAGAAAACCATTCATTTCACCATGCATGCACTCCTCACCTCATCTCAAGGGTCCTCCTATCTCCCTGGCCCTTTGCTGTCAAATATCCCATAGATTCCTCCCCAGGAAAGGAAGAGGGACTTTAGGCTTTACCCTTTTCAGGATATGTACTTTTTTTTTTTTGAGACGCAGTTTCACTTTTGTCACCCAGGCTAGAGTGCAATGGCACAATCTCCGCTCACTGCAACCTCTACCTCCTGGGTTCAGAAAATTCTCCTGCCTCAGCCTCCCGAGTAGCTGGAATTACAGGCGCCTGTCACCATGCCTGGCTAATTTTTTGTATCTTTAGCAGAGACAGGGTTTCACTATGTTGGCCAGGCTGGTCTTGATCTCCTGACCTCGTGACTCGCCTGCCTAGGCCTCCCAAAGTGCTGGCATTACAGGTGTGAGCCACCGCACCTGGCCCAGGATATGTAGTTTTTTTTTTTTTTTTTGAGACAGAGTTTCGCTCTTGTTGCCCAGGCTGGAGTGCAATGGCTTGATCTCGGCTCACCTCAACTTCCACCTCCCGAGTTCAAGCTATTCTTCTGCCTCAGCCTCCTGAGTAGCTGGGATTACAGGCAAGGGCCACCATGCCCAGCTAATTTTGTATTTTTAGTAGAGATAGGGTTTCTCTATGTTGGTCAGGCTGGTCTCAAACTCCCGACCTCAAATGATCCGCCCGCCTTGGCCTCCTAAAGTGCTAGGATTACAGGCGTGAGCCACTGCGCCCAGCCCAGGAAATGCACATTTTTAACAGAAGATTTCAGGCCAGGCACGGTAGCTCACGCCTGTAATCCCAGCACTTTGGGAGGCCGAGGCGGGTGGATCACTTGAGGTCAGGAGTTCGAGACCAGACTGGCCAAGATGGTGAAAACCCATCTCTACTAAAATTACAAAATTAGCCGGGCATGGTGGCGCATGCCTGTAATCCTAGCTACTCGGGAGGCTGAGGTGGGAGAATCGCTTGAACCTGGGAGGCAGAGGTTTCAGTGAGCCGAGATCGCGCCATTGCACTGCAGCCTGGGCAACAAGAGCGAAGTTCTGTTTCAAAAAAAAAAACAAAGAAGATTTCAGAGATGGCAAAGTTCACCCCAGAGTTCCTTTCTACGGCAGCCCTCAGGCACCTGGCACCAGCTGGATGTGACAGAGCATGGAGCAACGGCAACAGCACTAGCTGGGACTCAGGACACAGAGTCCTAGTTCTGTCCCAGCTGCTAATCGCATGGCCTAGGCCCCATCACTGCTCCTCTCAGGACACCAGGACCACGGGAAGTTGGCCTGGGTGGTCTGGAGCACAGATCAGCTCTGGAGTTGGAACTTATAAATCACCGTTTCTGTCCCATCCTATGGGCTCAGTCACACCCTCGGCACTCTCCTTCCCAGACTTGCTTGCTGCCATTGCTTGGGAGTCTCTAGGGGTCCACTCTGGCCTTGCTCTAGGCTCCAGAATTCTGCTTAATCCCCATTCCCTGGGGACTCTGCATTCTCCAGAAATTCTCTGCTAAACCCCTTCACCCTGAGCTATGAAGACTAATTAACCACCTCTACCAAATATGCATATTGATAGGAGTTTCTGAGAGGAGCCAGCTCTTGGCCTCAGGAAGTACTCTTGGGTAGAGAAATAACAGGCAGGATGGCAGGCTGGGCGCCTTCCTGATGGCCTGTGAGCCATGCCATCTACTCCAGAGTTTTCTCCTGACCCCTCAGGTGTAGAGATTTACATTTACTGGTGTTTCTGCTTAGATGATTTTGGCATCTGCCAGTAAATTTTCAGCCTTAAAGCAACTTTTAGAGAGGATAGTGGATAAGATATCCCTTATCCAAAAAGGATTGCTCCCTTCTGTGAGAAGAATCCACACCTGCCATTCAAGGGCTGCTTGGGCAGTAGTCACCCTTACCACCTCTGTTTCAGGTCCATCTTTCCTCATCAGATGGGGGAAGGGATCGTGCTTTTCCCTTTGATAGGAAGTTTCCTGAAGGCAGGGGCTGTGTCTCCTTCCACCCATGTGTCCTGTCTAACATCAGCAAAGGGAGACTTCCCTTCCCCTAGCAGAAGTCCCAGAGTAGAGACAGGCAGGGTGTCCCCTGGCCCAGTTGCCCTTTGCAGGGCTTTAGGCTCCCATCCAGGCTCCCTGCACCAGCAGCCAGATCCCAGACTCACTTGACCACTGCTGCCTCCAAGAGCTGGAGGCAGACCAAGACCACCACCATCCACTTCATGATGCTGGTCCCCAACTGGCCACAGAGGAAGAGCAGCTCTGAGTTCTGCAGTCGCAGTGGAGTGAAGACCTGGGCACTCTTTCCTCTTTTATACGCCCAAGATTAGTCTAATCGCTGCCTCCCTGCCCTGGGCAGCCATGACCTCAACCCAGGGTGTACCCTGTGCTTCGTGTATCGTTTCTGTGTATTTTTCCTTCTTGAGGGTGGCCGCAACAGACTTTCATCTTATTGACTTTTTGGTTCAAGCATCGGAGGCCAGGAGGTGCAAGCGATAAGAGAGAAAGTTGCCGTAAGATGGAGTGGTGAAGATTACGTCTTGTTCCCAAACCAGAGGCATAATGTGTGCATTTAGGGACGAGGGCCAGAAAAAGGTAGAGGCAGAGTGCTGGGATAGATAGGATCTATAGCCAGGGTTTCGCAACCTCAGTGCTGTCGACATTTTGGAACAAATAGTTCTTTGTTGTGGGCCCCATCCTGTGTACTATAGAATGTTTAACAGCATTCCTGGCATCTACCGACTCGATGCCAGGAGCAGTCCACCCATTGTGCCAACCAAATATATCTCCAGGCACTGCTAAGTGTCTTCTGGATGGGCAAAATCATTGAGAACTGCTTGTCTCTAGGTTATGTACTTGAAGCTTTGACTCCACTCCTAACTCCTAGCACCCTCAAACCCTCAGGGGAGGAGATAGGGGTGTCAGGGGGTCAAGAGGTCAGTAGCTAGTAGCTAGGATGCTGGTTACAATGATGGTGATGGTGAGGGTGGTGCTGATGGCAGTGTCGGGAGTTCTGGTGCTGGTGGTGGGGCTGGGATGACAATGGCTGAAGTCACAGCTATTTGAGCAGCTTCAGAGGCTTTCAAGGTCAAACAGGACATTTGGAGAAATGCTTGTCATAATTCAGCAAATGCTCAGGACACACTCACAGAGTAAGCCACACCAGCTTCTGGTTGTGCCTCTTGTACCGACCTAGATCAGAGGCCTGGAGCAGGGGCATATGAAGAGGGACAGGCCTGCGCCCTGCTGCTGTTCCTCGTTCTCTCTTCTGCCCCGCTGCGTCCCTGCTTCTGTCTTCAGTTCTCCTAAAGTGCCTATGTCTCCCATGACCCACTCCCAAGCCCTTGTGCAGCCCCCAAGTCTGATTTGTTAGTTCCTCTATCCCTCATCTCGGCACCCCCTCCCCCACCTCCCCCAACTCCCACCCCACTTCCCAGCTACCAGCTTCCCATTGCCTGAGGTGACCTGGAGCTGGCCCAGTGCCTGCTCACCTGGCCCAGGACAGCTCTCCATTTTGGAGTGAGTGGGAAAAAAATCCCCGTGCCAATAGCCTCTCTGCGACCTCGTACCCCACACTCAGGGCTCCAGGCAGATTTGTCAGGTCCTCAGGCCCCAGGCAGAAGGCCAGGACCAGATCTGTAAACACTGATATCATCCAGCTGGTGGGGGATTTTCCACTCTAGCCACTGCTACCCACTGCCCAGCCAGAGCCCTGGAGCTTCCCCAAGCCTTATAATGGGGGAGGGGAGGGAGGACTAGAAGTCAGCTGGGCCTGGCACAGAGAGGGAGGTCCCTACCTGATGGTGTCTCAAGCCAACTTAGCTTCCATTCCTCCCTGTGGTCCCCAGAGGTACATTGGACTATGAGGTGAAAGACAAGATAGGGAGTGCCTTCCCTGGGTTGAGGGGAGTCCCCATATTTGGGAAGCAGGTAAATAAAATTATAGGATCATTGGAATCTTTTTTTTTTTTTTGAGATGGAGTCTTGCTGTGTCACCAGGCTGGAGTGCAGTGGCGCGATCTTGACTCAATGCAACCTCCACCTCCCGGGTTCAAGCAATTCTCCTGCCTCAGCCTCGCAAGTAGCTGGAACTACAGGTGCGTGCCACCACGCCCAGCTAATTTTCTTATATTTGTAGTAGAGACAGGTTTTCACCATATTGGCCAGGATGGTCTCAATCTCTTGACCTCGTTATCCGCCAGCCTCAGCCTCCCAAAGTGTTGGGATTACAGGCATGAGCCACGCGCCTGGCCCAGGTCATTGGAATCTTGCCAAATCCTTTAATATAGCAGAATTCATGGGATCCCCTAAGTCATGTGAGGCCTCCAGATTCCCCAACAAAAGCTTCAGGGACCCTTTTCTTATCTGGTAGGACTCCAGGAGTCTGGCTGCTGCCAGGCTAACCTTCCGCAAACACCCAAGAAGTCACAACAAATCCCTTCCGAGAGTCCCTGATCGACTGCATCAAGCTAGGGCATCCCAGCTTGGCTGCCAGACCCTGGGGCCTACAGCCCCTGCCTACTCAATTGATCTTCTGACAGCTCGGTCAGATCCCAAGTCCTCTCCTGCCTGTGGTCTGCCCTGTCTGCTGCCCCCCATATCTGAAAAAACCCACATGACTAGAAGCTCCCAGAGAGCAGAGCCCATGGCTTTTGCATCCCTGTGCCTGGCTCAGAGCTCAGGAAATCTCTGAACAATAGATAGAGCTCAGGAGATTGTCTTGCTGGGGCTTAGTTATAGCTCCCACACCCCGTTATCCCAGGGCTCTGATTGCTAGCCTACACCCCCAGGAGATTTTGTCAAATTCTGGGTCCTCAGGTCCCCTCATGGTGGTGGTGCCCAGGCTTTTTCTTATCGCCTTCTAGTCTCATTTCCTTTAAGCATCACTTGCATCAAAACTCATCAGAAGCCCACTGCTAACTAAATAAAACTCAAACTTGTTATCTTGGCATTCAGGACATTCTCCATTTCCTACGTTTCCAAAATCATCTTCTACAACTAACCTACACTTTCCTTTCTCCCCAGGAGGCCTCTTATTTCCTCACCTCCATGCCTTTATCCATGCTATGCCCTCCATGTGAAATACCCTTCCCGAGCATAGTCACCTGTAAAATCTCCTCATCCTTCAAGACCCAGCACGAATGCCACAAAGTCTTCTCTGTTGAGCCCACCTATTCTCAAACTGACTGTTATTGTGGAGAATTTTGCTTTTGTTCCCTTCAGGTATTTATTTCATACCATCTTATATCCCAGTGACTTGCCCAAAATCCTATAGCTTTTAACTGAAAGAGGTTTCTTCCTGCACATGGTACCTTCGGTATCACAAACTCATCTTTCAGAAGATCTACAAAAATGACAAAATGACAATAGGAATGGGAATGTCTTTGGAAGAGGTGGCAACTACATAGCATGCACACTACCACTGCTCATTCATCATCATTGGCAGACATCACTAATCAATCATGTCACTTTCCCACAGGGCTCAGACATGGCCTTAGAATCCTTCCCTAGCTAATGTTCCATGAAGACATGCTCAATGAATCTTGACATGACAATCTCCAAGTCCCTTAATGGAGGATTTTTTTTTTTAATTCTGCATACTAGGCTGGGCATGGTGGCTCATGCCTGTAATCCCAGGGCTTTGGGAGGCCAAGGCGGGCGGATCATTTGAGTTCAGGAGTTTGAGACCAGCCTGGCCAATATGGTGAAACCCTGTCTCTATTAAAAATACAAAAATTATCCAGGCATGGCGGTGGGCACCTACAATCCCAGCTACTCGGGAGACTGAGGCACGAGAATCACTTGAGCCCGCAGGAGGCAGAGGTTGCAGTGAGCCGAGATCATGCCACTGCACACCAGCTTGGGCAACAGAGTGAGACTCAGTCTCAAAAATAAATAAATAAATAAATAAATAAAATTCTGCCTACTAAATTTCATTTAAAATTCTATACATAGATCACTTTGTAAAAAATCAAGGCAACTCAAAATTACAACTATTTGTGGCCTTCTAAATTATCTTCCAGCTCTTATTGTGCACACTGAGATTTGAACATAGCTGTGATCGTTGTGTAAAGGCAACTTCTGTTTTGCCCTTGTCACTTTGGATTACTGCATATACACATTTCTGTGCATTAAGATAGGCCACATTTTTGTCACTTTCAGTGGCCACGCAGTGCTCTATCATCTTGGTAGCTAAGATTACCTGGCTCTATTCATTTGGGTTATTTCCAATTTCTCACTGCTATCAATAGCACTTGGGCTTACAAGCTAAAAATCACCCAAAGGAGTACAATAGTGAGCCCTCCATTCTCAGAGTCACTCAAGCAGAGGTCAAAGGACCACCTTTTGAGGAATACTGGTAGTGGGGTCTCTTGCAGAGGGTGTGAGATTGGGCCTCGTATCTGAGTTTTCCCTGTATATTCTAACCCCTGAGTTTGTTACCTTAGCTCAGGAGACAAGTGATCTAAAAACCTTAAGTCTTTGGCGGCTGTCTACATAAATTTTTAGGTACAATTTCAGCTATTGCCTTGGTTTTATAGTTTTTTCCCTTAAATGTTGTATGTGTCTTTTATACTTATACCATTAGTTCAACTGAACCTATTGGGGACATATTGGACCTGAGGTTTGTTTTTCTCAAGTTCAAAAATTTATGCTTTTTAATTTTTATTTTGACAAAATTCTAGACTTAAAGTTATAAACATAGTACAGAGAGTTCCCACATACTTTCCATCCAACATCCCCAATGTCAACATCTTATGTAAATAACCATAATATAATTACCAAACCCAGGAAATTAACCCTGATAGATTACTTTTTTTTTCTGTTAACCAAATACATTCATGAACCCTGATATAATGCTATTAAGTATTCTGTAGGCCTTATTTAAATTTCCCCCGTTTCCCCATTCCTGCCCTCTTTCTGGTCCAGGATCTGGTCTAGGATTCCACATGGCATTTGGTTTTCTTTTTGCTTTCTTTCTTTTATTTATGTATTGCTTTTTGAGTCAGGGTCTTACTCTGTATTCCAGGTTGGAGTACAGTGGCGCAATCATGGTTCACTGCAGCCTTGATCCTGGGTTCAAGTGATCCTCCCATCTTAGTCTCCCAAGTAGCTGGCACAAACCATCATGCCTAGCCCATTTAAAAAAAAAAAAAAAAAGGCCCTGTGCAGTGGCTCACACCTGTAATCCCAGCACTTGGGGATGCCAAGGCGGGCGGATCACGAGGTCAGGAGATCGAGACCATCCTGGCTAACATGGTGAAATCCCCTCTCTACTAAAAATACAAAAAAATTAGCCGGGCGTGGTGGCGGGTGCCTGTAGTCCCAGCTGCTGTGGAGGCTGAGGCAGGAGAATGGCGTGAACCCGGGAAGCGGAGCTTGCAGTGAGCCAAGATCGCACTACTGCACTCCAGCCTGGGCAACAGAGCGAGACTCCATCTCAAAAAAAAAAAAAAAAAAAAATTGCCTGGGCGTGTTGGTGCTCACCTGTAATCCCAGCACTTTGGGAGGCCAAGGCAGGTGGATCACCTGAGGTCAGGAACTCGAGACCAACCTAGCCAATATGGTGAAACCCCATCTCTACTAAAACTAGAAAAAATTAGCTGGGCATGGTGATGCACGCCTGTAATCCCAGCTACTTGGGAGGCTGAGGCAGGAGAATCGCTTGAACCCGGGAGGCAGAGGTTGCAGTGAGCCGAGATGGTGCCATTACACTCCAGTCTGGGCAACAAGAGTGAAACTCTGTCTCAGAAAAAAAAAACAAAACTTTTTTTTGACTAGGCATACTGTTTCATGCCTATAATCCCAGTACTTTGGGAGGCTGAGGTGGGAGGATCACTTGAGGCCAGGAGTTTAAGACCATCCTGGGCAACAGAGCAAGACCCTACCTCTAAAATTAAATTAAATTAAAGTTTTTTTGTAGAGACGGGGTCTCACTGTGTTGCCCAGGCTAGTCTGAAACTCCTGGCCTCAAGTGATCCTACCACTTCATCCTCCCAAAGTTCTGGAATTACAGGCATGAGTTACATGCCTGTAACTCATAATTACAGAATTACTGTGCCTGGCCTCATCTTGCTACTTTTAAAGAGTATTGATCAGTTATTTTGTAGAATGCCTCTCAATTAGGTTACTCTCATGTGTGCTCATATGAGATTAAGGGCATTCATTTTGGGAAGTATGCCACAGAGATGTACCCTTCTCAGTGCACCGTACCAGGACGTACATGATATTGATGTGTCTTATTACTGCTAATTTAACCTGGATCACGTGGTGAGGTGAGGTCTACCAGATTTCTCTGCAGTAAAATTACCATTTTTCCATTGGTAATGATTAAATATCTTCAGGAGAGATACTTTGAGGCTAAGCAAGTATACTGTTTGTCATCATTCTGCCCACTAATTGTAACATCCCTTCATGGTTCATGCCTGCAATAGTTATTACAGTGGTGTTGGTGATTTTTCTATTCCCATCATTCCTTCTATATTTATTCATTGGGACTCTACTGTAAGGAAGAACTGAACCCAGGGTTTTAAAATGAGCTCTTACTCTCCTGCCAAAATATTCCATCACTGAGGATGTGCCAGGCAGGGTACTTTCTATGGGTTTAATCTTGCAATTCTCACAACGATCACACAACATAGGTTACCTTATCCCCATTCTACCCTGATAGAATACAGAGGAGTCCATTTTATCTGTCTGTATCTCAAACATCTGGAAATAGATCTCTGTATATCTAAATGCATGAATAGACAGATTGACTATTTTTTCTCTGGTCTTTGATTAACATACCTTTGCTTGCAGATGACTGCTTCCTTTCTGGGTTGGTGGAAAGGAGGTGTACTGGATGGATGAAGGCACATTTCGCAGGGCAGCCCAGCTTCAGGAAGGGGAGGGATAGGGTGGAGCCTTAGGATCAGCTAGAATCTGAGATGCAAACACTACCAGGACCCTTTCTCCATTTCTCATTCCTGCTTCTCTTTGCTTTGCCCTCTCTTCTCTCTCTCTTTCCTCCTGTAGGTTGGCTTTTTCCATCTAACTGACCAACAGCAGCTGAGTCTTACATTTCCAGAGAAATAATTAACCCAAAATTCCCAGGAAAGTTCTCTGATTGGCCCATCCTAGGTCAGGTGTCCTCTCCTGAATCAGTCAACTATGGCCAGCAGGTAGGATCATATAAGAATTTGGTGGCTCCCTCAGGAAGCATTTTGAAGAGTGTGGACAGGAGGAGTTCCCAGAAGAAGTAAGGGATGTTTCTGGGAAAATAATATTGGATATATCCACATAGATTTATTTCTGATGACTTGTGGACTCTATTCAAATTCTTCACTCACTCTTCTTTGCACATATTAAAGAATGTGATGTGTGACATGCAATCGACTTAAAAGGCCAATCTCCACCACCTGTGAATGCTTTGACCCTGACAATTCACTTACCCTTTCTGAGCCTGAGTTTCCTTGACTGTAGAGTGGAATAATACCTACCCTGCAGTCTTGCTATAATGATTCAATAAGGCCCTGGTTATGAATGTGCCAGCACAAAGCTGGCCCTCACTATCAGCTGAGTATGAGTCTTTTTCTTTAAATTGGGTGGGGGGCTAGAGGAAGGGCATGAAAAGGAAAAAGGATCTTTGGGGAGCGCTGATAACATTCTGTTTCATGATCTGTGTACTGGTTTTGTGGGTATGTTCAGTTTGTGAGAAGTCAGTGAGCTGTAATCTTGATAGATGCTACTTTCTGTATATCCATTATACTTCAATACAAAAGCTTTATAAAGTCACTTTTTTTTTTTTTTCAGGACAGAGTCTTGCTCTCTCACCCAGGCTGGAGTGCAGTGGCATGATCTGGGCTCACTGCAACTTCCGCTTCCCAGCTTCAAACAATTCTCATGCCTCAGCCTCCCGAGTAACTGGGACTACAGGCGCGCACAACCACGCCCAGCTAATTTTTGTATTTTTAGTAGAGATGGGGTTTCACCATGTTGGCCAGGATGGTCTTGAACTCCTGACCTCAAGTGATCTGCCCATCTCCGCCTCCCAAAGTGCTGGGATTACAAGCATGAGCCACCATGCCCGGCCAAAATCACATTTTATTTTATTTTATATTATTTTATTTTATTTATTTTCTGAGATGGAGACTTGCTCTCTCATCCAGGCTGGAGTGCAGTGGCATGATCTTGGCTCACTGCAACCTCTGCCTCCCAGGTTCAAGCAATTCTCCTGCCTCAGCCTCCCAAGTAGCTGGGATTACAGGCACCCACCACCGCGCCCTGCTGATTTTTGTATTCTTAATAGAGACGGGGTTTCACTATGTTGGCCAGGCTTGTCTCGAACTCCTGACCTTGTGATCCGCCCACCTCAGCCTCCCAAAGTGTTGGGATTACAGGCGTGAACCACCGCATCCAGCCAATCACATTTTAAAAAGAAGATCAGAACAAAGGTCTCTGAGGATAGACAGATATAGATAGATAGATAGACAGGCAGACAGACAGATAGAATAAGAAGGAGGAGGAGGAGAAGGGAGAGAAGAAAGGAGACAGAACACTAGTCCTCAGAGAACCCCAATGGCAACGAGGGGAGGCAGTCCTTGCTCTCAGGGAGTCCTGGGCTGCTGGGGAGACTACACATTCACCCATCATAACATAGCCCACAATGGCAAAGATGCAGAGGAGAGTTCAGGTGAAATAGGGATGAGTGACCTCCTTTGAACAGCCACGCTTTTATTGTAATAAATTTCAGCAGACATATATAACAGGTGCATTCACCTGTGATTTTATGGACACAATGGGTTAAAACAAAGGGACCTGCCAATAACTCTGGCATTCACAGGGCTCCAGTCGGCCTTACCTGTGCACAGCTGGCTGTTCATGTTCCCAAAGGTGACTTCTCCCGAAGTAACTTCATCCTGTTGGCTATGAAACCAAAGACACAGACTCGGGAAGAGGCAGCTGCAGGGTGATCAGACCCCAGTTTCAGGAACCCATTCTGTGAATCAACCCAGCAGTCCTGGCCCACTTTGTCACCCTCCTGCTTCTCTTGTACCCACACAGTCCCTGGCTGTGGTACTGTGAACAGAAGCTTCTGTTCAGAGATAGATCAACATGGAGGAGAGGAGGAGGAGGCTCCTGGGCAGGGTTCTCTCACCTGCTGAGACAGAAACTGACCACGGCCCTGGAATCAGATTCCACTTAACAAGGCAGTCCATGACTGCAGTGGCCCCAAGTACAGAGACAGATGGATAGGACAGCCCTATTATCACATCAAAGGGAATGCTTTCGAAGGTGGTGCCAGCTCCCTCTGGCTTAGGCCGTACTCCCGGTTGGTGATGGCCAAACCCTGGGTCTGCTCCCCTGAGAGGAGGGGAATCCACTGGGGGTGGCCCTCAGGAGAACCAGGACGTCAGAGCCTCCCTCAGCAGGAAGGAAGCTAGCTGTACTCTCAGCTCACTCGGGCACCGGCTGGCTGCCTGCCCCCACCTATCGTCACAACATCAAAGCCCAGGCCTCTGCCGAGACGGCGGACAGGGAGAACAGACGGCCCTCCAGGGAGTGCCTGTGCCTGGCTGTTAGGAGCGAAGCATGCACATCAGGACCACACTGCCCCTCCCCTCCCCTCACCCCCACATCAGCGCCATCTGGTCCCAGTGGTGACCTACACCCCACCCTGGACCCTGTGCTCTCCTAAATGGTGAGCCGAATGCCACACTGGCTCCTGTGGCTTCTCCTGCCTGGTGCCCTCACATTTTGCCTCTGCCACTTCCAATTCTGGTGGCTCTTCCCACCTTGCCTCCTCCATGTAGCCCCTGCCTGAATCCCCAGCCCTCCAAGGGGGCCTCTTTTTTTTTTTTAGACGGAGTCTTGCTCTGTCACCAGGCTGGAGTGCAGTGGCGCGATCTCGGCTCTCTGAAACCTCCACCTCCCATGTTCAAGCGATTCTCCTGCCTTAGCCTCCCGAGTGGCTGGGACTACAGGCATGAGCCATCAGGCCCAGCTAATTTTTGAATTTTTAGTAGAGATGGGGGTTTCACCATGCTGGCCAGGCTGGTCTCGAACTCCTGACCTCAGGCGATCCACACCCGCTTTGGCCTCCCAGAGTGCTGGGATTACAGGCGTGAGCCACCGTGCCCGGCCGAGGGGCCTCTTTTTGGACTCTATATTGGACATCATGAAACATACGGCCTATAATGTGCACTGCTCATCCCCGCCTATGCTCCTGGCCTTTCTGGAGAGACTGGAAGCTTCAGGAGGACAAGAATGATGCCTTGTGCCACTCTGGGACTTACTGCTACAGCTCACAGGAGGGAGGGACTGTTTCTCCCACAAGCTCTAGGCACCTCCCTCCTGTGGGCTCTAGATGAGCACGCACGACAGCTGGGCATTCACAGAATGACAGCACCGCCAGGTTGGCTGAGTCCATGCCAAAGAGGATCATATAGCTCTGAGGGTGTCCCCAGCTTGATCTCCCCAGAGTAATACATTTGGGGAGAGAGATTCAGCCACTGAAGGTGAGTTGGGCCCCAGGCCCACAGTGACCCCTAGTCCCACTCTTCAGCAGCTCCCACGGGGGATGACTCTGACCTTGACAGATGACTTCCCCACTGTCTTGAGTCTTTAAGATCTCTCCCCTCAGACTGGGGCTCCCTGAGGACAGGGCTGTGTCTCCCCTCAGACTGGGGCTCCCCGAGGACGGGGCTGTGTCTCCCCTCAGACTGGGGCTCCCCGAGGACGGGGCTGTGTCTCCCCTCAGACTGGGGCTCCCCGAGGATGGGGCTGTGTCTCCCCTCAGACTGGGGCTCCCCGAGGATGGGGCTGTGTCTCCCCTCAGACTGGGGCTCCCCGAGGATGGGGCTGTGTCTCCCCACAGACTGGGGCTTCCTGAGGACGGGGCTGTGTCTCCCCTCAGACTGGGGCTCCCTGAGGATGGGGCTGTGTCCTCTCAGGACTCAGCTTCATTCAGCTTTGGTGACACAGTAAGAAGTGAGTCACCCCTGTGAGGAGGTGGGTGGTGACAGGTGGGTGGGCAGAGCCTGACCCACTCAGGTGTACAGGCAGTCATGTATTACTTAACGACAGGAATGTATTATGAGAAGAGGGGTCATTAGGAGACTTCATTTTTGTGTGAACATGATGGAGTGCACTTACAGAAACCTAGGCTGTGTGGTAGGGCCTGTTGCTCCTACCCTGACCCGCACAGCATGTCATGGTCTTGAATACCTTAGGCAACTGTAACACAACGGTAAGCATTTGTGTGTCTAATCTTAGACAAGATACAGTAACAATACAGTATTATTATCTTACGGGACTGCAGTGTATAAGCCTCTCTCATTGATGCCTGACATAGTTGAGATGTTTGTTGGCAGGGTCAGGCTGGAGTTTCTTCAGGAAGTCTGAGAGTGAGAGCCGCTCCTGCATTTCTTTAGCAGGACCCTGGCAGGTGGGAGTTCAGCTGATTTCACTCATAGCCCAGTTTCTCTTAAGTCCAGCCAACCACGAGTTAAGGCTCTCCAGCCAAGGTTAGCATGAGGCCTGGGGCTGAGATGGGCCACAGTCTCATTGCTTTATTTAATCATCTCTTGCTGCCATCAGTGATGGATTCAGTGGAGAGACAGGGTTGAACGTGACGTACGAGAGCAGGAAATCTAATCTGCTCCAAGAGAAATCTAATCTAATCCCTGGATCCAGGGAAGGAAGGAACTCCTGAACTTTGATGTCTTTCAAGACCCGGCAGGTTAGCCAGGTATGGTGGCATGCGCCCGTAGTCCAAGTTTCTCTGGATGCTGAAGCAGGAGGATTGCTTGAGGCCAGGAGGTTGAGGCTGCAGTGAGCTATGATTGAGCCACTGCACTCCAGCCCAGATGACAGAGCAAGACCCAGTCTCAGAAAAAAAAGACCAGGCCTGGAGGACACTCACACTTGACACCCCTGTCCCCACCCCTGATCACCCCCTGACTCTGTACCAGAGCAGCCCTTCAGAGAAATGGAAGCCAGTGACGGCAAGGAGCAGCCGCTTGCTCATGGGCAGCTTCTACCTCTTCACCAAGGCTGGAGGGAGAGACCCCACCATAGCCCAGCCATGAGCTTAGGAAGCAGCAGATCAGGGTAGAGGGGCCTTTATTGAGGAGGAAATGGGAAGGCAGGAGCAGCCCTGAAGAAAGCAGGGGGAATGATCCAGGCAGGGGAGGAGTGTGGGCTGGCGGGGGTCTGGATAGGACTCTTTGTAGGGAGCTCCCAGACCTGTTCCAGAGGCGCCAGGAGGAACCCATGCTCCTTTGCCTTGTTCTCCCAGTACCCTGTGGGAGTTGGAGGGGCAGCAGGAGGCAATGCAGGTAAGAGAGGCCATGAAGGAGGGGTTGTTTGGACTGAGCTGGATGTGGTCCCAGACTAGGTCTCTCTGGGTGGGGTTGAGAATTGGGTGGCAGAAAGGGGAGAGTCCAGTGTCCAGGTTCCGGCACATCAAACGCCAAAGAACGTAATCACCAGGGCCTGGATAAGGAGCAGGAACCGAGCCTAATGCAAAAGTCCCAAACCAAACACTGATAATGGGCTCAGGAGGCTCTAGGCCTGGACCTCACGCTTCCACCCCGTGGCCCCTAGTCAAGCCTCATATGGATACGGTTACAGTCCCAGGTCCTTGGAGCCAGCTCGGATCCTGGCCAATCTAGTTTGGGTTCTGGAGAGGTGTGCCTGTGAGCAGCAGTGTGCCACTGGCCACGGCTCTCCCTGTGCTCAGGGACTCCTAGTGTGGGACACCAGGGGCCCATGACGGGGGCTGGGGCTGAGCAGCCTCCAGAGGGATGCCCCTTGGTAGGTATGTATAGCACATCAACTCTTCCCAACATCCCAACATCCAGAGGGACTGGCTCTGTGTGCCCATTGTACAGTGTGGAAAACTGAGAACTAGAGCAGATAGGGGGAACCCCAGCCTCAGGGGGTCTTCATGCACCCCACAGTGATGGGGAAGAGAAAGGATCCAGAGGCCTTAGATGAGCCTTAAAGCCACCTGCATTGACTTCCTGCCTGAAGATCCCCTTTTGCTGATTCTGAGGTTACCTGGGAGGTGTGTGTCTGACTGTGCCTGTTTCCTGCCAAGTCTGGGGACCCTCCCCCAGCCCCGCTCAGATTCCAGGGAGCTGAGTCTCTGATCCTAAAGTTCCAGGAGGATCTCTGAGAATCTCCACTTTTTCCCTTTGTAGGAGAATGTTTCACTGCTGCCTAGTGCTAGGACCGAGGCCCCAGGGGCTTGTCCTCCAGGGAGTCTGTCTCACTTCTGCTGTGCTCTCTCTGCTGACTCCCCAGACCTGCTCTGGACATGAATATGCCCTTCCACCCACAGCACTGCTGCTGCATGTCCCAAAGCCCTGGGTGTGTGGTGGGGCTTGGCATCCAGGTTACACTTGATCACAGGTCCAGCAGACAGCAGAGACCAAATCACAGGGACAGGAGCAGTGAGATGGGGCCTCCACAAGGCCTGGCCTTGCCCTCAGGAGTTCGGGGCTGGTGGAGTGCTTGGCGGTGCCTGAAGGACCCTGCTCTGCAATCTCTGGCTCCAGGGATGGGTCACAGTGTCAAGGGAACTGTCCCCCCAGGCTTCCAGCTCAAATCTGCCCCTCTTACCCCCAAATTCCTTTCCCATATTAGTAAAAGTTTTCTCTTCTTCCAGTTGTCAGACCCCAAACCTCAGAGTCCTCCTTAATCCTCTTTTTCCTTTTCCCATATCCTACTTATATTTCGATTGTCAATGCCCTATTGGGTCCACCTTCAGAATACATCCCAAATCTGTCCACCTCTCCCCTTTTCCACTGCCACCACCCAATTCCAAGCCACCATCATCTCCCTCTAGATTATAGCAGTAGCCTCCTATCCTAGTTTGGGCTGCTGTAGCAAATTACCAAGTACTGGGGTGCTTATACGATAAACATTTGGCTGGGCGTGGTGGGTCACACCTGTAATCCCAGCACTTTGAGAGGCGGAGGCAGGCGGATCACCTGAGGTCAGGAATTCAGGACCAGCCTGACCAACGTGGAGAAACCCCGTCTCTACTATAAATACAAAATTAGCCAGGCATGGTGGCGCACACCTGTAATCCCAGCTACTTGGGAGGCTGAGGCAGGAGAATCGCTTGAACCCAGGAGGCGGAGGTTGCGGAGAGCCGAGATCGCGCCACTGTACTCCAGCCTGGGCAACAAGAGCAAGACTCTGTCTCAAAAACAAACAAACAAACAAAAACCTAAGCCGGATCTCATCTGCTCAGAACCCTCCAATAGCTTCCTATTGATCTTAAAGTAAAATCTACATGCTTCCCCCAGGTCCTGGTCCTCATGAGGGCATGAATCCTCCTCATGCCCTCATCCCCTACTCACTCCATTTCTTCCCTCGGACAGCTACACTGGCCTCCTTTCACCCTTTTGCTTGTCCTTGAACCCATCCAGCACATTCTCCCTATCGTGCCTTTGCACTTGTCATCCTTCTGCTTGGAATTTCCTTCCCTCAGTTGTTCATTCAGCCTCTGTCTTGCACTCAAATCTCTGCTTCAATGTCACCTCCCCAGAGAAGTCTTCCTTGACATGCCCATTCCCGACACTCAACCACATTACTCCTTGTGCATTTTTCTTTTCTTTTTTTCTTTCTATTTTTTGAGACAGGGTTTCCCTCTGTGCCTAGGCTGGAGTGCAGTGGTGTGAACACAGCTCACTGCAGCCTTAATCTCCTGTGCTCAAGCCATCCTCCTGCCTCAGTTTCCTGAGTAGCTGGAACCACAGGAGCATACCACTATGCCCAGCTAATATTTTTTTAAATTTTTAGTAGAGATGAGGTTTTGCTATGTTGCCCAGCCACATTTTGAACTCCTGAGCTCAAGTGATCCTCTTGCTTCAGCCTCCCAAAGTGTTGGGATTACAGGCGTTAGCCACCATACCCAGCCTCTTTTTTTTTTTTTTTTTTTTTTGAGATGGAGTCTCGCACTTTCGCCCATGCTGGAGTGCAGTGGCACGATCTTGGCTCGCTGCAAGCTCCGCCTCCCGGGTTCACGCCATTCTCCTGCCTCAGCCTCCCGAGTAGCTGGGACTACAGGTGCCCACCACCAAGCCTGGCTAATTTTTTGTATTTTTAGTAGAGACGGGGTTTCACCGTGTTAGCCAGGATGGTCTCGATCTCCTGACCTCCTGATCAACCCACCTTAGCCTCCCAAAGTGCTAGGATTAAAGGCATGAGCCACCGCGCCCGGCCCCCAGCCTCTTTTTAAAAAAACATTTTTAGATTTCGGGCATAGTGGCTCATACCTATAATCTCAGCACTTTGGGAGGCTGAGGCAGGTGGATCACTTGAGGTCAGGAGTTCAAGACCAGCCTGGTCAACATGGCGAAACCCGTCTCTACAAAAAATACAAAAATTAGCCTGGCATGGTGGTGCACACCTGTAATCCCATCTGCTCTGGGGATGAGGCAGAAGAATCACTTGAACCCAGGAAGCAGAGATTGCAGTGAGCTGAGATCCTGCCACTGCTCTCTAGCCTGGGCAACAGAGCGAGACCCTTTCTCAAAAAAATATATATTTTTTTAGAGATGGGGGTCTCGCTCTGTTGCCCAGGCTGGTCTCGAACTGCTGGCTTCATGTGATCCTCCCACCTTGGCCTCCCAAGTCACTGGGATTACAAGCAGGAGTCACCACATCTGGCTTCCTTTTAAATTTTCTTTAAAGTTATCTCTTCCCTAAACTTAACGTATGAATACTTGCCAGTTAATTGCCTCACCATCAGAAGAATGTAAGTTCACGTGGGCATGGGCTGTATTTGTCCTCCTTGCTGCTCTGTCCCCAGCACTCAGCACAGTGCCTGGCACATTAGCAGGCTCTCCATAAGTATGTGTTGGTTATGAATAGGAGACAGATTGAGATTTTAAAAAAAGAAAAAATTATGCCAGGTGCGGTGGCTCACGCTTGTAATCCCAGCACTTTGGGAGGCCAAGGTGGGCAGATCACCTGAGGTCAGGAGTTCAAGACCAGCCTGTCCAACATGATGAAACCCTGTCTCTACTAAAAATACAAAAATTAGCTGGGCGTGGTGGCGCGTGCCTGTAATCCCAGCTGAAGCAGGAGACTCACTTGAACCTGGGAGGTGGAGGTTGCAGTGAGCCGAGATCGCGCCACTGAGCTCCAGACTGGGCAACAGAGCGAGACTCTGTCTCAAAAACAAAAACAAAAAATTAAACAAAACAAAAATATGTGTTGGATGAGTGGTGAGTGAATGTCCACACCTAGTTTGAGCCACGCCTCCTCATGATCCACAGCCTGGCCCATGCAATCCACATGCAGGCGCACAGCCCACCATTCCATAGCCTGGAAAGTGCAGTCGCCTCCACTTTCCCTGACCACCCTTAACCCAGCCCTCCCACCTCATGGCCCATCTGCTTCTCTCCTCCCAACAGCCCAGTCCTTCCCCTCCCAACTGCCCTCCCACCAGGCTAATTGCTAAGCCCACACTCCCTTCTTGGTCCCCAAGTCCTCCTCATGCTCGTGGTCCACTTCCTTCAGGAAGCTTCTCCACATCACTCATTACTGTGACAACCATAACAAAGCTAAGCTTGGGCTCTGTGCCAAGTACCCACTGAAAGCTTTATGTGTGTTTTCCTACTGAACTCATAGCAACATTATGGGGTAAGTCATTAGTTCCCTTTAATAGATGAGGAAACAGGTTCAGAGAGGTTGAGTGATCTGCCTGAGGTCACACAGCTACCAAATGGCAGAGGCACGTGTCCCATAGTCCTGTCTGGTGTGATCCTCATTCCCCCAACTAGACTGCAAGCTTTGAGGAGTCAGGGCTTTGTCTGGACTCAGCCCACACAACCCAGATTCTGTATCCTGGGCCCATTGTGTCCAGTGTTTGGGAAATCAAAGTCACTAACCTGTGTGACTGTACATTGTGTCTCCCCTCCCCCACCCCCCATGAATAAAAAATTGATATGTTCCTCAGGCTATTTAATCCCAGGGACAGGAGCTCACTGGGGAAAATGGCCAGCACCAGCCCACTGGACCAGAGAGACAAGGAGCCTCAAAGGATCGCTGGTAACTCTTCCCCACCCCACACACCCCTCAGCCTGATGTCCTGCACCCTGCCTGCCATTGCTGCTCTCACCTCCTCCCCAGCAGCTGCCCAGCTCTCTCCAACCCAGGCAGCACACAGTCAAGATGAACAATTTAATTACAATTTACATTTATTTTCCCCCAGAGAGCCAGAGCCCCCAGTTCTCCATCTTGTCACCTCACACACTTTTTCTGGGACGTTATTACCCAGAGGGCAACCAGGCCAGGCTGAAGAGGGGCAGGTAGAGGGAGGCAACAAGGAGGGTCCCCCAAGGGATCATGCCTCTCCAGCTATGGGGGTAAAGTGCAGGGAGAAGGAGACAGCTGTAGATACCCTCCTTCATCAGCAGGGCTAATGGTTCCCTGCCCCCACCCATTAACTCAGTCATTATACTAATGATCCCTTAAAAATGAGCCTAATGGCCAGGGTGAGGTGGCTCATGCCTGTGATCCCAGAACTTTGGGAGGCCGAGGCGGGTGGATCACAAGGTCAGGAGTTCCAGACCAGCCTGGCCAATATGGTGAAACCCTGTCTCTATTAAAAATACAAAAATTAGCCAGGCGTGGTGGTGGGAGCCTGTAATCCCATCTACCCAGGAGGCTGAGGCAGGAGAATTGCTTGAGCCTGGGAGACGGAGCCGAGGTCACACCACTGCACTCCAGCCTGGGCGACAGAGCGAGACTCCATCTCAAAAAAAAAAAAAAAAAAAAAAAAAAAAGTGAGCCTAATGACAACCTGCACCTGGAGCACAGGTGATGCTCTCACTTGCCTGTGTCACTCATCCAACTCCTCTCCACAGGCAACTCTGCAAGGAATGACCATCCCTGGAGAAACGGGAGCCCAGAGAGACCCAGAGAGTGACTCACCTGGTGAAGCAAGACAAGTGGCGAGGCCGGGCATGGTGGCTCACACTTTTAATCCCAGCACTTTGGGAGGCCAAGGCAGGTGGATCACCTAAGGTCAGTTCAAGACCAGCCTGGTCAACATGGTGAAACCCTGTCTCTACTAAAAATACAAAAATTAGCTGGGCGTGGTGGTGGGTGCCTATAATCCCAGCTGAAGCAGGAGAATCACTTGAACCCAGGAGGCGGAGGTTGCAGTGAGCCGGTATCATGCCATTGCACTCCAGCCTGGGCGACACAGCGAGATCATCTCAAACAAACAAATACACAAACAAACAAAAAACAAGTGGCGAGAAGACCTTTTAGTCAGGGGGGCTCACAGAACCAAGTTCCCGGAAGCACTTGGCTGAGAGCTCCAGGTACTCCAGCCTCACCATCCACCCCCAGCAGAGACCCTCCTCCCAGACACTTCTCTCAGACACCCCCAGCCACCCCTCTCTACTCTTCACTTGTCTTAGAGACAATTTAGTACCTCTAAATTCCAGAACAGACTCCAATCACCTAGAAGAAATGTCACCTGAATGAACGGACAGTTAACAAGCCAAGGACTCCAATACAGAAGGGGTTGGGGGTGAGGAATACTGCAGTTGTTTAAGTGGAGACCTGGTGATTTCAGGTCAGGGTCAGCTTTAAGGGCCCAAGAGCCAACAGAGCCAGTAAAGTGCTAGCTCAGACATGATACTTATGCTAACTTGGGTACTCAGTTCTGGGTCAAACTAGAACACAAAGCAGTAGACACCTAGCCATGCTGGAAAGAACCATGTTCAAGGCTGGGTGTGGTGGCTCATGCCTGTAATCCCAGCACTTTGGGAGGCCAAGGACAGCAGATCACTTGAGGTCAGGAGTTTGAGACCAGCCTGGCCAACATGGTGAAACCTCATCTCTACTAAAAATAGAAAAATTAGCCAGGTGTGGTGGTGGGCACCTGTAATCCCAGCTACCCAGGAGGCTGAGGCAGGAAAATCGCTTGAACTTGGGAGGCGGAGGTTGCAGTGAGCTGAGATCATGCCACTGCCCTCCAGCCTGGGCTACAGAGTGAGACTCCATCTCAAAAAAAGAAAGAAAGAAAGAGAGAGAGAGAGAAGAAAAGAAAGAAAGAAAGAAAGAAAGAAAGAGAGAGAGAAAGAAGGAAGGAAGGAAGGAAAGAAAGAAAGGAAAGAAGAAAGAAAGAAAGAAAAAAGGAAAGAAAAAAGAAAGAAAGAAAGAGAAAGAAAGAAGGAAAGAAAGAAAGAGACCACGTTCAGGTAAAAATAACATCTGCCACTTACTGAGCACCTACTATGGGCCAGTCGCCATGCTTCATGCTGGGTAGACATTCTCTTGTTTGACCCTCACAACAACTGTTATTATCCCTGTGTGACAGATGAGGAAACTGGGGCATGAGTCAAGTTGTTAGTAAGTGGTGATGCCAACTTTCAAAGTTCAGCACCCTGGCAGAGAGACTAGACTTAGCCATGCTGTGATCCAGGAGCAGAATTAGGACCCAGTGGGAAGAATTATAGGGACTTCATAATACTTGAGTCAAGGGAGGGCTTGTTAGGTAGTGAGCTCCCTGTCCTGGAAATGTAAGTATCTTCAGGACTCCTGTTGCAGAAATCCCTGGATGGGTCCTAGCTTAGCTGCCCTACAAGCTCTGAGATTCTATCTTGGACCCTGTGAACTATACAGAGCCCTGAAGGGCTCACACAGGCCCTCCCCACCCTTGCCTCCGCCCTCCCTATACCTTTCTGAAAGCCCACGGGTGCCTCATTACAAGACCCCCCACCTGTGAGTAGGACACCCCTTGAAGATATTGGTCAGAGAGCGCCCCAGAGCTCAGGAAGCCTAAGCTCTGAGGGCCTCCCATGAGGCTGATTTGCTCTCTGGAGAGGCAGGCAGGGGCGAGTGAAGTCAAGCCTCTTCTTGCACACCTGCTCTGGCCTCTCCCGTCGACACAACCAGGAGCCATTTCTGAGGAAATGAGAGTAGAGGGGCAGAGTTGGTAGGTGGGCATAGGGCAGGCCCCAGGGGAGAGCAGGTTCACCCTATAGTTAACTGGGAAAGGCCTTGGCTTGGATTTCAGGATTCCTGAGTGGGAGCACTGGAATGTGATCCCCTGCTGGGACTCAATCCAGGGAGAAGCACCCAACACAGTCTCCCTGCAGCCCACCTGAGAGAATGAGGCTCCTTCAGGCCAGGCAGGGAGCAGGGGGTGGAGGAGACACACGACAGGCATCCAGCCCTAGCCCAAGCCACCAATTAACTTCATGGCCTGAGGCAAGTTACGTCACCTCTTGGCCTGTTTCCTCCTCTGTACAGTGATGATAACATCCCGCCAGTGAGGCCTGATAAATATTCGACAAGGCCCTGTGGAAAGCTGACTGTGTTTATACCCTTGTAAAGTGCTATTATTACCCGGGGGGACCTTGGGAAGGGCCCCTCCTGGTCTGACCTGAAATGTCACTCCCAGACAGGATGCTGGATCCTGTCCTTTCCTGAGGGCAGCCCAGGGGTGGGTAGGGCCTGTTTCTAAAGAAGAGAACCCAGCACTCGGCAAACATGCACTGATGCTGGTGATGATCTTTGGATGATGATGGTGATGGAAACTGATTCCATCTGTGCACCACAGCCTGACGGCAGGGCGGGCTCAAACACAGGGGCGGCAGTTACCCTCCTGGGCATCGCTCCCACCCACCCCTTCCCGCCAGGAAAGCTGTCCACTCACACCCTGTCCTTCCCTCGAGAGGAAAATTCCTGTAGTAGACCTCATGGGCCAGAGGCAGTGACCAGGGGAGGGGACAGGAAAGGTTGGGGGCCACACTGAGCTGGAAGTCGACTCCTTCGACACCCCCAAGCCCCACAAAATGATCATCGAAGCAATTATGACTTGCTCTAGGGAGACCCCAGGGGTCAGGCCAGGATCTGGCGACCCAGAGAATGAGAATAACTGCCCCTTCTTGATTTGTTCAGCAAAGCGACAGCCTAGGGGGACTTAAGAGTTGTGACTTCTAAGGGAACAGCTGAGTTGTTAACACAGCTTGCAGGAGCCTTGTCTACTTCCAAAGTGGGGCCATGTTCATCGTTTCATTGGCTACTTCTCATACCAGCTCCATGTCTTCCAGGTACAAAAGCCGAGCCCAATTGGGTAACCAAATGCTTAAGGTAGCAGAGATAATGACCCAGTCAGGACAGGTCTCTTAAGCCAGCCTCTGGCTACCCCATCATAGTATCTGTCCATCGATAAGGCGGAGCCTGCACTGACCCATGAGTCACAAACACGGCCAGGACCCCTAAGCCTGGTCCCGGCATAGCCATACCTGCCCCCACATATCCACCCTCCTGTTTGGAGACACCCACCACCCCAACTGTGGAGGTCATGAGTAGTAGCAGGGGTAGTGTATGTGGACATCCAAACAGAATTGAGCTGCTTGGTAAGGCTGCAGAGAGAAGACAGCATTTCCCTACTACAGTGTGGAAAACTGCAATGAATCCAGCCTGCAGCAGGTGACCCCTCTGGTCCAGAGATCAAAAGGATATAAGGGGGAGAAGGGTTTGGTGCCAGCTCTGGGGTTGTGGCAGCTGCCCTCTTGAGCTCTGCTGGGCCCCACTCGAAGGGCCTTTTCACATCCTGTTGTGGCCAGTCGTCACTGCCCATTTCACTGACAGAAAGTGACACCTGAGGTCGGGGGGTCTGAAAGCTTCCAGTCCAACCCCCACTCAGAGGAGGTAGGATCCAGGAAATGAGGCCCAGGCAGCAGTGTCCTGGACAGTAGGAGGGGGAGGGAACTGGGTGGGGTGTCTCGCCTGGGCTTGTTTCCTTGGTGACGAAGAGGACAGGTCTGCTTGCTCCACAGGACAGGGAGCTGGAGCACAAACAGTGACAAGGCTTTTCCCCAAGTTGGACAAACACAACTCTCATTCTTCACCTGGGCCCTGAGTGGCTTATCACAAAAGCAGCATTTCCTTTAGATGAACCGCACTGGGGTTTCAGACAGAAATGGAGTCTTGGAGGAAAGGAAGCCAGCAAGAGGAGGAGGAGGAGGAGAGAGGCAGCCTCATGACAGAGAAAGGAGCTCCTGGAACAGATCAGCACTAGGTTGTGTGTGCAGCACAGCCCCGCTGGACCCTGTGCTTCCAGGCAGGTGCTCCAATGTGGCGGCTCTGTTAGCGCCCAGCCTTGTGGCAGGGTAGAGGCATCCTAACAGTCCATTCCTGAAGGGACGTTCTCTAGGAAAGACACTTAGCAAGCCAGATTATCTAGTTACACATTACACTGTATTTTTTCATTTTGCTATAATCCTAGGATTTTAGTAAAGTCCTGTTTAAAGGTTTGGTCTTGACTCAGCCATGCTGGGGGCAGCTAAGGAGGATCCAGGATCCATCTCTGGGCCAAGGTGGTAAAGGACAGCAGTGCCCTTTGGGGCCTGCCTATTGGCAGGGGCGTCAGTGAGGGCTCCCCAAGAAGGCGAAGGTGTCTCTTCTGTAGCTGTGCCCGCTCCGCTGCACTCCTCACCTGTTACCAGCCTCAGAGGGCTGGGCTCTACCTCATTAGGGCAGTCCTCACAGGCTCCCCTTTTGGCTTCTAGGACTCCAGCCATCCCACCCCTTTCCTTCAACAGAGCATCCATCCCTGGCAACTGTAGGTTCATGACCAGGGCTTCTTGGAGGAGAAAAATAAATGACTGGCCGGGCGCGGTGGCTCACGCCTGTAATCCCAGCACTTTGGGAGGCTGAGGTGGGTGGATCACCTGAGGTCAGGAGTTTGAGACCAGGCTGGCCAACATGGAGAAGCCCCATCTCTACTAAAAATACAAAAATTAGCTGGGCACGGTGGCAGGCACCTGTAACTCTAGCTACTTGGGAGGCTGAGGCGGGAGAACTGCTTGAGCCCGGGAGGTGGAGATTGCAGTGAGCTGAAATCACGCCACTGCACTCCAGCCTGGGCCACAAGAGCGAAACTCTGTCTCAAAAAAAAAAAAAATCATGGACTTGTCACAAAAACCATAACTGACCCAAATTCCCCAGAGTGAAGCCCTTACCTCGATTAGGCCTGCCCTGTGTCCAACCCAGGACCACACCAGAAAAGATTCCCTAAGAAGATGATATCCACTGGGCCAGAATTTAAAAATAATTATATTAATAATAAATATGTTAAATTACATTTAAAACAATAAATAGAAAAATAAACTGATAAATAAAATCAACAGGTACAAAATGTTTCAAAATTCCAACCAAAAAAAACACACACGGACAGTCGGCAGACAAGACAAATGGACAGAACGGGAGGGCGCTAAACGCAATCACAGGAACCCTTCACAGTTGACGTCTCGGCTCCCTCCTCGCCTGGTCACCCTTCTCTCCCCAGCCTGGAGACAGACCAGGAGACTCGGTGGCTGATATCTCTGGGGACTCCAGCCAGCACAGGGAAGCATCTGGTCCCACCTCCATGCCTTCTGCAAAGCAACCCTGAACCCTGGGGAGGGTGGGTTCAGAGGACAGGAGTGTGAGGCAGAGGCTGGATCATGGTGGGGCAGAGGGTGGTGAGGACCGGGAAGTCCCTACAGAGGCAGGTCGGTGCTGTTGTGCCGGGTTTTCCTGGCGGTGCCATCGTCTCGGGGCAGAGCTCTCTGCAGGTTGGACATGGCCACGGTCTTTTTGAGGTCAATCACGGCGTAGGAGTCTGAGCTTCGGGCAGGGTGGGTGGTGGGCATGGGGGCTTGGGGGCTCGAGGGGTTCTGGGGCCCCTTAGGGCGGTCTCCACCCCAGCCCTTTAGCTCCACCTGGATGTAGTTAAGCTGCCTTGGGGGCTCGGGCCCCGGCCGGCGGAAATCAAAGTTGAAGACCCTTGGGGAGCCGCGGCGGCGGGTCAGTGGCACAGGAAAGCTGCCGTGGCTGCGGATGGCGGCCCGGGTGCTGGTGGGCTTCTGCAGTGGGGTCTCGTCCTCCTCACCATCAGGGAAGCCATTGGAAGAGGGTGTGAGCCCATCCCTCGAGTCCCCATCATCCCCAGCCTCCCCTCCCAGCTGCTGGGCTTGGCTTTCCCACACAGGGGGCAGTGGGGGCAGGTTCTCATAGTGCAGCAGGGCGGCCCGGCGGTGGGCAAGGCCATTCCAGCCCGGCTCCTCTGGGCTCAGTCTCCAGCCAGCCCCTCGCCACAGCCCCCCGGTGACGTTCTCGTAGGTGCACTTGGGCTGGGCTGGACACTCAGAAGGGGCCTCATTGTTATTATTGTGGTGTGGGGGGTCATGCAGGCTGGGACAGAGGCCCTGGCACTTCACCATGTGCCGCCGAGCAGGGGTCGGGCCCAACACAAACTTCACCTGGCCTGGCTGCAAGAACACCTGTGGGTCCCGTTGGTCAGGTCCCCGGGCCTGCGGGAGGAAGGGTGCCTGACCCTCAGGCAGGGGCTGCAGGCAGTGGCGGCCCCTGCGGTGGTCATCTTCACTGGCCGGTGTGTTGACATAGGTGTGGGACTGGGGAAAGAGTCCAAGTGAGGCAGGAGTGTCCCAGGGCAGGGAGAAAAGAGAACAGAAGGGACAGGATGAGAGAAAAGAAGCACACAGAAAAAGACCTGGAGTTTCTTCTTCCTTGTCCTCCAACCCTTCTGAGGAAGCTGCTCCCTTTTGGGGACAGGAAGGGACCGTTACAATGTTCTTCCCCTTCCCGTGATCCTTACTGGGAGGAGGTGGCCTTATTTCCTATCCCTCGTCCCCACCCAGACCAACAGGGCAGGGGCTGGCCGGCTGCGTGCTCACCTGCTCATCAGGAGCAATGAGGGCATGGGTGGACTCTTCCCCAAGCGAGGGGTGCCGCAGGCTGCTTGTCGAGAGCCGCCGGGGAGCTGAGAATCGTGGGCCCTCTCCAGGGCAGCCATTGGAAAAGCTGGAGACAGTGTAGCCTAGAGCTGAGCACACGGGAGACAAGCCCAGGAGAGGGGAACTTAAGCCACCTGACAACCACTTGCAGCTGTGTGTGTGGCATCCTGGGACTCCTCTAATGGAGGACAGATGTTCTCAGGGCGTCACAGTGGTTAAACCCCACTGAGCCACCAGCCCCCCATTATCCTTCATCTTTCCTCTGCTCTTCAAACCCTGCCCTTTCCCTCAAGCTCAGCTTGAAGCACCTCACCACTGTCTCCATTATAGCCTCACCCGAAACGCATAAAGCACATCTTGCTGTCACTGGACCGTCCCTTTGCTTCATTCTAGGTCTGCCAGTAAGGTCCAGGGAAGCTCCTCAAAAAAAGGGACTGCGCTTCTATTTCTCCTGTCCCCCATGGGCCAGTCCAAGGAGCGCTGAATACCAAACAGGTACCTGATCTGAATTCAATGACTGAATAAGCAGAAATTGTAGGACCCTCTCCAGAATACGGTCATGGCCAGAGATGCCTGCACCAGCAGCAAGGAAGGTATATGGGGATGACCCAATAGACAGAGGAAGAAAGCAAAAAAACTCCAGACTGCCAATTCTACGGAAACCCAAAGTCTTCCTGTCTGCTCCCCAACCATCAGTCAATACAAGGCCCAGAACTCAACAACCTCAGTTTGAGTCACCTAGCCCAGCCCAGGACTTACCGATCCTCAAGAATGGTTCTGATCATGGACAACTGTCCTGGAAGGTTGGCTCACCCAGCCTTCTCCCAACCAGCCAGCTTAACTAGTCCCTCAGATTTGTGCTTCCTGGGCGTGTGTGTGTGTGTGTGTGTGTGTGTGTGTGTGTACACTGGGGTCTCCTCACCATTGGGTGGCTGGGGGGCTCGAGGGAGGTCAAGCTCAGCGGGGTGGCTATTGCGGGTGATGATGACAGGCTCTTCCATCACATTGATGCTGTTGCACTGCATCAGATCCTGAAGGAGGTTGAAGATTTCCTCAGCCCGGGAACACTTAAATGCAAATATTCCTGGAGAAGGAGAGGAAGAAATGACCCTAGGCAATAGGGAAGGACCAGAGGAGCTCAACAGATGCACAATGTGCAGGAAATGTCCCTCAACTCCAGTCCCAGGCCTGTAGGGGCAGGAGAGCCTCTCCTCATCTTGAGCATTCTTTTTCTTTTCTTTTTTGAGATGGAGTTTTGCTCTTGTTGCCCAGGCTGGAGTGCAATGGTGCGATCTCAGCTCACTGCAACCTCTGCCTCCCAGGTTCAAGCAATTCTCCTGCCTCAGCCTCCCAAGTAGCTGGGATTACAGGCGCCCGCCATTACACCTGGCTAATTTTTTGTATTTTTAGTTGAGACGGGGTTTCACCATGTTGGTCAGGCTGGTCTCAAACTCCTGACCTCAGGTAATCGGCCTGCTGCGGCCTCCCAAAGTGCTGGGATTACAGGCGTGAGCCACCACGCCTGGCCCTGAGCATTCTTTCTAGGTCTGCTCTAGAATCCAAGAGCTACTAGAAAGGCTGGGTCCAAGGTACCCTGCCCCAGCACGCCCACACCACATTGAACACTCCAGCTATATTGCTCTGAAGCGAAATCATTTTCATAAGGATGTGTGTGTTCAGGGGTCACAAGAAGAGAATCAAAACCAAAGTGGAGGCCGGGCATGATGGCTCACGCCTGTAATCCCAGCACTTTGGGAGGCCGAGGAGGGTGGATCACCTGAAGTCAGGAGTTCAAGACCAGCCTGGCCAACATGGTGAAACCCTGTCTCTACTAAAAATACAAAAAATTAGCCAGGCGTGGTGGTGAGCACCTGTAATCCCAACTACTCAGGAGGCTGAGGCAGGAGAATTGCTTGAACCTCGGAGGTGGAGGGTGCAGTGAGCCGAGATTGTGCCACTGCACTTCAGCCTGGGTGACAGAGCGAGACTCTGTCTCAAAAAAAAAGAAAAAAGAAAAGAAAAAAAACAAAACCAAAAGCCAAGGTGGAAAGGATAGTATTAGATGAGTGAACATTCTTCTTTTATTTTTTCGGAGACGGAGTCTCACCCTGTTGCCCAGGCTGGAGTGCAGTGGTGCGATCTCAGCTCACTGCAAGCTCCGCCTCCCGGGTTCACGCCATTCTCCTGCCTCAGCCTCCCAAGTAGCTGGGACTACAGGTGCCCGCTACCATGCCCAGCTAGTTTTTTGTATTTTTAGTAGAGACAGGGTTTCACCGTGTTAGCCAGGATGGTCTCGATCTCCTGACCTCGTGATCCGCCCACCTCAGCCTCCCAAAGTTCTGGGATTACAGGTGTGAGCCACTGAGCCCAGCCAGGTGAGCGAACACTCTACCTCACATGCTTCCCCCATCTTCCTCTGCCTAACACCCCCTGCTTCCTAGGAAAAAAAACTCCATCCAGAGCACCAGCCCTCAGATCGCTGATGACAAGAGGGTCTACTCTGTTCCCTGCTTCTTCACTTATTAGCCCAGTGTGTGGCCAGAAAGCAAATGCCTACTGTATATAGGTCCCTAACCTCATAGATTAAACTCTGGCACGGGAAGGAAGAAATCATGGGCAGACTAGCTAAAGGCAAACATGGCAAGGCAATCACAAGGCTCCTCAATGCAGCCAGCCTCACAGCCCTTCAAATTGCAACACTGCAACTCAAGGTCCCAGGAACAGCAGGACTGGGCTGAGTGTCTGTCAATCAGGGGACTCAAAGATGCCCTTGGGGTACTGGGCCAGCATGGACTCCTCTGTAACAGGGGGACCTGGGACCTAGGGGAGGCTACGTGGGGTGTGCCTGTGCATATACCCACAACTAAGACACAATTAGCCTGGGGAATGGGACAACTATGGTTTGCACAAATAGGATGGGGAGGAAACAGGGAAGAAAAATAACTACTCTGGCAAAATATGACGAGAAGTAGAAAAGACTGGGAAAGACTGGAGTTGTAGAGAACCCCGTGTTGGGGCCAGGGGTAGCCCCTCTGGGAACCCAAGTGTAGATCAAACATCACTAGGAGCAAGGATGCCTCTGCCTGCTCTGCCTGCTCACCCAGCGCCCCTGCCTCTGCCTCATGAATTCCAAAGGTAAGATGCATGGAGGGAAGTCTCCTCCAGCAAACATGACCTCGGAGGCTCACTATTTTGTTGGCAGCCTCATCAGAGAAGCTTGTTCATTCCACCTCTGCACAGCCATAATCCCAAACTGCACTGAACACAATCCCATGCAGGATTCCTTTTGCACAGCTTAAGTCTGGATCCTAAGAGATAAACTCAGACCATGCCACTTCTTCAGAGAGCTGTGGCTGGCTCTAGCCTTGACCTTATGGAATAACCTACCACCCCTGACCTCTGACTGCAGGGAGAATACATCACACTCTACTGCCCACAGGTGATGGGGATAACACTAACCTCTTGAGGGCTAACCTATACATTAGGAACCCTGGAGTACTGCATAAGCCCCTATCCCAGGGTGGAGCAGGGCCTGGTACTCACCCTGGCCTGTCTGACATCGGCGGCCACTCTCAAAGGAGAAGAGGTTGGAGTCGTAGCCATAGCGCCGCAAGCAGAGATAAGGCCAGCGGACGGCCTCACGCCGATGCAGGTGCAGCACCAGCTCACTCTGCGTCAGCTCCATCACCCCAGAGCCCAGCTCCACCCCCTCATCATCCACATTTGTCACCTGGAGGGGAGAAGACAGAAGGGTCAATGAGTGAGTCCAACAAGTGTTTGCATGGGTCCCTGAGCCACTGGGAGACAATCTGATGCAGGACAAGAGGTGGGGAACCAAAGGTCACATCCGACTATCACAGACTCTACTGAATGCCACATAACTACATGAAGCAGTGCCATGGACCCACGGCAGTTCTCTGGGCAAATCCTACTTCTCTAGTGCTGAGTTTTGTCATATGGACAGTGAGGGAAGAGGTAGGTAGCTGACTTCCAAGGTCGGTTTGTTAGATAACAAATGTTAGACGACCCTAGACAGCCCATGCCTTAGTATCCAAGGGCCAGATGTTAATGGGGAAGGGGTTCAATTGTAAATTCAAAATCTTGAGACTGGGACACCCTGACCTAGGAAAGTCAAGCCCAAGGCAGAACCAATGCACATCTCCTCTACCACCTCCCCAACTGTGTGCCCTTACTGAGGGCTCCCTCTTCTGGTGGGCAGGAGAAACATGTGCTTCAACATGCCCCAGAATGAGGAAGGAGGAGGCTCCCTCTACAGAGAGGTGGGCAGGGGAGAGCACAGGTCGACTTGGGTCTGCCCTCAGCTTCCCACAGCAAACAGCAAACACTGATGTTGTGCTTACTGTGTGCTAAGCACTATTTAATTTATTTATTTATTTATTTTTTGAGATGGCATCTCGCTCTGTCACCCAGGCTGAAGTGCAGCGGTGCAATCTCAGCCCACTGCAACCTCCACCTCCCGGGTTCAAGTGATTCTCCTGCCTCAGCCTCCCAAGTAGCTGGGATTACAGGCGTGTGCCACCATACCTGGCTAATTTTTGTATTTTTAGTAGAGACGGGGTTTCGCCATGTTGGCCAGGCTGGTCTCGAGCTCCTGACCTCAGGTGATCCGCCTGCCTTGGCCTCCAAAAGTGCTGGTATTACAGGTGTGAGCCACCGTGCCTGGCCACTAAGCACTATTTTAAATACTTTACGTATATTAACTCACAAATACAGAATTTTGTTTTCTCTAAAAAAAAAAGGGGGGGGGATATATAAAGTTATAAAAATACACTGACAACAGTTCCAAAAGCACCATTATGGCATTTCTTCATTCTTGGTAGTATCAAGAGCCATGAAAACAGCAGTGGTCTGGGCCTCTTTTCCTCAGGCTACTTGAGAGGGTGTGAGCTCAAGAAGTCTCCATAAGCCCACAACCTCAGCCTGGCATTTGATTTGCTGTTAGAGAAGCTGAGGCAACTCCATTAAATTGTGTCTGAGCCCAAGAGGCCATGTTGGGAACACAGGAGAGGAGAGGGCTCTGGGTACCTTGAACTTGGTGGGGTGGTTGTCTGGAACGCTGTCTCTGTTCAGGCAGCTGCAGCAGCTCCCCATGGTGTCAGAGCAGCCAGCCTGCCCTAGGAAAAACATACAGGATATGCAGGTCACCAACTTCAGCTTCAAAAAACCCTGCTCTGGGGAACTTGGGCAGAAGCACGTCATTGTGATCACCTACTCTGTCCAAGAGACTGTGTGATACAGACCCCCCCTCAAAGACTTCACATTCTCAATCCAGGGCCAGACACACATTGGATAAACGTTAATTCAAGTTACAATGTGTTAAGGATGAATGCCGATGGGGGGCTGGAGAGAGCTTCTCAGAGGTAACATTTGATCTGGACCTTGAGAAGTATGTAGGATTCTGACCCATGTAATGACAAGGAAGGCAGGGACACAGGCAGGAAGAAAAGTAGGGGTCCAGGAGAAGTGATCTGCAGCAGATGGAGGTGGGTGCCAGCCCGAGCCCCTTATTTGGATTCAGCAAAGAAATTGTCACTTGGGGGTCTCAGACACTTTGGCCTGTGCCTGTCTCTTTTTTCCTCCCTTTTTACCTCATCCATTCCACTTCATCCAAGTTCTCTCTTCTCCCTTACTACCATCCCAACATCCAGTGCAAATTTATCTTTCTGATGTCCTCTTCAAATGAGTTGTTACATTGTGATCATAAAGATATATTCAGAAGACTGAACATTTAAAACAGTGCAGTTTTAATAACCTCAAGTGGATATTTCTTCATTTAAAAAAAATGCTGGGTTTCCTTCCCTTTTTCTGAAGGGGAGACCAGAGGCCTTACTATTTGGCTCTTCCCCTCCAGGATTCCAGTACTTGGATTATATGTCACAATAGTCAGGACTGTGCCTAGAATGAAGAGGACACCACCCAAGCTTGAATGACCTAAGGGAACAAGAAATGCATGGACCAATACCAAGCAGAAGTTTTAAGGGGTTGCAACTTGTCACAAGAAATAAGTCTGTAGGATTGGCTATCCTTCTAGAACTCCTGCTGAATGGTAAAGCTTTGAACAACCAGGTGACCTGTACCCTCTGTTCCTCCCAACTTGGGAAACGCCATAAAACTGACCCCTATACACAGCTCTTACCTCACCCAGGCCATCGGGGAGCTGACCGTGGGAGGGGCATGGGGAAGGGTTCCCACTTTATTCCCCCCGTCCTTGGTGGGCTGTCATGGCAAACAGTCTGCAGAGAAGTCACCCGGATCCCTCTGGGATACACCTGGGGCTCACCTAGCATAGGAAACAGAGACACTGATTAACAAAACCTTCTATCTTCACCCCCAACTGTTAATGAAAACTGACCTAACAGTCCATCCCACCTGGGTATCTGTTCCAGCCCTAATGGGACAAAAACACCAATGAAGAAAGTAAAATCAAGGGCAAAGGGAGCACAAATCCCAAGCCCCACGGGCCCTGAGAGGGACAGACACCAAGAACATCAATAAGTTTGAAGTCTAAGACGACCAAAGACCTTTTAAGTCACTTTAGATCTCCCTCTGAGTCCTGTTACAACAAACACCAAAACCATCACCTTACCTTTGCAGAGAACTTTAACTCTACAAAGAGCTTTCTCAAAAGGACACTGTGATATAGTAGAGACAGCACTGGTTTAAGACTCAGGAAACCAATATATCGGTCAGTTTTGTTGCTACTAAGTATCTGGGAGACTTAAGTCAACGCCCCCCCCAACTCCCACCTAAGGCCTTAGTTTTTGGGGGAACCATCTATAAACTGGGGAGCTTCTAGCTTAAATAACTTGCAGAGGTAAAAACGTAAGACAAACTTCACTAAAATTGACATGTTCATCTTCCAAGACAGGCTGCTTCAATTTCGCATTTGGAAGCTTGATAGATTTTCTGCTCCCCAAGCTCTGAAAGGCCTAATTTTAACATAAATGTTAACAGTAAGCCAAAATTTCAGGATATCTGAGCCCAAGGTAGACAAGTCAACAAGCCAGGACTCTGCAGACCCTGGACATCCCACATTCCTGCTCTGGAGAAACACTTCCCAGGGCCCCTTGCACCCTGCATCCTTGGACAACTTCCAGGTAAAAGGACCCCATCCCCTTGGTCTGGCTTATTTTCTGGAAGGAAGAAGCAGGCTCAGGGAGGTGTGCACAGACTAAAGATAGGTTGCTGGGAAAATACTGGGGCTTGAGCCACCGACGGGGGCACGGCGCGGGCACTGAAACGAAGAACTCTAGGGTGCAAGATGGGGGAGGGGCTGAATTTCCCTATCACCATCTCTTCTCCTTAAGATATCAGGATGTATCAGATAGCCCACTGAGGAGGGACTGCATTGAGTGGAAATGGGGAGAGGCCTCTGGTCTGGGATAGGTATGGATCAGGGGCAGGAGTGAGAGGGGGGTGTGGGGGCTGAAAACGTATGAGGACGTTTGGGGAAACATGAGCAAGAATTTTGGATGTGGGCATTTTGGATAGTGCAAGGAGAATGGGGATATGAGGGATCCTAGGAATTTCCGGGCAGTGGAAGCATTTGGGGGCATCCAAGAGAAATGGTGGGTCCGTGGGCATAGCAGGAGATTTGTTGAGTGAATGAGGGGGTTCTGAGGGCTCCAGGAGATGCGATGATGTGTCCAGGGCGGAGAGGGTAGAGGTGGGTTGGGGGAGCCAGAGGCTGCAGGACAGGCTACAGGACTGTCAAGGGGAATTTCTACATGCCCGTAAGGAATGAGGAGGTCTGGGTGCGCGCTGTCCCCGGATCCCCGCCCCCAGCCCCGGTGCTCCGCCGCCTGCCCGCCCGCCCGGGGCTTCCTAGGGAGGGAGTGGAGACTGCGGCGCGGCGCGGCGCGGCGCGGCGCGGCCTCGGTGAAGCCGCCTCGTCCCCGCCCCGCCGCGCCCCGACTCACATCGCCCCGCGGCCCGGGCGGCGCCGGGCCCCGCTCCCGGGTCCCGCTGCAGCAGCCGCCGCCCGCCCGGAGCTAAGGCCTCCCCGCCCCGCCCCGCCCCGCGGCCGCGGGGTCGGAGGTCACCGGCAGCACCAACGAGACGCTGCGGGCTGGCGGACCCGAGCGGGGGCGACCGGCACGCAGCCTAGAAGGTCCCTTTGGAGGACTTTGCAGTCGGGAGCAGTGAGCATGCGCAGACGCCAGAGGGCGCTCCTGGCCAGGGGCTGAGCAAGCCCGGAGGGGACAGGGCGGAGCCTGCGGCGGAGGCGGGGCGCGGAGGCGGGGCTGAGGACACCAAAGTTGGGGGTGGTCCGGGGAGCGGAAAGGGGACGGAGGGTTGGGCGAGAAACGAAGGGAAGGGGAGAGGGTCTGAAGGGACCTGAAAGGAGAAGGGCAAGACGATGGAACCTGGAAGAGGGTTGAGGGGAGGGGAAGGGGCCAGGGGGACCACTGGGGACAAGGGGGAGAGAACTGAAGGGAAACACGCGGAGGAGCGGGGCTGGGAGACCACAGGGAGAGTTTGGGGAGACCTGGGAACTGCGGAGAGACAGGGCTGCGGGCCCGGCGAGGCGTTTCCATTCAGCGAATGGTTGAAAACCCAGCGTAAACGCGGCTCCCGGCGTCTGCTGGATGCCTGCCGGGCGCAGTCCGAGCCAGAGAGCCCTTGCACCTGCATGGCAGAGGCCATGGAGCCCGCACATTTCCACCCTGAGATCCCATAAATGTGGTTTTGTTTTCCTTTTTTTTTTCCTCCCCCCAATCTGCAGCTCCAGGCCCCTCCCTGAGCCGCCCCTCTCCACCAGCCGGGGAGGGGCGGGCGGGGGCCGCTGGGGCGTGGGAGAGGAAGGGCCGCGCTATTAGGGCGGGCGGGGGCGGACGGGGGCGGGCGCTGAAGCCTTGGGGTGGGGACCGGGTGAGGGGCCTGACGGCAGAGTCGGTCCAGAACTGCCCGGACAGCGACGCACAGCGAGGGTGAGACCCCAGCGGAGTCCTGGTCCCCTCCCCTAAAATCCCAGCAGCCAGACCGGGAACCCCAGCGGACTCGGGAAACACCGCGTCCCAGCCCCGGAGGCGGGCCCGCCAAGTTCCAGAAAAACTCTGGGGATCTATCGAGAGGGCAGTTGGCGGGACTGGGCACTCCCCTTCCTTCTCCCTCCCACTGTCCCCAGAAATCTTCCCATCCCTCCACCTCCCCAAGCCCTAAGTCCTCTCGGGCTCTGCCCTTCAGGGCAGCGGGTGTTGGGGATGTCCAGCTCCTGAGCCCTCTTGCACGGAGGCTCTGCACGGAGGCAAGACAAGGGGTTCAGCTCTGTCCCTTATCTGAGGTGGGAGGGGGAAGGGAATTATGGAAGGAATCCAGCTGGCCTGTTAGTAAGGGTGTTCCAGTGCTAGGTGGAGGTGGAGTTTGGCTGCCTTTGGGGAGATTGGAAGGGTGAGGAATAGAGGCCTGATTTCTGAGTGTTGTTTCTGTGTTGGACAATTCTATGCAAACTAGAGCCAAAATGGAAGAGGGTGCAAGTCCCCTCCTGGGGCCCCAGACGCCCCCTCCTTTCTTGCTGCCTGGAGCAGGGGCAGTGCTGTTAGTGGCTACTCCTGGTGTGAACAGCCCATCCTGGCCACCTTCCACAGGAAACCTGACCTGAAGGACAGAAGAGGAAGGAAGCAGGTGGGTGTGAAGCCAGGAAGGAGGGAAGGGTGGCACAGGACATTTGAAGTGGGAGTGGAGGGGCGGTGCTGAGGAGGGTTCAGTGCTGGGAAGCAATATTAACTGTTACAGTCCAAACCCTCACCTCAACCCCAGTACGAATCCCTGGCCCAGTCTTAGAGGCCAGGGATTTGATGATGACCCTCCTGTGCCCAGCTACTTTCAGAATCTATCCCAGCTCTCAGAAGCCAGGTCCCCCTAAGGCTTCCCTTAGCCTCTGGTATGATCTTGGGCAAGTTAATTAACTTGTTTCAACTGTCAAGTGGAATGAAAGAGATTACCTCATAAGATTATTGTGAGGATGGACTATATTATGTAATATTCTAGAAGAGTCCTTGGCACAGAGTAAATATTATTAAAAAGTTTGCTCTGGTTATTTTTTTCTCCAGGGTTTTTGTATGTCTGTCCCGAGCTCTGATTGATCCCATTCTACCTGGTTTCATCTTTGTCTTACCCACTATGAGCTCCTTGAGGGCGGGGCTCATCTCTTCTCTACATTAATAGTCGCTTTTTTTTTTTTTTTTTTGAGACGGAGTCTCACTCTGTTGCCCAGGCTGGAGTGCAGTGGCATGATCTCAGCTCACTGCCACCTCTGCCTTCCAGGTAGGTTGGAGCGATTCTCCTGCCTCAGCCTCTGGAGTAGCTGGGATTACAGGCACACATTACCACGCCCAGCTTATTTTTGTATTTGTAGTAGAGATGGGGTTTCCCCATGTTGGCCAGGATGGTCTCGAACCACTGACCTCAGGTGATCTGCCTGCCTCAGCCTCCCAAAGTGCTGGGATTACAGGCATAAGCCACTGTGCCCAGCCAATGGTCACTTCTTCTTTTTTTTTTTTTTTTTTTTTGAGACGGAGTCTTGCTCTGTCGCCCAGGCTGGAGTGCAGTGGCGCGATCTTGGCTCACTGCAAGCTCCACCTCCCGGGTTCACACCATTCTCCTGCCTCAGCCTCCGGAGTAGCTGGGACTATAGGCGCCCGCCACCACGCCCGGCTAATTTTTTTAATATTTTTAGTAGAGAGGAGGTTTACACCGTGTTAGCCAGGATGGTCTCGATCTCCTGACCTCGTGATCCGCTTGTCTCGGCCTCCCGGAGTGCTGGGATTACAGGCGTGAGCCACCGTGCCCAGCCAATAGTCACTTCTTACCCCCAAGATATTATGGTCATATCAGGAGCTGCCGAGAGGAAAGCTGAAGAGATGAACTTAGATTATCCAATGCAATTGCTGCTATATATAAAAGTGCAAGGTGTTCCTCTGTCTTTGAGGAACTTATAGACTAGATTAGGAGCCGAGAGAGATGCAGGGAGCAAAGAGAAAAACATTAGGTGCTAAATCTTGGGGCACTGCTTGCTTCAGGAGCTCAGGGAAGGGAGAGCTGGTGTGGTCACAGAGGCTGAGAAGGGCTTCCTAGTAAGGGGATCCTTTAACCAGAGGCCCAAGCCTATATAGCTGGAAAACCTGGGCCCATGTAGGAAGTTGTGAACAAGGAGGCTCACTGGGGCTGTGGGTGCATGGTGAGAAACGGTGGAAGTTAAGGCTGATGAGGTAAGGAGAGAGTGTCCAAAGGCCCACCAGAAAGGCAAAGTGCCCTCTCCTTCTACCATGGGCCTCCTCTTACCTCCATCCTGATCTTGGGAGACCCCAGAATTTGAACTTCAGAAATTCTGGACCAAAAGACCTGACCTCAAGTCCTGGCTCTGCCACTTACTAGCTGTTTGACCTTGGGCATGCTACTCAAGGTCTGATCCTCAGTTGGGCCATCTGTAAGATGGGGATAATGCTACCTAAGTCGTTTGGGTGTTGGGAGGACTGAGGGAAATAATATCTATAAAGCACTTAACACTTCCTAGCACATTGTAACGGCCTAATACATGGAGGTGTTCTTATTGTTTTGGGGTAGGCTTTGCCACAAATGTCAGTGCAGAACTCTGGCTGGCCCCACCAAGAAGACAGCCCCAAGCCCCAGGATCCAGGTCCACCAGCCAACTCAGACAGTGACTCAGGCCACCTGCCGGGGGAGGACCCTGAGGATACCCATGCTCAGGTAGTAGAGTCGTGCCCTTCCTCTGAGACCAACATGTCCTCTATCCTGTGGAGTGGCCACCCTTTTCCACCAACCCGGAGGTAGTTTGACTTCGTGCCTAATCTCTTGTTGCCTTTTTCTCTTTTCAGGAATTCCTGTCTCTGCACCTGCTTAGAACATGGGGTTTTGACTTTAAACTCATTCACATGAGTATTCATTATCTCTCCTAGGGGGTCTGTATTGTCAAACCAGACTCTAGGGGCTTTGGCCCCAAGGCGTGAAGGGGGTTAAGAAGGGAAAGCATAAGAAGGGAAGCTGTTTTGGGGTGTGGGGCCTCCCCAGCCTCCCTCAAGGAAGACCACACATGCAGGCATCAGTCAGCTATCCTTGCACTCAGTGAGGATCTGCAAGGAGGACCCTCCCAAATGGAGGGCATGCTTAGAAGCTGCTCTAGATTGGAGAAGAGGTGGCAATGATGAGGGGGAAAGAAGGAGAAAGGAAAGAAAAACCTAGTTTCACTCCTCCCCTTCTTCCATGTCTCCTCAGGGTCCTGCAGTTCTGAGCTTGGGTTCCCTTTGCCTGGACACCAACCAAGCCCCCAACTGGACTGGACTTCAGACCCTCCTGCAGCAACTCCCTCCGCAGGACATTGATGTGGGTCTCCTCTCCCCATCTTCCCTCTCTTGCCTTTCCCTCCCTCATCTCTTTTCTTACTGTGGGAAGAACCTCAGTCCAGAAGTTAGGGGATGTGGATTTAATGCCCAGCTATGGCACTGGTTGGGGCGTCATTCTCCCCCTGCCTGAGTTTTCACATTGGCAATAACAATAGCAGGTGCAATAACATCTGCTCTGCCCACCACAATGCTTAGTTCAAGAGCAAATGAGAAAATGGACATGAACGACTTTTGAAACGGATAATGGAATGTACAAATGTAGAGAGTATGGTTGTTACGTATTTATTGAGGGTCTACATGTGTCCAGCCTAAAGGCTTACAATTCAATTGGGGAGGCAAGACAGGAGTATATGAAATAATTTGAGGAAATGCAAGAATGGGAAGTGATACTGAGCTCTTAGCTCATTGGGAACAAGGACCTAATGGTGACAGGGCTAAGTGCTGTGGGCCTGTCAGGACCTGATTGATGACATTCCTAGTGGGGCAGGGTGAGACTGAGGTGGCTTTCTTGAGCTCCTTTCCTTTTCCATTTCCTCTTCTATGCCATTATCTCTGGCATCTCCCTGAGGTTCTACAACCTTTCTCTGACCCAGCAGCCAAGCCCTTTTTCCTCCAACCAATGCTCAATGTTTTCTGCTGGAGCTCTCCCAGTAATTGTAGAGGACTGTTTCTGCAGGAGCGCTACTGCCTGGCCCTTGGGGAGGAGGAGCGGGCCGAGCTGCAGCTCTTCTGTGCCAGGCGGAAGCAGGAAGCCCTGGGACAGGGGGTAGCCCGCCTGGTACTTCCCAAGCTTGAAGGACACACCTGTGAGAAGGTATGTAGCACCCCTCCCCCCAAATTCCCCTTCCTCTATTCTTTGCCCTCTCATTTCTGCAGAAGGGGCTGGGCTAGCTTCTGGGATTCTGGTTGGGAAACAGGAAAAACAGAAACCAAGTTTGCAAGCTCTTGGTATAGGTTGCAGTGGATGTGGGCTTGCTAGGGTATGGCGAGAACAGGTTGGGATCGGATTGCAAGAGCAAGGAGGGAAGTTAGGATGGTAGTGCTTACTCCGACCACCTCAGCACCTCCCCTCTGACAGTGTAGGGAGCTGCTGAAGCCAGGGGAGTACGGAGTGTTTGCAGCCCGGGCAGGGGAACAGCGCTGCTGGCACCAGCCTTGCTTTGCCTGCCAGGCCTGTGGCCAGGCCCTGATAAACCTCATCTACTTCTACCATGATGGACAACTCTACTGCGGCCGTCATCATGCAGAGTTGCTGCGCCCGCGCTGCCCGGCTTGTGACCAGGTACAGCCTGGAGGGGAGGAACTGGGGGTCTGCCCAGAGTCCAGAGTGGCAGGATACAAAGGGACACTCTCCTGGGCCACAGTTTCTCCCAGTATCAGGGAGTGGGGAGAAGTAGGAACCAGCCTGGGACTACCAAGTTCCCTGTGTTCTGACTTGAGCTCTGGGCATGTAGGACCCAGTGCCCTTCTCTCTGGCCTCCCCCACTGCAGAGTCCCTCAAATGTTCCTGGACTCATCGAATTTCTCTAGAGCAGGGAGTCTTGGACACATGCTCATCTCAGTAGATGCCGAGTGCCCAGTGCTGTGCCTCATCATGCTAGAAATTCCCTTGATGTCAGCATAAAAGGAAGCCTGGAGCCCTGGGTTGGGAGTCCAGACCCCCAGGTCGCACTGGGGATTGTCCCACTTGCTAGCTGGGATCCTGGCTAAGCCAATCAGTCCTCCCTGCGTCCAAAAGTGGCTGAGTGAATTAAATGGGAATGTGTGCAGACGTGCTTTAGCGTTAACTGGGTAAAAGGCGTGGTTACTGGATGAATGAATGAGGGAATGAATGAATGAAACGTTCCCCTCTCCCTCTCCCTCTCCCAGCTGATCTTCTCCTGGCGCTGCACCGAGGCGGAGGGACAGCGCTGGCATGAGAACCACTTCTGTTGCCAGGACTGCGCCGGGCCTCTGGGCGGGGGACGTTATGCCCTGCCTGGGGGAAGCCCCTGCTGCCCCAGCTGCTTCGAGAACCGCTACTCGGATGCAGGCTCGAGCTGGGCCGGGGCACTGGAAGGGCAGGCATTCCTTGGTAAGGGAGAGGATGCAGAGCAAAGCGGGAGGGAGCTTGGGCTGGGCTGTGGGGGTTCTCCCGGGCTGGGACCCTCGCCCCGGTCCCACGCCGTCCCGTCCCTCCAGGAGCGCCCCCACCGCACCCCCCAGACCCAAGCCTCGGGGCCCGCAGCTCTCACCGCGCATCCCTGGCCGGAGCGTTCCAAGGGCCGCCCGAACCCACCCCGCGCCGCGGTCGGGGTTGCGGCGCCAGACTCCCTCCCAGGCGCGGGAGGCGGACGCCCTCTGGTGGAGGCGGGGGACCCTGGCGAGGACTCTCGGCGGCGGCGGCGGCGCGCACGGCCCAGGGGCTGGGCGGGGCGGGAGGCTGGGCCTCACCCCCACTAGCTGCGGTGTAGGTCCAGCTCCGCGGCTCTGAGACCAGCGTTTCCGACCCGGCCCGGAACAGGGGAGACTGGACTCGACCGAACTGAAGGAAGGGACCAAACCTCGGTGAACTCTGCAACCCTCTCCCGAACACTCCTCGCTGCTGCCGGCGGTTCCAGCCTGCAAACTCAGAGGGGGCTGCCTGGATCCAGTCCCCAGCAGGAGAACCGACCTGGGGACAAAGCGGAGGCACCCAAAGGGCAGGAGCAATGCCGCCTGGAGACTATTCGTGATCCCAAGGACACCCCTTTCTCCACCTGCTCCTCCTCCTCTGACTCGGAACCTGAAGGATTTTTCTTAGGCGAGCGCCTTCCCCAGTCCTGGAAGACCCCCGGAAGCCTCCAAGCAGAGGACAGCAACGCCTCTAAGACGCACTGCACCATGTGCTAGTGGCGCAGCTCAGAGAGGGGATGTGAGTGGGAGGAAAGGGGTCTGTAAAGCGGGAGAACAAGGCTAGCCTCCCCCTAACAATCCTAGACTGAGACGCAGTCAGGCGCACGCCCGCAAGAGGCGGCGAGGTGACAAGTTTGGAGTGCGCCCCCTTCAGTACTGCGCGTTCTAAGACTTTTGGCGGAGACTTTCTTGGCAAAACCCATTCCCCAAAGCTACGCTTCCCCTGCTGAGATAGCCCCTACCCCCACCTCCACAGGCTGGGACAGCCCCGTCCCCACCATCCTCCTCCCAAGCCAATTAAATGATCACAGCACGCGTGACAGTTACCGGCTGGAGAGCCGGAGGTGGGACCGGGAGCAGGGGACCGTAGAACCGGGCCGCGCTCCTCCCCTCCTAGAGTTCGTGGAGGCGCAGCAGAGGGCCGTCCCTCTTCCGGATGTCGGACTAAGCGAACAGCGCCCCCACTGCCGGCCGGTAGCAGCCGGAAGTGCCAGACCGGAGGTGCGTCATTCACCGGCGACGCCGATACGGTTCCTCCACCGAGGCCCATGCGAAGCTTTCCACTATGGCTTCCAGCACTGTCCCGGTGAGCGCTGCTGGCTCGGCTAATGAAACTCCCGAAATACCGGACAACGTGGGAGATTGGCTTCGGGGCGTCTACCGCTTTGCCACTGATAGGAATGACTTCCGGAGGTAACCGAGCCCGAGGAACTTGGTCCTTTTCTGGCCCTTAAATCCGTATTTCCCCTTTCTTGCGAGGCTGGCGCCTCAGGGTTTTTTGTTTTTGTTTTTTAACATTACCAGCATTGTGGCGTCTTCGTAGCTCTGGCTGTGCCTCACTGAGATCCCTGGCCAGGAGAGTTCCCGTGTGGCAAAAGCGATCTTTCTGTCATGTGGCTGTATCTGTAATGTCACCCTGATCAAGGGAAGAAGTGCTAGCACGTAAACAGGCTTTTTCGGCCCTGGACTAGTGCTTTAGCTGGGCTTTGCGTTTGATCTTACATTTCTTTTTTGTTTTTTTTTTTTTTTTGAGACGGAGTCTCACTCTGTTGCCCAGGCTGGAGTGCAGTGGCGCGATCTCGGCTCACTGCAAGCTCCGCCTCCCGGGTTCACGCCATTCTCCTGCCTCAGCCTCCCGAGTAGCTGGGACTACGGCCGCCCGCCACCACGCCCTGCTAATTTTTTGTATTTTTAGTAGAGACGGGGTTTCACCGTGTTATCCAGGATGGTCTCGATCTCCTGACCTCGTGATCCGCCCGCCTCGGCCTCCCAAAGTGCTGGGATTACAGGCGTGAGCCACCACGCCCGGCCTTTTTTTTTTTTTTTTTTTTTTTTTTTGAGACGGAGTCTCACTCTGTCGCCCAGGCTGGAGTGCAGAGGCGCAATCTCGGCTCACTGCCCCTTCTGCCTCCCGGGTTCAAGCGATTCTCCTGCCTCAGCCTCCCCAGTAGCTGGGATTACAAGCGCGCGCCACCACGCCCAGCTAATTTTTGTATTTTTAGTAGAGACGGGGTTTCACCATCTTGGGCAGGCTGGTCTCAAACTCCTGACTTCTCGATCCACCCGACTCTGCCTCCCAAAGTGCTGGGATTACAGGCGTGAGCCACCGCGCCCGGCCACATTTATTTCTTTTTGAGACAGCCTCGCTCTGTCGCCCAGGCTGGAGTGTAGTGGCGGACCTCAGCTCACTGCAGCCTCCGCCTCCCGGGTTCAAGCGATTTTCCTGCCTCAGCCTCCCCAGTAGCTGGGATTACAGGCGCGCACCACCACGCCCAGCTAATTTTTGTATTTTTAGTAGAGACGGGGTTTCACCATGTTGGCCAGGCTGGTCTCGAGCTCCTGACTTCGTGATCCGCCTGCCTTGGCCTTCCAAAGTGCTGGGATTACAGGCGTGAACCACCGCGCCCAGCCTGACCTTACACTTACTAGGCACAAAAATGAACTCCAAATTCCCACGTGGGTCTTGAGCAACCTGCCGTCACAACCACGTATCAACGCCTCGGGAAGGTGGTGATGGAAGCCTTTCCCCCCAGTACATTTCGTTAACTGTACAACTGACTCAGTGACCACAGGGTTAATAAAACACATTGTTTTTCCAGGAACTTGATACTAAATTTGGGACTCTTTGCTGCGGGAGTTTGGCTGGCCAGGAACTTGAGTGACATTGACCTCATGGCACCTCAGCCAGGGGTGTAGCCAAGTAGGTAAGCACTGAACTACACCCATGCGTGTCTTAGGAGACCTAGAGACTGGGTGAAGCAATGTTTTCTGTCAAGTATTCATGAAATGTACAAAAGAATGTGATGTAAAACCCTTAACTATTCCTAGTTAAATGTGTTTTCAGATGTTGAAAGGGATTTAAGTATCTCTTACCAGTTTCCCTCCCATACTTTTACAGTTCTAATGCCACCTGTCGTCTTATCATCTGATTGCAGACAAATGGAATCCTGTGCTGAACCCGAATCTTCCAAAAAACAGCCTACAATCTGTGACCACCACAAGATGTGCCCTGATGGCAGCTGAAGTTTGATTCAGATGGGCACTTTTCTTCCCCTTCCCTGCCTAGTTTCCTTTTGTTCCTTGAGTCCACGCAGAATTCCATTCTCTGGTCAGCAGACAGGCTTAAGCTAAAGTATTGCCTCTATTCTGTAAAGTTCTGTACATAGTTCCCAAGCTTCTGCAGGGGGTGATTTTTGCTCTTGTCCTGAGAAATAACAGTGCTGTTTTAAAAAACATTTGAAATAAATACCGCACACAAAGGCAGTCATTTTATTCTTTTAATAAGAAACTTTTGCTTACAAAAACAAGGTGTAAAAAGATTTACAAAAATCATAAAAACATGATTTATATTTCACACTTGAGAGACAAAAACAAGCCCCAAAACATGGATTTTAATGGAGGTGGTTTGCTTCATTTTAAAAGGGAAAAAAAAAAAAGGAAGCTGTAACCATACATTGATGTTAACCTAGCATGAAGTTTATTCTTGAAGAATTTACATTGTTGAGCAATATTAGGGGAAGAAGCCATTTGGTGTTGCATAGCATTTTAGTGCACCAGATGGGTTTTCCAGACACCAGGGAGGCATCATTGCTGGAATAGTGAGGTTTGGTGGCAGAAAGAGGGCAGTGATGTGTAGGGGGAGGCAAAGTGAAGTAAGCCTGGGCAGTGGTCACTAAAGTGACACTGCTGAGGCAGCTGCTTCCTTCAGAAGGAAATGTTTTGTGACCCTAAAATTCATGGTAGTGCTACTGTCCAGGGTTTGGGGGCTCTTTGGAAATGGAGTATGTACGGAACTGGCATGTATAGACTTATATAGCCATAGAAAGAGGTGGATAGAAACAGGTCCACCATGGCAATATTTTTTTCTGGCCAGTTTACTAGGCATTAAAAAAAATACTGCTTTTATGTGCCAAGTCTCTTATGGAACTAGTATGGGATTAAAGGACGTTAATTGGAAAGGAGGGTCAGTATATAAGGACCACAGTGGCCTGTTAAGGATGACAGATGTCTCTAGCAGTTTGTTCACTACTAAAGTTAAACAGGACAAAATAGTCTTTCCTGACCTTGCTGGCATAAATATTAAGAAAATTGTTTGAGAATTAGATTTTTTTAGTATGTATATAAAAACAGCACCATTCTTTGTATAAATCAGATAGATCTTATCTGATAGATGAAGCTAAGACCCTTTGAGTCTACACTGGGTTGACTCTGAGAGGTTTATATCTTATTGGGTATTAAGATAAAGAAGGGTCACATGAGAGCAAAGCTTAGCTTTGAAGCCATCACCTCCCAAATGGTGACCAAGGAGGAAACTTTTAAGCCATAGTATAGATGCTAACCCCCATTTAGACCTGCATCAGATCACTTGCTAAGACAAGAAATACCAGCACCTCCTGTTCTTTATAGGAATGAAACTTAGATCCTTAAAGGCTGCTACCTGATATACTCATGACTGGACAGTTTTGATAAAAACTTCCAAAATTGAAAATCAAAATCCAGCAAGAATTAAGACATGGCAGCTTCCAAAAGCATAATTCAAATTTCATTCAAAATTTACTGTTTTGGCTTCAAGTAAGTGTTTACTGTTGGTTGGGTTTTAAAGCCATAATTATGGTTGAGTAAGGATTCATTTATTTATTTATTAAATTTTTATACATTTTTGAAAAGATTTCAAATCTATGTTTCCCAGGCTGGTCTTGAGCTCCTGGCCTCAAGCAATCCTCCCACCTTGGCCTCCCAAAGTGTTGGGATTACAGGTGCTAGCCAACTGCATCCAGCCAATGTTTCATTTCAACTGGCTTAAATCTTCAAAGTGGTTAAGAATTTAGTAAATAAAACTACTTAATCTACAACTTTCAAAAATTGATGAGTAATCACTAATTCTGTAAATGAAGGAGTTGGACTTCACTATTGCCAAAGCAACATTTTCCCCAAGGAAAGTCAATTTGATATCCTGTCACACTTTTCAGCCCTGGCTAGTTAACACAGTACTATGAAAATCTTTAGCTAGATTTTAAACGAAATATGCCAGCAGAAGTATGGAATGAGTCCACAAAAATGAGTGCCTGCCACAATGCTATAGTAGCTATGGTGTATTTAGTGCAGAGTGTGGGATGAATAAGTACATAGTAATTAAAGTCATAGTCCTGGCCCAACAGAACAGTTACTAAATGTAAGATACAAACTAAACTCACAGTCATATTTAGAAGGCGCTTTTCAGCTTTAGCACTGACTTAAAAAGTCTGAACCACCAGGAAGATGCGTACTTAACTGGTTAAAAAATTAAGTGGCCCTGGAAAGTTTTACCCCAAAGATACAACTTCTTCACTTATTTAGTTCAGTAATGAGGCTGAGGGACCCAATTTTCAAGTGTGCATTTGAGTGGGAAACTTTTAAACACCATATGTTGAAGTTTCATGAGCTCAGTGGAAACCTTAAGGTCAGAGTAAAAGAAACTGGCTGTAAACAGCCCTGCAGTGAAGAGACTGGGTCTTAGCACCTTCCACATTCACTCAGCGCCATCTCAGTCAGCGCCTGCCAGGGAAAGGGCATGGAGAGCTGGGACGGGTGCCTTCTCTTTTGCACCACTCCCTTTGCATATTACACAGTGCACTGGCTTGCCTTACAATCTAAGGTTCACATACAGGGGGTTTTCTATACTGCTTCCGGACATTTTTTGCAAAAGAACATCAGAACCAATGAAGGTACCATTTCAGGAGGAATCATTTTTGTTTGACTTCTGCTATATGTTGCCCAGCATTAGTCATTGTTTTGATAAAGACTAAAAGGCCTTTTCTCAACATTTGTGCTCTCCCAACCACCTGGGAAAGCAACCCTTCCACTCACAAGAGGTAACCTCAGATAGGGATATAGTATTCATTTAAGAAGGGGTAGCCCCCCAGCCTGATTTAAAAAGGCCCAAGTCAATGTATGGAACATGACAAGGGAAGTGAAAAACAATGGAGTACACAGTCTGCCTTGAAAAGCAGCCATTTGATGAACAGTCACAAATACAAAGAATTTGGACATTGTAACATAATTTCAGAACTTGCTGGTAAGAATAATTTGCATTCACACACAAGAGACATGAAATGCTTTTTAAAAGTCTGTGATACCAGATGTCCTTTAAACACTACACAGACCCATTTGCCACTTGAAATGACAAGAAGAAATCCTTTCCCTTAATCTTTTCAATTCCATGCAAACCGTAATTGAGTACAAGGCACCAAATTTTATGAATTGTATAAAATTAGTTCACAAAGCTTTATCAGTAAGTAGAACAAACTCCATTTCTCCCTCCCGGCCAGCCCACCCTCCTCCCACCCACCACCCGCCATCCCCGACCAAGTTTTCATTCTGCACTACTGTCGACCTCTCTAGGGCTTATGCTGGGGCATGCCCCACTGTCAGCCAATCCACCTCATTGGTTCTTCCCTTGTACTTGGATGAAGCTGTAAGCACAGCCAGAGTAGCAAACTCATACAATCATTGACTCTAGAAGCCTTGCCATTAAAAACAAAAATAAACTCTGCTATTGAGTCCATAGGACACATTAACACTTCTACAGTTTCCAATTTTATTCATGACATTTTAAGAGACATCTGGAAATTCTTTTTTTTTTTTTGTTTTTGTTTTTGTTTTTTTTTTAAGACAGAGTCTCGCTCTGTCGCCAGGCTGGAGTGCAGTGGCACGATCTCGGCTCACTGCCCCTTCTGCCTCCTGGGTTCCAGCGATTCTCCTGCCTCAGCCTCCCAAGTAGCTGGGACTACAGGCACGTGCCACCATGCCCAGCTAATTTTTGTATTTTTAGTAGAGACGGAGTTTCACCATGTTGGCCAGGATGATCTCAATCTCTTGACCTTGTGATCCGCCCTCCTCGGCCTCCCAAAGTGCTGGGATTACAGGCATGAGCCACCGCGCCCAGCCTGGAAATTCTTTACAGTGTAGCACTGCCCCCCAACCCTGCCCCATAACTCCGAGACTGAGGGGCTGGATCAAAGCTGGCAAGAGCTCTGTCCACCATTTAATAAGAGCTTCAGTTCTGCCAAGGGCATTCCTAACTATTTTTATACTAGCATGGATGTTCGTCTCAGAGGCAACCACAGATATGAGGGTCAGGCTAGATTGAGGTAAAAAAAAATCCTTTTTGAGGGCCTAGGTGCACTCATCTTGGCTGGCTACAGCAGCAAGTAAACATGCCAGCCAACTAACTACAAAGGGTTCCTGGAATGAGACTCTTAACTACTTGCCCTGGGAGAGAAGCAGGCCCATTAAGGTTCGGTTAGGAGACCTTGGGTTTGATTTGGCAGCATCTAGTCAGTTTTTACCTGGTTCTTATTTTCTTCTCTTTAGAATGATTCAATTTCAGATGCAACTGAGACATTCATCTATACCCAGTACGTAAATAAATTAAAGGCAAAGGGACATTTCCCTCACAATAGCCATTGGCTTATGCAGCAGGGAACTCTTCTTTAATAAAAATCTCCTTAAATACTAACGTCCTAAGTGTCCAGTGCTGCCGCCTCTGGGTACCTGAGGTGTCTGTAACTGCAGTGGGCACCTTTCACAAATGTGTAGCTCAGTGGAGACTCTGATGTTAGTTTCTTTTATTACTTTGATATATGCGTGCTCAGCTAAGTTAAGCACTTATTTCACAAAGTCCTTAATCTGCTTAATAAATCCTTATAATATTTGGTATAAAACTATTTTTAAAAATTAAATTGGAAGATCTTTGAATTTTCCATTAAATGTTTATTAATAATTATCCCCACTGGACAGCCTGAGGGGTAAAGTAGATGCTCTATTAGTTCTTCTCTATCTTGTAAGTTCTTTTTTTCTAGAATAATAAATATAGGATTCAATGAAAGATGAGGCACGATTCATAGTTTCCTTTCCTTTTTACTCTCCTTGGTTTTTTTGAGTTAATGGGCTTTTCTATTGCCACAAAAAGTCATTACTAATCATGCCGACTTAAAAACGTGGATCTTGAGAGTACAGCTTCACATCAGAGCCTCTGGCAGCATGGACAGCGGTGACACTTTAAAACAGTGTCCAGGAGAGGGTGAGCCCAGGCAAAGCTTATACAAAGAAGCCTGCAGTAGACAATATAAACCAAACAGCATAAAAAATGCCATACGCTATCGCTTCCAAATAAAAGCTAAATATTACAGAAACCTCACAGTGTTGGAAAAAGCAAGTTTAATTTAAAATATAGTCACTCCTTCCCTATCAGGGTGAGCCATTTTTTGTCTGAATTTCCTCCATGTCTCAGTGCTGCCTGGCAGGGCCTATGGGAGAGTTCATCTCAAAAGAGGTCAACAGCAAATGCTACAGATCTGTGTGGGAAATGTGGCTCATCAACATTGCTAAAGCTATAACCCTCATTCTTTAGCCTGGCTTTCCCCACTTCCCACTCCTCCCCGAACGCCCTTCCACATCTACTCCCTTCAAGTGACAACTGTACTTCTACCTGAATTCAAACATTAATATGATATACTCAGTCAAAAGATGAGCATTCATAGTGACAGGTTGAGTGAGGCTCACTGCAGTGACCACAGCAACAAAAGTTAGGGTTTGCATTCACTTTCACCAGCAAATCTAAGTGAAGAACTAAGAATGAAGTGGTGCCTGATGGGGACAAGGGTTTTTATCTGGGCAATTTCATTCTGTTTAGAAACTGACCCAATTTAAAAAGGAAGATGTATTTTACTAGCACTGGGGGAAAGGACGGGGCACTCTTGTTTTTTTCTCTGATGGACTGAGTATGGGGGGTAAAGCAACAGTAGGGATTATCAGATTTGGGAGGAAACAGGTCAAGGCCATTGGTAATCAACTCTTCAGATATGTACGAGGTGGACTCCTAAGCAGTTAACATACCCTAGAGAACCAAAAGCTCCCAAACCCTGTGAACATGAATGTTCTAGCTCTCCAGGAGCAAGAAAGAAGCTGCAGGCTAAGAAGCTGCATGCCGCACTGAAGTGAGAACGGGTGACAGGCCTTCAATAAGCCCTGGAGCATCAGCTATCTCTGCCCACCCTCAATTGAGTTCTGAGAAAACCTAAGAATCAATTTAAACCAAACCATGTGCTTGCCCTAGACCTGAACCAGGGATCTGCTACAGAACTGAGATAGCCAGGAGTGTCCTTTGGCTCAGCATGGAACATGTGCTAGTCTATTGCTTCTTTATATGACCTGCCCCTTCTTTAGAATGAAGGGGTATTCATGCCAGTCTCAGAAGTATGGAATGATTATATGACAGCAGCAAGTAGGGAGGGTATGACATATGAAAACCATCCCACTTTGCATGGGGAAATTTGTTCCATGCATCTCACTCCACTCTTCAGCTGCTATCCCCAAAAAAGGAAGTTTGTTTTAAACCCTTGAAGGTTACTTCCTTTGTGGGAATAAACCCTTTAGACTTCATCTCCCATCTTGGAGCCAATCCCATCCAGCAAACTGCTAGCCCAGGGCCCCTCCTCACGTGCTCTGTCCAGGACTGCTCACATCCGGAGGGTTCTTCTGGTGCTGCAAGGAGGTCCTGATTAGCAGGGGAATCACATCATGGAGAGAAAACATGGCTGCTCTCCTGTGTGGATATGATTGATTTACCCCCCCGCCCCGCTTTCCTCCACCCAGATCCCTCTATATTCAGAAGCAACTGATGAAAGGATCTTCATAGAAGTTACTTCTTTTGTTTTTAGGAAAGGAGGGAACTCCCAAACTCATTCAAAAGAAAGAGACTATAAAATTTACGACAGGACACGAATCACCTGGCACCTTCTACTCTAGACCCAGCAAGGCAAACCTAGTAATCTGTTCCTGCAGTAGCCTTATTTCCTATAAGAGGAAAGATGTATGGACACCAATACACAAAAGCCAGTCTTTGATACATGCCTCCCATTCAGGAAAATGTCTGTGGTCTGCCTTCATCATTGTTGCTGGACTGCACCTGAGCTTGGAGATGGGTTTCTGAGATTCTTGCATTGCCCTGCACTGTTCTTTGAGTGTAAAAAAGGATGTAGGCCTGGGTTTTGCACACTTCCTCGACACTGCATACATTCAGCTTTGAGTCATTGCAGTGGACCCAAAAACCTAGGAAACCAAAGGAGAAAAAGAGAGAAAATGACTACCCAATTCATATTTTAGTCAGCAGGCAAAATCAGGAGATGAAGAAAGGGACAGAGAAGTTCTGAATAGAGCCAACCCTCGATTATTGGTGGGGAAGGGACAGGTAAATGAAACTGACAGACTTTTGTGTATCCACTGGCTTTAACCCCACCAAGCCCCACGGTACTGCTTATCGACTGACTGCAATTTTTTTTTTTTTTTTTTTTTTGAGACAGAGTCTCGCTCTGTCACCCAGGCTGGAGTGCAGTGGTGGGTTCTCGGCTCACTGCAAGCTCCACCTCCCAGGTTCACGCCATTCTCCTGCCATTCTCCTGCCTCAGCCTCTCGAGTAGCTGGGACTACAGGTGCCCACCACCACGCCCGGCTAATTCTTTGTATTTTTAGTAGAGACGGGGCTTCACCATGTTAGCCAGGATGGTCTCGACCTCCTGACCTCGTGATCCGCCCGCCTCGGCCTCCCAGAGTGCTGGGATTACAGGCGTGAGCCACCGCACCCAGCCGACTGACTGCAATTTTTATCTTTGTTTTCTTCAGGCTTTTTCATTGTCCACTAGGGCCTTCTAGAAAGAGCTGCGATACTGCAGGCTAAGCAATGGGGAGATGAGGAGGAAGAGGAGGAGGAGAGGAGAAATGGAAATAGAGGGGAGTGATGAAGGAAAATTTAGAAGGAACAAAAAAGTATTTATTCACAAGCTCTGGCTGCCCCAAGGGCTGTGCAGTTCAAGAAGAGTGAACAGCTGAAAACACATCTGCAGCCCATCAGTCAGTGCAGTAGCTGGAAGACTCCACTCTGGAGGATGAGGACCTAAAGCTCCTTTGGAGGGGCCCTTGCATCCCCACACTTCCCATGGCAGGGGAAGTAGTAAGAACATAGTAAGTGCTCAGTAAATGTTCTCGGCTTTATTATAAGCTGCGGCTAGTGAGATTCATACAATATCTCCTTGAGGTTACACAGGTTCTACTGTTTCTGCATAACCAAGAAGGAAACTGGGGTGTGCAGAAGTAGCATTACCACAAAACAGTAATATTATCAATAACCAATACTTTTGATAATACTACAATATCCTCTAACACTGACTGAATAAGTACTATGTGGTAGGCAACTGCTCTTCTTATTTATTTATTTGAGTCAGGATCTCACTCTGTTGCCCAGGCTAGAATGCAGTGGTGAAATCATAGCTCATTGCAACTTCAAACTCCTGGGCTTGAGCAATTCTCCCACCTCAGCCTCCCAAGTAGCTAGGATCACAGGTGCACACCATTACACCTGGATAATTTTTAAATTTTTTGTAGAGATGCAGTCTCGCTATGTTGCCCAGGCTAGTCTTGAACCCTCGGCCTCAAGCAATCCTCCCGCCTCTGCCTCCCAAAGTGTTGGAATTACAGGTGTGAGCCATTGCACAGGGCCTAGGTCCTGTTCTAAGCACTTTTACATGTCAGTTCCTTTTAATTCTTAGAACAACCATATGTTGTTACTTAGTAATATACCCAAAATTTGAATCCAACTTTCATAATTCTTTTTATTTTTTTTGAGATAAGAGTCTTGCTCTGTCACCCAGGCTGAAGTGCAGTGGCATAATCTTGGCTCACTGCAACCTCTGCCTCCCAGGTTCAAGCGATTCTCCTGCCTCAGCCTCTTGAGTACCTGGGATTACCAGTGCCCACCACCACGCCCGGCTAATTTTTGTACTATTTTAGTAGAGACGGGGTTTAACCATGTTGGCCAGGCTGGTCTCGAACTCCTGACCTCAGGTGATCCACCCACCGCGGCCTCCCAAAGCGCTAGGATTACAGGTGTGAGCCACGGCGCCCAACCCAATTTTCACAATTCTTTCCACTGGATTTTTGATGTATGTAATTTCCCTCTAGGTAATCCATGGGATGGAAATAAAAGGAAAACAATAAAATGTGGACAAATCAACCCCTTTCCGTGTCCCCCACCCCACAGAGTAAAGCGCACGCACCTCCCTCTGTGTTGTAGCAATAGGCTGTGTAGTGTCCTGAGCCAAACCCTTTCCCGTGATGCATGACCACTGCGGAGAGATCATAGGCAAAGGTCTCTTTGTCAAGAGAGGAGAGCATGTCCCTGCAGCAGTAAGGTTCCATGGTTAATACCTGGTCAAAGACGACATGGACCCCAATCTTCTCTCGATGATTACGGCCAGACCACCTAGAACATGGATATAAGCTTGTTACTAGTAAAAACTGGCATATATAATCGTAGGTAGAGGTAGGTATTAATAAAACAGGAAACTGAGAAAATTTAACCTTCTGGTTTTGGTTTTCCCATCAATAAAATGGTGGTAATCAATGTTCACACTTATTTATTTATTTATTTATTTATTTATTTATTTATTTTCAGACAGGGTCTCACTCTGTTGCCCAGGCTGCAGTGCAGTGGTGTGATTGATAAAGGCTCACTGCAGCTTCAACCTTCCCGAGCTCAGGTGATCCCCCCACCTCAGCCTCCCGAGTAGGTGGGACTATAGGTGCACACCACCATGCCTGGCTAATTTTTGCATTTTTTGTAGAGACAGGGTTTTAACCATGTTGCCGAGGCTGGTCTCAAACTCCTGAGCTCAAGCAATCTGCCTACCTTGGCCTCCCAAAGTTCTAGGGTTACAGTCATGAGCCACTGCGCCTGGCCCATTTATTTGCTGTTAATGTTCCATGAAGTACTCTAAACCTAGAGATCCCTAAACAAGCAATTCAAGCAACAGTCTTTTTGTAGTTTCCTGCCTGTGCTTCTTTTGCAGATTATTTTATACTTCATCCTGAAGATGAATCTACATAAGTCCAAGCCAGGCTAGAAAATCTTTAAGCACAGACACCCAGTGCAGGCTGGATAATTAATTACACAGGAGCATGAGAGCAAAAGCCCAGTCCTGCTGGGCTCCCACATCAATTTGCCTTAGTGGATGTGAACAGTTTAATCTCCATGGAAAACACGAGGTCTCAAGTGAACAGGCTTCCCCTCCCAACACCATAGAAGACATTTGCCCTCACCAAAGCCTTTGGAGCAGCTATTCCCACAGCTCTCACCCAGCTGGGACTCCCACAGCAAGCTCACCTGAATCTTTTAAGGTGCAGCCGGAGAACCTGAGGTAGTCTGTAGATCATTAACTGCTTTCTAGCTTCACTCAGAACAAGGGGTTTGGGATTGGATTTTCGTCGTTTGCCTATGTGGTTTGGGAAGGTATAAGACATAGGTTGTGAGGAGTTTTTTCTAGCTATGGCAGAGACAGTGACTTGCCATTCAATATGCATTCTCCATATTTCTCAGTATCTGAACCTCAATTTTTTGGGGGGCGCAATGTGACACTCTTTATGACTGCATTTCCCAGCTTCACACGCCTGCATGGTGTGGCCATGGAAGTTCTGGCTAAGATGAAAGGAATGACTGTGTGGGACTCTGCTTAGACAGGGCTGACTCAGTTGTAAGGCACATCCCTTTGGCCTTCCCACTATCTGAAACTGCTGGAATTCCTCCTGGACCAAAAGGTAACTTTGAAGACAGAAGTCTTGCAATGGGATAGTAAAACAGAAAACAGAAATAGCTTGGGTCACTGATGACCATGCAGCCACCATGCTGGCCCTGAATGTCCTTCAGACTTGTTTTATGTAACAGAACAATAAAATCTCTCATTTTAAGTCATTGTTATTTGGGTCGACTGTTACAAGCAACTCAAATCTTTCCAATTTTTGCCATCAGCAACTTTGCGTATAATGGAATATAATGGAACGTGCAGCAGCAAGCACATAGAGTAGAAGCATATGTTAAGGTTCCATGTCTTCACAATGGCTTATAACTTCAATTATGATACCCCACAATATGATTTTAAAAAGCTTTTTGTTTGCACTAGGTAAGCCTAATTCTACTTCCTGCTCACAACTAGTTGTGTGCTAATGGATAAGTTATTCAAAACTCTGAACCTCAGTTTCCTCACCAGTAAAATAGGAAATAATGCATATCTTTCAGGCTTAGGAAAAAAAGGATAAGATTACTAAATGATAGAGTATTTAAACACATTTTTTTCTTTAGCATGATTTGCTTATGGCATATTCAAACATTTAGAAAATAAACTGTTTTATATTTTTATGCTGTGCGTAGTTTTTGAAACATATTTCCTAGATAAAAGCACATTGCTGGACATGCAAGGACAAAGCTGACAGGTAGGCTAAATTCATCTACTCCAAAGCAGAACCAGTGATCAGTCTCTAATTTTGTTTCTAACTGTGGGGGAAATGCATTTCTCGAAGTCCTGGCTTCAAGCAGTCCTCCCACCTTGGCCTCCCAAAGTGTTGGGATTATGGGTGTGAGCCCACTGTGCCCAGCCTTGAGGAAATGCATTTCTAAATTTCAGCAAATAAATAATGGAAATAGAGTTCTCTTAGTTTCTATCAGAAGCCTTTCCTGTAACCATTTACTGATGACTGTTTTGTTATATTAAATTGGTAAATGGATGAGAGTAGAAAATTAGTGGTCTACTGCAGTCCCTGTTAATTGTCTTGAGCTGTTGATATCATGGGCTCAGTGTTTGAAGAGCAGCTGGGCATCTGATTCCAAGTCCTGTCTGTACTACTCATGAAAGGTAGCAAATCACAGCCAGATGATGTATCACAGAGCTTTCTGTGACAATAGGATGTGGAGGTGTAACTTCTCATAATAGACTGCATCAGAATGAGTGTGCCATAGGAGAAGCTTTTACCAGGGTGTAGTCGTCACAATACGTGGGGGCATGAACAGAAATGGAATTCACAGAGGGGCTTGGCCTTATTTTATATTCCTATTCACCATTTTTTTGAAAATTACTGCAGCTCTGGCTAGGAATCCTGGCAGTGACTGCCACCTTCAGCAGAGGGAGTATGTGAGCTAAGATGAAGACAATATAGAGTCAGGCTTTGTTTCCCTAAAATGAAATTCACAAAGAAAAAGAAATTACTGATTCAACTGAGATTGATCAGTTCTGTCTCCATTTCATTAAGCTGGCCAGGAAGACAGGTAGAAGACTGACAGTTTTGAAACTTCACAGGCAACAGATCAATGCATCTCATCCCCTCACCATAGGTTTCCTTCTCTGCCATTATTTGTACTTGCCTAGAGAAATCCTGATAAATTGGCATATCTGACAACCAAAGAACAATCCTTTCTTGTAAAGATAAACAAAAGTTATTTCTTGCCTAATCTATCATATCCAAAAATGATGGAGTTAAAGCTGTTAATATTCTTTTGTTCCTTACAAGTAAAAGGCTTCAGGAATCACTGTTTTTTTTTTTTTAAATATTACTCTAATGAAACAATTTGATTCACCTGACTCTGTATCTCAAAATGGAACAGGATAGGTGAGTCTATAGTTAACCAGGTATAAAATTTCAAATTTTGTTTTGAAATGGCAAAATGATATCGAGCATAACTTTGTGGTTTTTGTTTTTGTTTTTATTTTCCCTAAAAGAGGTCTTGCTATGCCACCAGGCTGGTCTCAAACTCCTGGCTTCAGGCAATCCTCCTGCCTTGGCCTCCCAAAGTGTTGGGATTACAGGTATGAGCCACTACACCTGGCCTCAAGCCTGACTTTTGATTTTTGTTCTGATTCTTCAAAGAGCGGAACAGGTTTCCCACAATTTATTTTATTTTATTTTATTTTATTTTTTATTTTATTTTATTTTATTTTATTTATTTATTTATTTATTTATTTATTTATTTATTTATTTTTTATTTATTTTTTTTTTTTGAGACAGCATCTCGCTCTGTCACCCAGGCTGGAGTGCAGTGGCGCCCACCTTGGGGTCTCCCAAAGTCCTGGGATTACAGGCGTGAGCCACTGCACCTGGCCTAAGATTTTTTTTTTCTTCAAAACTGGTAATCTAAACTATTATGTGACTGAAAATTGATTTCTAGGTCTCTGCACAGTCCATTAACTTTATACTTTTAGTTTCCAAATCTATATATGCCACAAACCCCAAACATAAGCATCCACATATTTGTTCTGCATTTCCTCTGTCCATACTGGATTAGCAGAAGCATTAAGTGTTAGTGTGGCAAGATGGAAGGACCCTGATAACATGCCTCTGTAACCATATGTAAGAGTTCCATTTTAAAATTACAGACAACACAGAAATACTTCCGTATGACCCTCTCTGAAATGTGAACTTTTCAGGCATGTGAACAATAAAAACAAAATGCAGAAAATATTTCATGAAGCTGCCACTGAGCAATGCACCTTAAGACTTGCTTTCTTGGTTCCACTGTACCAATCTTTAGCATCACTTTTGACAGACATTAAGTCTACCAGTTCAGTACAAAAGCTTGCTTTTCTGATATCGCACCCTTCAGAAAGGCTATACCATCTGGGTTTAGATTAAGTAAGAACTGTCAGACTCTACATTCATGAATTTAAGCAGCAGCCCCACAGCACTAAGAAGCTAAGTACTAACATTCTCAGAGTCCCCATTTCAGGAGCCACAACTTTAAAATCCCTTCCAAGATGACAACTAATGTCAATCAGGAGGTCAATCAACTCCTAGGTCTTTGTTTCATTTGTTGTTGTTGTTGTTGTTGTTTGAAACGGAGTCTTGCTCTGTTGCCCAGGCTGGAGTGCAATGGCGCAATCTTGGCTCACTGCACCCTCCGCTTCCTGGGTTCAACCGATTCTCCTGCCTCAGCCTCCCGAGTAGCTGGGATTACAGGCATCTGCCACTATGCCCAGCTAATTTTTGTATTTTTAGTAGAGACAGGGTTTCACCATGTTGGTCAGGCTGGTCTCAAACTCCTGACCTCAAGTGATCTGTCCGCCTTGGCCTCCCAAAATGCTGGGATTACAGGCGTGAGCCACAACGCCCAGCCTTGTTTTGTTTTTTAATACATAATTAAAACAAGTCCATGTTTTTTGTTTTTAGAAAAATGGGAGAAAAAGATCTTTAAAAGATGCTTTAGAACCATTCAATATCATTAGTGTTACTTTTGACTAAAGAGGACAAAGCAGCACCTTAAACTGATATTCCAATTATTCTTCCCCACTACGCCCCCTCCTCCACACAGCACTCACTGTTACACTGGTCACAAGCGTAGATTCTCCCTTCCAGGGCCTCTGTCTCTGTGAATTTGGCCAGCATCTCAGTGAGCAAGCACTCTGTTTGATTCAAAGGGACAAACCCCTTTTCTATGCAGTGATAGCGTTCAGGGAATTCCAGGGATAGGTCCCAAAAGGGCTCAATGGTATTGGATTTGTAATTGCATGATATACATGTGACCTAGAATGAAAAGATTGATTTACAGATTATATAACTTCCATGCTTCCTGTGTACAGTTTTACTTGCTTCATAAAAGACACACTTTATCAAAACTAAGTGTATAATTTTCAAAAAATAGTAATATTAAAATAATAAACATAACTTTAAAAGAATTAGAGTATATTATTTCTGATGTACATTTCTAACTATGGGATGCTAGCTGGAATTTAAAAACCATACTGCATAGAGACTATACTAACCCCCCTTTTCACCTCTCCCAAAATATGCTCTACCATTCAATAGTACAGTAGTACAGACTGCAAGTTATCATGCAGTCACTCAAGGGATCAGTCTGACACAGATTTGCAGGTCCCTGCCTGCTTCCCTCACCCTGGCATTCCTCCTCTTGACTTCAGACCTTCCATGGGGCCCAGCATGCCTCTCTTTTTGCCTTTGTTACTTGCAGAAGCCCTACACTGAACCCCTCTGTCTGCAGAGCCTCAAAGTGCTGTGATTAGACCTCCATTCCCACTATAACCTTCCCAGGTGCACCTTTCTTCCTAAGGGGAGGGGAGACAGAAGAAGTGCTGATAAATACTCCCCCTTTTACATGCTCAAAAACAAAAGCCTAATTAAACTTTCCCTTTCCATCCCATTCATCATTCTTTCAAAGCCCTAAAAACCAAGACACATAGTGTAGAGGTTTTACCTGAAACTCTTAAGTTGCTCACCAACCCACCCCCCACCACGTTTTTTTGTTTGTTTTTTGGTTTTTTTTGAGACAGTCTCCATCTGTCACCCAGGCTGTAGTGCCAATGGCACAATCTCGGCTCACCGCAACCTCCGCCTCCTGGGCTTAAGCAATTCTCCTGCCTCAGCCTCCCAAGTAGCTGGGATTACAGGCATGCGCCACCACGCCCGGCTAATTTTGTATTTTTAGTAGAGACAGGGTTTCACCATGTTGGCCAGGCTGGTCTCTAACTCCTGACCTCAGGTGATCCACCCACCTTGGCCTCCTGAAGTGCTGGGATTACAGGCATGAGCCACCGTGCCCGGCACACCTGCCTTTTTTTAACTATAGAAATACTCTTTCTGCATATTCTCGCAAGGCCCTGTCTAAGCATTTTTGCTTAGGTTACATGGCTAAAGATGCAGGAAATAAAAGGTAATGGGGAACAGGAAGGAGGCTTGCACTGGCCTTTAGCATGCTCCCAGCTACCTACCTTCCCTGTATGTAAAGAAGGGAGATTGCTCTTTCAAACTATTATGGAACCAGGGTTACAAGCAAACTCTGTTCCCTCAAATTGATCAAAGGATGGCACACCAACAATGGGTACTTAATTATAACAATGAGAATATTATATTACCCCTATCTTCAATAACAATTAAAGATATTCACTGAAAATTAAGCGATGTGGCAAGTTAAACTAAAAATCTGGCCGGAAAGACACTAGGCAAGTTTCCCCAAAAGGCCATCATAATGTACAGCAGAATGAAAGGTATAATGGCCACCCTCCAAATTGCATAATCACAGCAAATGTGGGCTACTCTTATTAGCCCAATAACCCGGGGAAGGCACTCACAGGAAGCCCAAGCTAACATACAAGCCTCTCATTGTCATGGTAGGCACACACATACCTGACTGAGCAGCTGCCCATGAAATATGGTATTCACCACCTTTAAGACCTGTTTGGTGAGCTTCCTCTGGGAGAAGGGGATGAGGATCCGGCGTGTGGTGCCCTCAGACTCGAGTTCCTGCTGCACCTTGTGCAGCAGCTCGCAGAGAAATTCCTGCGCGTCCTGTTGGTCGTAGCCGCGGAAGGCAGGGATCAGGCTCCACACTGAGTGGAGCATGGCGAAGGGCGACACTAGGGCCCACTTCCCGGACCACATGACTCGGAAGAGGGTGTGCAGTTCACGGCAGAGGGAAATGTGCTTTGAACTCGGCTCCTTGTTCTGGATGAGCTCCAGACTCCGACTAATGGAGGCCCTGCCGTTCCAGCAGAAGCCCTCCCGCTCGCATGCCTCGGCCCTGTCATTTCTCAAGGACAGCTCCGTGGCCGAGCTGTTGGTTGGCTTGCCAGAAAGCTGAGTCTTCCCGTTGGTGGCTTTGGGAAACAGATGTTCCGTTTTGGAAGGGTCAAGGTTGAGGAAACATTCTCGGAACTTCTGGAGGTGGCTGAGCACCTGGAGGATGGAGTTCATGTAGCAGGTGTTGCCCAGGTTGCGCAGGCCCGTGACGCCTGGGGCCATGGCCGGCTGGCGACGCAGCTTGAGTGTGGCGGCGGGCACTCTGCGTGAGGTAGGGAGGGCGGCGGGGCGCGAGGCAGCCGGGCCCGCGTCGCGGGGCGTGTGCAGGAGCAGCCGTGCACTCTTGCGCGGAGGGGTGCTGGCCAGCTCCTCCAGCAGCCGCCGTTTCACCTCGCGCCGCCGCCTCCGCGCCTCCTCCTTCTTGCGCTCCAGGGCCTCCTCCTGCCGCCGCTGCTCCAGCTTCGCCTGGCCCCGGGAGCTCTTCTCGAACCACAGCCGCAGCGTCCTGGCCAGCAGGCGCTGACGCCGGTACCACAGAGCCGTGAGCATCTGCGGCTGTCCCTGAGGAGCGCGCTGCGGCAGGACCACGTCCTCACCCGAAGCCATGGACCGCAGCGTCCGCCCACGTCTCACCGGCGTGTCCTGTTTCTGGCCCCGGACCGCCAGGAGGGAGCTTCTTAGCAGCTTCAGGTCCCCCTCTGGGTTATCATTGAGCACGTAGTCCTTGCACAGGTAACAGAACACGTAGAGATCCCGGACTTCCATGGCTAGCGGGTGTCCCGTCTCCTCAAAGTGTTTCAGGGCGTGGTCCTCAATATAGCGGCCGCAGGCCACGTGGGAGCACTTGAGGCAGGCCCACACGGACTCGGTGGTGGCACACTCTAAGCAGCACCACTTCTGAGGGTTCAGGATGGAGTGGTCCTGGGCGAGCCGTAACCGCCCTACATGTTTGCATCTATCCATGTCTTATAGAAGTCGCCACTTTCTCAACCTGGCACGACAGAGTCCCCAAAAAAGAAAAAGAAAAAGAAAACACTTTTAGAAAAATATTTTCCTTAAAAAAAAAAAAAAAAGTAAAAGGCTTGCAATTGATATTTCAACTCTAGATTCATTCATTTTCAACTCCAAATTGGTTCCTTTGAAAGTTAAAAAAAGGCACATTTGGTATAAAGGCAGAGAGTTACAGGACAGTTAAATTACTTAAAAAGGAAGACTCTTACGGAAGGGTTAGCACAAATTTGAAACTTTATGGTGTTTCACATACCAGTGGGAGAGATGAAGAAACTCAAATAAAAAGTCAATTTTAGGTCGATTGCAATGTTTTTCAAAGCAGAGATAACATGATATAAGATAGAAATAAGAGAAAGAAAGTCCTCACCAGTACAAAGTATCATTTTTATGAGACGTGACTAAGGAACATTGTATATGTGGTTTTGTTTTGAGACGGGGTCACTCTGTCGCCCAGGCTGGAGTGCAGTGGCGGGATATCAGCTCATTGCAACCTCCACCTCCCGGGCTCAAGCGATTCTCCCACTTCAGCCTCCCGAGTATCTGGGATTACTGACGCCACGCCACCACACCCGGCTAATTTTTGTATTTTTAGTAGAGACGGGGTTTCAACATGTTGGCCAGGTTGGTCTCGAACTCCTGACCTCAGGTGATCTGCCCACCTCGGCATTCCAAAGTGCTGGGAATACAGGCATGAGCCACCGTGCACAGCCGTATATGTGTTTTTTAATTTATTTTTTGTTTTTTATGTATTTTTTTTTTTGAGGTCGAGCCTCCCTCTGTCACCCAGGATGGAGTGTAGTGGTGCAGTCTCAGCTCACTGCAACTTCTGCCTCCCTGGTTCAAGCGATTCTCCTGCCTCAGCCTCCCAGGAAGCTGGGATTACAGGTGCGCGCACCACCACACCCGGCTAATTTTTTTGTATTTTTAGTAGAGACGAGATTTAACCATGTTGGCCAGGCTGGTCTCGAACTACTGACCTAAATGATCTGCCCGCCTCAGCCTCCTAAAGTGCTGGGAATACAGGCACGAGCCACTGCGCCCAGCCAACATCCGTCTTTTTGAAAAGAACATCTGCATCTTGCAGTAAGGGTGGGAAAACTTTTACCTTCTTTACTGAAAGGAAAGGTAAGTAAAGAACTGGACAAATCTGACTTAGGACAAGAGGTGAAGTGGCTACTGGTATAATATTTAACCAAACTACCGAAACAAAAGAAAAAAAAGCAACGAATCTTCCAGCTGATATATATGAAAATGCTTTTTAAAACAGTAGAACATCCTAAGCATGTTTTTTTTTCCCCCTCCCAATAATGCTTCTTCAATTCAATAATCAGAGAAGCCTTGTGGGCAATTTCTCCAAGGGAAAGAAGCTATACAACTTTTTTTTTTTTTTTTTTTTTGAGATGGAGTCTCGCTCTGTCACCAGGCTGGAGTACAGTGGCGTGGTCTCAGCTCACTGCAACCTCCACCTCCCGGGTTCAAGCGATTCTCCTGCCTCAGCCTCCCGAGTAGCTGGGACTAAAGGCGTGCGCCACCACGCCCAGCTAATTTTTTTGTATTTTTAGTAGAGACAGGGTTTCACCATGTTGACCAGGATGGTCCCGATCTCTTGACCTCGTGATCCGCCCACCTCAGCCTCCCAAAGTGCTGCGATTATAGGTGTGAGCCAACACGCCAGGCTGCTATACAACTATTTTAAAAGAAAACTTTTATATCTTTGGAACTTTGAAAGGCGTTTTCCCCTCAATACCAGAACTTAAAATTCCTTAGGCTGGGCACCGTGGCTTGCACACTTCGGGAGGCTGAGGTGGAAGGATTGAGGTCAGGAGTTCAAGACCAGCCTAGCCAACATAGACCTGTCCTATCTAATCTATCTATCTATTTACTTATATATTTATATATTTTGAGAGAGGGTCTCTCTGTCACCCAGCCTGGAGTGCGGTGGTGTGATCTTGGCTCACTGCAGCCACCACTTCCTGGGTTCAAGTGATCCTCCCACCTCAGCCTCTAGAGTAGATGAGATCATAGGTGCATGCCACTATGCCCAGCTAATTTTATTTTTTGTAGATATGGGGATCTCACTATGTTGCCCAGGCTGGTCTTAAACTTCTGGGCACAGTGATCCTCCTGCCTTGGCCTCCCAAAGTGTTAGGATTATAGGTGTGAGCCACCACACCTGGCCTAGTCTCTTTAAAATTAAAAAAAAAAAAAAGGCCAGGTGCGGTGGCTCATGCCTGTAATCCCAATACTTTGGGAGGCCGAGGCAGGTGGATCACCTAAGGTCAGGAGCTCGAGACCAGACTGACCAACATGGTGAAACCCCATCTCTACTAAAAAAATAAAAAAATTAGCCAGACGTGGTGGCAGGCGCCTGTAATCCCAGCTACTCAGGAGGCTGAGGCAGGCGAATCGCTAGAACCTAGGAGGTGGAGGTTGCAGTGAGCCAAGATCGCGCCATTGCATTCCAGCCTGGAGGACAGAGCAAGACTCCGTCTCAAAAAGAAAATAATAAAATAGGCCGGGTACGGTGGCTCACACCTGTAATCCTAGCACTTTGGGAGTCCGAGGCGGGAGGATCACAAGGTCAGGAGATCGAGACCATCCTGCCTAACGCGGTGAAACCCCAACTCTACTAAAAATACAAAAAATTAGCCAGGCGTGGTGGTGGGCGCCTGTGGTCCCAACCTACTCAGGAGGCTGAGGCAGGAGAATGGCGTGAACCCGGGAGGTGGAACTTGCAGTGAGCCGAGATTGCGCCACGGCACTCCAGCCTGGGTGACAGAGCGAGACTCCGTCTCAAAAAATAAATAGATAAATAAAAATTAAAAAATAAAGAAAATAGGCCGGGCGCGGTGGCTCACGCCTGTAATCCCAGCATTTTGGGAGGCCGAGGAGGGCAGATCACGAGGTCAGAGGATCGAGACCATCCTGGCTAACACGGTGAAACCCTGTCTCTACTAAAAAATACAAAAAATTAGCCGGGCGCGGTGGCGGGTGCCTTTAGTCCCAGCTGCTCCGGAGGCTGAGGCAGGGGAATGGCGCGAACCCGGGAGGCGGAGCTTGCAGTGAGCCGAGATCGCGCCACTGCACTTCAGCCTGGGCGACAGAGCAAGACTCCGTCTCAAAAAATAAATAAATAAAAATAAAAAAATAAAGAAAATAATAAAATAGGCCGGGTGCAGTGGCTCACGCCTGTAATCCCAACATTTTGGGAGACCGAGGCAGGCGGATCACCTGAGGTCAGGAGTTCGAGACCAGCCTAGCCAACATGGTGAAACCCCGTCTCTACTAAAAAAAAAAACACAAAAAAAATTAGCCAGGTGTGGTGGCAGGCGCCTGTAATCCCAGCTATTCGGGAAGCTGAGGCAGAAGAATTGCTTGAACCTGGAGGTGGAAGTTGCAGTGAGCCAAGATTGTGCCATCGCACTCCAGCCTGGGGGACAAGAGCGAGACTTCGTCTCCAAAAAATAAAAAATAAATAAAAAATAAATAAATAATTCAATTCCCTAAAGATAGTTCCTCTTTTTTTTTTTTTTGAGACAGAGCCTCACTCTGTTGCCCAGGCTGGAGTGCACTGGCATGATCTTGGCTCAGTGCAACCTCCATCTCCCAGGTTCAAGCAATCCTCCTGCCTCAGCCTCCCTAGTAGCTGGGATTACAGGCAAGGGCCACCACACCCAGCTAATTTTTGTATTTTTAGTAGATATGGGGTTTCACCATGTTGGCCAGGCTGGTCTTGAACTCCTGACCTCAGGTGATCCTGAGGTCAGGTGACCCGCCTCAGCCTCCCAAAGTGCTGGGATTATAGGTGTGAGCCACCGTGCCCGGCCGGTAGTTCCTCTTTCAAGGTGAATTTCTTTCACCTCCATTTATTCTCTACTTTTCATTTCTGTGAGCAAATGCAGTTTCATGATTATGAGGTCAACCCAGAGAAGTTCTAAATCCAATGTACTGTGAGTAGCCCCTTTAATTTTCCAGATGCCGTTTTTGGCCTAGTCCTATTTATGTGTGCCAAAACCCACAAATAAATAAATATACTGCAGGACCAAATTAGAGATTCTTCCCTTTTTTATTGCCTGTTCCAGATGGCAGAGGCATGTCTTTATATAAGAAACCCTCAAATCATACAAAGGGAAGCGACCTAGACTACTCTCAATCAAGCCAGATCATGATTTTCTCATTGCTAAGCACCCTTTACATCATTTTTCTGGATGTGTTTGCCCACTTTCTAACAAGATATACAGTAGCCTCCCTTTATACATGGTTTCACTTTCTGAGGTTTCGGTCACCTGTGGTGCAGTACAGTAAGATACTCCAAGAGACCACATTCACATAATTTTTATTACAGTATATTGTTGTAATTGTTCTATTGTATTATGTTATTATTACTGTGCCTCATTTAAAAACTAAACTTTATAGGTATGTATGTACAGGAAAAAAACATAGTATATATAGGGTTCGATACTATCTGTGGTTTCAGGCATCCACTGGGGGTCTTGAAACATATCCCCTAAGGATAAGGGGGGAATACTGTAATCTTCTTCAGAGAGGAGATTATGTATATTTCTGTTTTTACCCCCTTATAATGCCAAGACTTGTGGGTGCTCAACTCTTAGTGGTCAAAAGTATTCTGTCAGAATTACCCTCTCACACAGTCTGGAATAGTATTGAAATAACCATTTTTGTTGATTTTTCTTAGTGCACAGCCAAATCAAAACACACATACATTAAAAGATGGAATAGTAAATAAATGAATTTTCTTCTTGCTACTTAGTACCAACTAAGGGTACAAATTGGGTACACATTGATGCTTACAACTAATTCCTGGGACACAAAAGAAAGTAATGAAGGAATGAAGGGGAGGGAAAAATATCAAGATGCAGACAATTCCTGTTTCTCACTCTCACTAATTCAATATTCTTTGAAAATGTAGTCCCTGAACTACCTACCAACATCTGAATTCCCCAGGCTACTTGTTATATATACAGATTTCCTGGTTACTACTCCAGTCCTGATGAATCTGAACCTGGAGAGGCTTCTAAAATCTCAATGATTCTTTTTTTTTTTTCAGACGGAGTTTCGCTCTTGTTGCCCAGGCTAGAGTTCAGTGGCGCAATCTAGGCTCACCACAATCTCCGCCTCCCGAGTTCAAGCGATTCTCCTGTCTCAGCCTCACAAATAGCTGGGATTATAGGCATGCGCCACCACGCCCGGCTAATTTTGTATTTTTAGTAGAGACGGGGTTTCTCCATATTGGTCAGGCTGGTCTTGAACTCCCGACCTCAGGTGATCCGCCTACCTCGGCCTCCCAAAGTGCTGGGATTACAGGCATGAGCCACTGCGCCCGGCCAGATGATTTTTTTGCACATTAAAACTTTAGTACAGGCCGGGCGCAGTGCTCACGCCTGCAATCGCAGCACTTTGGGAGGCCGAGACGGGCGGATCACGAGGTCAGGAGATCGAGACCATCCTGGATAACACGGTGAAACCCCGTCTCTACTAAAAATACAAAAAAATAGCCGGGCGTGGTGGCGGGCGCCTGTAGTCCCAGCTACTTGGGAGGCTGAGGCAGGAGAATGGCATGAACCCGGGAGGCGGAGCTTGCAGTGAGCCGAGATCACACCACTGCACTCCAGTCTCTGGGCGACAGAGCGAGACTCCGTCTCAAAAAAAACTTTAGTACATTAATCCAGTAAATTGTATAGGGATAAAAGACTCTTCATAGAAATCAAAGAAAGAATTTTATTTCTCAAATTCTTCCACTTAGACTAACACTGTCCAACAGAACTTTCTGCAATGATATATTCTCTATATATCAATGAGAGGGATATCAATATTTTCTATCTGTATATATTCTCTATGTATCATCAATCATATATATCACTGATATATTGAGACTATAGAGAATATATACAGATAGAGAATTCATTATTATTACACATTATTATTGATAATATTCTCTATCTGAATATATTACAGTGCTGTCCAGTACTATAGTAACTAGTCACACGTGACTACTGAGCACTTGAAATGTGCTAGTGAGACTAAGGGACTGCACTTTTAATTTTAATTAATTTTAAGTCACATGTGGCTAGTGGTTATGGTATTATATTAAGACAGCATAGACTTAAACACACCAGGACACTATCTTTAGCTTGCTCTGCTTTGCTTTTTGTGTCCTTTCCTTCGAAAGATTCAGTACTAGCTAAATCACATCTGAATAGCCTCCTCTTACAACTCAAAACCTGATGCCTGGCAAATCCCCATTTTAGCCTTGATGTGTCTTCAGGAATTTAATTGCTACCAAGATCTTATCATATGAAATACAGCAGAGCTTCAAATCCTACAAAGAGAGAATTATTTCTGTAAATGAATATAGCAACACCACACCCAGAACACTGATGCCTCGCAAAATCAACTCCTCTGCTAAAAAAAAATATGCTGGAACAACCAAAAGCCAAAAGAGAAGAACACTAAAAAACCATTCCACATCCTCTCCATGGAGAGCTGTCAAATGAAAAGGGCACTTTGGAAATTCTTTCTTCTGATTTCATTTTCTGATCTATAAATCTGCTGATCACGCACATCCTCTCCTGCACAGCCCTTTTCCCATTACAAATTTGTCATGGCGACTCACTAACCTGCCATATGGGCAGAGTAAATCCATTCAGGAAAAACACAGGGCTACTTTGCACCTCACCATACTGATTTAAGCTAGGCAGACCAGCTTCTCTAGAGGAAAAACATGTATGATCATGAAATGGAAATCTCCTAAGAGTGACACAAAAGATAAAAGTCACCTTAACCAACAAACAAAATAGAGAATAAAGAGAATACCACCTCAGGTATACTCGGGTCAAGAAAGAAGATGTGTTTAAGTCACCTCTCACACATACTCTGACCACTTTATTTCAGAATAGGGCCTAGCACCCATTTGGCAAAAAGAGGAATTCTATTTTATATTTTTCTGATGTGTACAGGTTTCCCTTCGTATTCTCAAAGGCCATCATTCTAACATTTCCACTTAAAATGTACATCATCCAGTGTGACAGGCACCTAGTACCCAAAACTGATAAACTTACAGGTAATTGGGAAAGAACATGATGTGTCTGAATACTTCTACATCAGCAAGTTTTAAATAGATCAGCAGCTTTAAATAAATGTCCTGCACACCCTTGGTCGATCTGCATATGAGGAAAGTAAACCTGACAAAATATCAGCTTTTGCCTTTTTAATTGCCATAGTAGTTTTATTTTAAAAATCTGAATCAACTGGAGCTAAGAACCATAATCAATATTTAAAAGCATTCTATAAATATCACTAAGTATTAAATGAAAAGATAATTAAATCTTTTCAACATTTATCTTTTGTTCTGATGAAAAACTTCTAGATTTATCATATAATTTTTTAAAAAACTCTCCATATGAGAGATGACAACATTAGGATTCTAAATATTTCAAAAAATCTATAGCTTGAAAATATGATGCCTTTTAATTGGAGTATTTCAATTATTCTCAAATAGCAAATTTCTCAGCAGGTCTTAACTATATAACTACATCATCAGAAATAAAATTTCTGGGGGTTGAAGGGGAATCAAGAAAAACAAAATAGGGGGAAAAAAAGAGGGTAAATCTACTTTAGAGAGAATTCCATTTCTTCTCGCTCTCTCATCATATTGATTTCTCCTCAGTTGTTAACTAAGGACCGTAGAATAATCCTGCTTGGTCTTGGTGAGACCAAGTGGCATAAATTCCAGCTTCAGAGAGTAGACACTATGGTAACATGCTGACAGCCTTCATTTACATAAAAGAATACTAATTACGTGGTATCATCAACATCTGTGATTCTGCTCACTGCCATATGCGACAGTGCTGGGTATTTTAACCCTTTAACTTACTAAGTGTACCTAGAATTACATCTACCACAAAACCTGCATAGACTGCTTAAAGAGACACAGTGAATACACATTTACAAATAATAAATGTTAAAAATGAATTTCATTTTCTGCCAGCATTTCCAAGAAGTATGGGAAAACATAATCTAATATCAATATATAGTTAAGAAAAAGATTTAAAAATCAAGCTAGAAATCAAAACAAAAACAAAAAGGGGGCCGGGCGTGGTGGCTCACACCTGTAATCCCAGCACTTTGGGAGGCCGAGACGGGAGGATCATGAGGTCAGCAGATTGAGACCATCCTGGCTAACATGGTGAAACCCCATTTCTACTAAAAAATACAAAAAATTAGCTGGGCATAGTGGCGGGCACCTGTAGTCCCAGCTACTAGGGAGGCTGAGGCAGGAGAATGGCGTGAACCTGGGAGGCGGAGCTTCCAGTGAGCCAAGATTGCGCCACTGCACTCCAGCCTGGGCGACAGAGTGAGACTCCGTCTCAAAAAAAAAAAAAGAGTGGGGGGCAGAGACTGAGAAGGGTAGGGTTAGAGAAACTGTTCAGAAGTCCTTTGCTAAGGGACAGTGGGTGGGAGAAGAGATTGCTGAATGGGCAGTGTCCTCACAGGCTGCTGCATTTTCCCATTTTCCCTATCAGTGCCATTGTCTCTGAATAGGGGGTGGATGAGGGGTAACCTATAAGTCATAGTGCAGTTCAAAGACCCCCTGGAGAGGCTGAATTCTCTAAGAAGGGTTCGGAAGCTCTGACAAAATGTGTTCTTAGCTCTCTGACCCAAGAGCTGGAATGTCCACTTATGCAGCAGCTCTTGGCCACAGTCAACAAGACCTGACATGCTAGGTGTGCCAGAGCCCTTGTGAGGTGTGCTATCACTCATTTGTCACCAGTAATCAAGTGCTGATATTCAAGAATGAGTGTCTAATCATAGGTTACAGCAGATGTAAGGTTATGCCAGCATGATAATAGCTCACTTGCATTAGGATCTGCTTTCTTCAATGAAAAAGGAGTAGAGTTCATCTAGGGAACTGGGCCTGGCATACAACACTGGTTTGCCCATGGAAAGGGGCTATCCCTGTGGCCATGCAGGGAAATGACAAAGGCAGAACACCTGACGTGGCACAAATGCCTTGTTCCATACCCTCCGTACCTTCATCCTCTGCTCTCTTTTGTTTGCTTCCTTCCTCTTGCTACAAATATTCTCAAGTGTCTTCTGTCTAAAAAGAGAGAGAGACACACAGACAGACAGACAAGTTTGCCCTGCCTCTAGACTATCCTTGACACTATTTTTAGATTCTTTCTCCTTCTGGCAAGAGTAATGTGCAGGTTCATCCTCCTCACAATTCACTCCTTAACACCTCCTTTTTGTAGAAACTGTTTTCTCAAAGGTCACTAGCAGTTTCCTTATAGCTAAATTCATTAACCTTTTCTCAGTCCCCATCCACATTTTTTCTACACTTAACACTGCACAAACATTCTCTTGAATTTTAGACAACTGTTCTTGTCTGGTTTGCTTCCTGTGTCTGTAATTACATCTCTGTTTTCAGGTCTCCCTTCCTTGAAATTTAGGGTTTCCTTAAGGCTCCATCCTCAGCTCTCTTCTCAATTTTATCTATTTCCTAAAACTTTAAGCATCATTTAAATACAGGATTATATATTTTGATACTTTTTAAAAACTAAAAATTATTGGTAGTTTACATGCCATAAAATTCACTCATGTAAAGTAAAAACCTGATAATTTTTAGTGTACTCACACAGAGTTCCACACTCTATTATTATTATTATTATTTTATTTTTTAAATTGAGACAGGGTCTTACTCAGTCACCCAGGCTGGAGTGCAATGGCATGATCTCAGCTCACCACAGCCTTTGCCTCCTGGGCTCAAGTGATCCTCCCAAGTAGCTGGAAGCACAGGCGCGCACCACCATGCCCAGCTAATTTTTTGTATTTTTGGTGGAGATGGGGTTTTGCCATGTTGCCCAGGCTGATCTCAAATTCCTGAACTGAAGTGATCTGCCCACCTTGCCCTCCCAAAGTGTTGTGATTACAGGCATGAGCCACTGCACCTGGCTATTATTATTATTATTTTAGAGACAGAATCTCGCTATACTGCCTAGGCTGGACTCAAACTCCTGGGCTCAAGTGATCCTCCTGCCTCAGCTCCCCGAGTAGCTGGGATTATAGGCACATGCCACCACGCCTGGCTCCCACGCATGCTTTTTTTTTTTTTTTTTGAGACAGAGTCTTGCTCTGTCGCCAGGCTGGAGTGCAGTGGCGCGATCTCACTTACTGCAACCTCCGCCTCCCGGGTTCAAACGATTCTCCTGCCTCAGCCTCCCGAGTAGCTGGGACTACAGGCACACACCACCATGCCCAGCTAATTTTTGTATTTTGAGTAGTGACTGGGTTTCACCATGTTGGCCAGAATGGTCTCAATCTCTTGACCTCATGATCCACCCGACTCGGCCTCCCAAAGTGCTGGGATTACAGGCATGAGCCACCACGCTCGGCCTTTCTTTCTTTCTTTTTTTTTTTTTTTTTTTTGAGATGGAGTCTTGCTCTGTCGCCCAGGCTGCAATGAAGTGGCGCAATCTTGGCTAACTGCAACCTCCACCCACTGGGTTCAAGTGATTCTCCTGCCTCAGCCTCCCGAGTAGCTGGGATTACAGGCGCCCACCACCATTTTTCTTTTTTCTTTTTGAGATGGAATCTCGCTGTGTCATCTAGGCTGGAGTGCAGTGGCGCTATCTCAGCTCACTGCAACCTCTGCCCCGCAGGTTCAAGCAATTCTCCTGCCTCAGCCTCCCAAGTAGCTGGGACTACAGGTGTGCACCACAATGCCCAACTAATTTTTGTATTTTTCGTAGAGACAGGGTTTCACTGTGTTAGCCAGACTGGTCTCGAACTCCTGACCTAAAGTGATCCACCCACCTAGGTCTCCCAAAGTACTGGGATTACAGGCATGAGCCACTTCACCGGGCCACTCCCACACATACTTTTGAATCTCAGGTTGAATTTTCACATAATAATATCTGCTTTATGGTATACTACTATTAATGATATTTTCAGGATGAAACTACTGAACATGTTTTGTACTTTTTTGTTTGGTAGCAGTGATAATCCTATACTGAGCTATATATATAGTTTCATCCAGATCTCCTGGTGATCAAGATCTGTAAGATGACTGATGGGTGTTAAGGAGATGCCACCTGTGGTACAAAGCTAATAAGCAAGCTGGCCCTGAAGGGATCAGACTTTTTGATTAATTAACTTAATATTCTTGCTATAAGAGTTCTGTACCTAAAACCTAACCCCTTTTCCAGGAGGATAGCTGACTGGAGGCAAGATGGCAAAAGAAGACTGGTCATATTAAATTCAAGGATTCTGAATACACTGGGAGAGCACGTGTACACACACACACACATGCGCACACACACATGCACAGTCTTAGAAATGTTATCCTCGACTCTCTGCAGAGAAGTGGCAGCCAAAAGTGGATGAGAACCAGATTGGCTGGGTAAGGATTAAGCTTCAGAGCTTAGTAGTTTGTGCTGCCTCCAGATCAAAGGGGCCTACTTGCTACAACCTGGTGAGGCCATTCATAGGGCTGATGTTAAACAAGCATGACATGCATTTTGAGCCACCCCAGGATCCTGTCCCCAATTTGTCCCACTGCTTAGGCCCTGCTCAATAACAGTTCCCTCACTAACCTGGGGAATCAGCTCTGTCCGCACCTTGGTCAGCTAACCCAACTTCCCTATGAATCCCAACACATGAATGTTCCAACCAATGGAAGAAAGATGTCACTCACAGGCCAGAATTTTTCTTAAGCCAAGAAAGGATTATCCTGTGCAACAGAACCCCTGATCTCATTTGCTAACTCTTCCTGTTACTGAAGATAAGCATTATACTCTGTCTTTAGCCATACTGTATATGTGATCCAATGGCACATAGATCAGCTCCATTAAGTGCAGCACATGTACAATGAGACTTACACAATGCAAACTACTTCCTGTGTGTCATTCTGCTTGGGATTACCACATTAGTATTAAGAGTCTCCCTAAAGGAAAGTGGGGATAAAAGTCTGTACAGAAATGAAAAGATTTCTTTTTTTAAAATATTTGTTGAGATTTTGTGCTTTTGAAATGGAACAGGAAATCAGGTGGGGAGAAGAGCCAGATACAAGGTCGGGTTCGGATAAATAAACCCCCAAACAGCATGTGGATATCTGCAAGCAGGTATTTAGAATATCTATACAATAAAACCTGTAAGGGGAAACCCAAAAGCCACTCAAAGTCTTTTGTTTTATTTTGTTTTGTTTTAGCATGATCTCCCTGACAAGCTAGTGATAAAACAAGGTCCGAACTAATGGCTCCCTGTTCTCTACTGCCACATGGGAAAATTTTATCCCTACCACTGAGAGAATCAGGATTTACCCTTCTAAAAGCTGACCAAAGGAATCATGGTTCATCCCTGTAGTATGCCTCTCTAACGCCATGTTCTCTACAGCAGCTAGACAGGCAATCATTAAAAAAATACATACATATATACATATCAAAGTGTATATATGTATATATGTCAGACTTTCTTGAATTGTACCCTTGACATATGTGTGGTTTATGAAAATTATACCTCAGTACAGTTGTCAAGCATTATTCAAACACATACACAGATCTGAGTAATTTACTCCTAATAAAATAGGGGATGTAGGCAGTGGCTTCTTAAAAGTATTAGGTGAAAACTGACAGGAAATGTTATAATAGATGGATAAGGTTGACAATACCTAACTCTACTGATCAATTTTGCATGAAACTAGGGCAACTAGACCTCCCTGATTCAATGCCATGAAAGGTTCATAGCAGCATTACCTATTATAAAATACTCTTGCTAAAAGAACTGAGCCTGAGTCCAAGGAAGCCTTTGGATCTAACTACCAGGTTATAGGAAACATAGGAGCCAAGAACATACTATCATAGGCTGCAGTTAGCCAAATCACCAAATCGAAATGTGGCAAATGCTACAGGATCAGTCAGTCATATGGGTTCTTTAACAAATAAATGGCATGAAACAAAGGCAAGTGGGAGTGGATTTGCTCCAGATTATCAGAAACCTAGAGACACAGCAATCAAATGCAATCTGTGGTTCTTATTTAGATCCATACTTGAACAAACCAACCATAAAAAGATATTTTTGAGATAACTGGGGAAAAATGTTTTAAAATACTGTCTGTATCTAGCTACATCATTAGTTTTTTTTTTTTTTAAGTTTTATTGAGGTATAATTGACATACAGTGAGCTGCACATATTTAAAGTTTATAATTTGGTAAGTTTTAATATATGATATAGTTGTGAAACCACTGCAATTAAAACAATAAACACATCAGTCACCCCTAAAAGTTACCTTGTGCCCCTTTGTAACCCCTTCTTCCAGCTTCCCTCCCTACCACCACCCTTAGTCCACAACTAGAGAAACTGAACATGGACTAAGTATTAAATGACACCAAGTAATTATTAATTTGATGTGATAATGGTGCTGTGGTTCCATTTTTAATCTTTGTATGTAGAAATACCTCTGATATATTTATAGGTGAAATATTAATATTATGATTGATATATGGAATTTGCTTTGAAGTACTCCAGGAAAAAAAAAATAGTAGAAGGACAGAAAAAACAAGATTGTCAAAATGTCTATAATTGTTGAGGCTGGTTGACAGGTACATGGAATTCATTATACTATTCTCTTTATTTTGGGGTATGCTTGAAATATAACATAAAAATATTTTTAGGCCAGCATGGTAGCTCACACCTGTAATCACAGCACTTTGGGAAGCCAAGGCGGGCAGATCACTTCAGCCCAGGAGTTCAAGACCAGCCTGGACAATATGGTGAGACCCCATCTCTACAAAAACTACAAAAAATTATCTGGGTGTAGTGGCATGTGCCTGTAGTCCTAGCTACTCGGGAGACTGACATGGGAGGATTGATTGAGCCCGAGAGGTTGAGGCTGCAGTGAGCTGTGATTGTGCCACTGCACTCCAGGCCTGGGCAAGAGAGCAAGACCCTGTCTCAAAATAAATAAATAAGTAAATAAATAAATAAAATACTTTTAAAGACAAAAAAAGCAAGCAATATATCAGTAGTGAGAGAAAACCTTGAGATACAAGCTATTCACAAATTAGATAGGTTATGAGATACTCTTCATTTTTACCATCATTTCTAGTTTTACTTTGAAATGTACCCTTTGAAAAACACCTCCCACCTGATCCCCCACACCAAATCAAAGTGGTGCAGTTTTTCTCAGTAGTGTTAGTCACAGAGATTGCCTGCATCAGCCTTTCTGTCTGGGCCTCAAGTTGCCCCCAACCCCACCACCCTACCAAATCTCTTTCAGTAACCTCATCAGATTTTTATCCACAATTTGTCCACAAAATTTCCTGATTATCTCTGTCTTTGGAGGGCATGAAGCCACTTTAGTCAGTCTGTTGAAATGCCCTTGCTTAGCCAAATGTTGTTCTCTCTTTCTGAAACTTCCCCTTTACTGGGAAAGAAAAGTCCGAGGCCGGGCATGGTAGCTCACGCCTGTAATCCTAGTACTTTGGGAGGCTGAGGTGGGTAGATCATTTGAGGTCAGGAGTTCAGGATCAGCCTGGCTAACATGGTGAAACCCTATCTCTTTTAAAAAATACAAAACTTAGTTGGGTGTGGTGGTGGGCGCCTGTAATCCCAGCTACTCTGGAGGCTGAGGCAGGAGAATTGCTTGAGCCTGGGAGGTGGAGGTTGCAGTGAGCCGAGATCGCACCACTGCACTCCTGATTTTTTAACAATTCTGCTCCTTCCTCATGGACTCCAATTATCCAGACGGAAAGCAGCTCATCCTATACATTTATAAGTCTCACTGTAGTCTCAGCAAACAGCAGCACAAAAATTATATATTTAAAAATCCAATATTTTTGTTTTTCTGACCCCAGTCACATAAAGGTTACCCCCAGTCTACATGACGCTGGTTTTACGAAGCAAAATCTGGCCACACAGATCCAGCACAGTATTCACAAACACCAACCAACAGGTTGGTTTTCAGTCATAGAAACAATGTGAAAAATAGCACTTGGTCTAGTTTAAAAAGCCTATTGAATCCATAATGTATGTATAGTAGAGTAATAGAATACTAGTGCTACCACTATAACAGTTAACTACCAAAAGTATTTTCTCTGAGAAAATTATTTCACACTTGCAACTTGAGAAGCCAAGAATTGCTTTCCCAGCTGCAGCTCAAGCAGTGAAATTGGGAATCTCCCTCCTCCCATTTTCTCCACATGGCTGAAGAGGGCTTTCCACACATGGTCATTTGTATGGCAGACACATATACATTAGGAACTGTCTGCAGAGAAAAAAAGGAACAATTTCTGTGAATAGAAAATAAATCTGATTGGAATTTACAAATGGATCCTCAAGATTAGATGCTGGTGTCGGTTATTTTGGTGGTTGTTCTAAGAAATGGGAACCCGTCTTCCTGATGTCCTGCTGCTTAAACGACAGCAGTCCATTTAGTTCTGTGCCTCTCCTGCAACATACCAAAGCATATCTGTCAGGAAGGAGGCCCATCATATTTTGCATGAATGAAGACAACTTTTAGGCCAGGCACGGTGGCTCATGCCTGTAATCCTAGCACTTTGGGAGGCCGACGTGGGCGGATCACGAGGTCAAGAAATCAAGACCATCCTGTCCAACATGGTAAAACCCCATCTCTACTAAAAATACAAATTTAGCTGGGCGTAGTGGCGCGCGCCTGTCGTCTCAGCTACTCAGGAGGCTGAGGCAGAAGAATCGCTTGAGCCGAGATCACACCACTGCACTCAAGCCTGGCGACAGAGTGAGACTCCATCTCAAAAAAAAAAAAGACAACTTTTAAGTACTTGGTTTCAAGAGAAAAGATGACAAATATCCAAAGAAAAGGAGTCAAATACACAGGAGTATTTGTTAAATAAATACAGAAGGAGAACATTGGAAGCTACAAAGAGATCATTCATCATTCATGTACTTTAATAGGGGATAGGTTAAATGAATTATAAATCAGCCATACATGGAAACCACCAGTTATTTTTAAAAAACTAAAAAAGGGGCAGGGCTATATGTACAACAACTCAAAATATAGTATGTGAAAAAAGCAAAGAGGCAGAACAATGTGTATAATATATCATGAATATACATACAAGCATACATATACACACTCATGCAAATAAGAGGATAAACAAGCTGGTGACAGCACATGCTTTGTGGGATGGAGATGGAAAGGAGACTCAGTGGTCAACCTTTGTACCTTTTGGGGAAAAAAATCACATTACCTATTTTAAAAAAGGACATGGCACTGAGAAGATTCAGTGTTTCAGTAATCTTAAAAATTGAGGCATCAGCAAGATTACTGAAGATAAGCACAGAGCTAAAATGGTTTACTATGTTTTCCTTAGGAAGTAAGATTTAGAGATAGGCAATCTGGTATCTATGGTATATAGAGTACCTAAGGAATTCTAGTTAGTAGCACTAGCCATTACAAAAAGAGTCCCCTCCTCACATCTTTTCCATAAGCCGATGACTGCAAAATGCAGGCTATGAAGAGTCTGTACTCTGCAGAGTGGCAATACAGCAGAGCCTCAGTCAGTCAAATGTCAATCATTTGACATTTCTTATCAACCAAGGTACCAAGGTAATTTCTAGTCTTCTTCCCCAGGGGCCACCACCAAAAACTGTCCATAGAAGTGAATTTGTGGGCAGACTCTCTTTTCCCCAACTCTCAAGAGATCTTCCTTCCCCTCATGGAACAGCTCCTAACATTATTGCAGTGTACTGGTAATCTCTCTCAATATCCAACCAACCTCTCTGAAGTGGGCAGTGGAGGTGGTGGGGGGGTCGGGAGAGAGGGAGAGAGAGAGTGTGTGTGAGTGTGTGTGCGGGGTGGACAGTGAAGGGAATCGGCTGAATGGTGAAGCACTCCTCCTCCATACCATTCTAAATTTAAAAGGTGCACTATAAGCCTCAGTTTCTTACTGCCTAAAGTTGGAGAGCACTAATACCTACACTTCAGAGAGCTGTTCTGAGGGAGGCTCAAATGAGATAGCCACGTACTCTGAAAGTAGTTAAACCTAATCAAAATACTGGCTGACTTGGCCAGCCTTGTTACTCATCCCCAGGCCAGTTATTTTTGCCTCCACAGAGCCTAAAGTCAGGCTGGTTTTCAGCATCTTACAGTAACTGAGTCTCTAGTTTTGATTTTATTCCAGGAAATTTCATCTAATAAGGTGTTCATAATAAGCTATTCTTAAACAAGAAAATGGAGGACACTTTTATATTAAAAACAAGAAAAATCACTATCTTTTTAAAGCAAATTTGAGGGTTTTTCTAATATCCATTTTCTTAAATCTTGAAAAATTGTTTAATAGCAACACAGTGCAAGGATAATAAAAGTCCAATTTAGATGTTTAAAAAAAAAAAACATAGCATCGCCGGGCACAGTGGCTTATGCCTGTAATCTCAGCACTTTGGGAGGCCGAGGCGGGCAGATCACCTGAGGTCGGGAGTTCAAGACCAGCCTGACCAACATGGAGAAACCCCGTCTCTATTAAAAAATACAAAATTAGCGTGGTGGTACATGCCTGTAATCCCAGCTACTCGGGAGACTAAGGAAGGAGAATCGCTTGAACCTGGGAAGCAGAGGTTGTGGTGAGCCGAGATCGCGCCATTGCACTCCAGCCTGGGCAACAAGAGCGAAACTCTGTCTCCAAAACAAAAAACAAGAACAAGCCCAAACAAGAACAAGCCCATAGCATCACAAAATGCAGTCAAATTAAAGAAAGCAGAATCAGCCTTAGCTCACTCTCCCGTGGGGGTATGCCCATTGAATACTTACAGGTCCAAGAGAATGTGCTGCATGGCAAAAATATAAAGGGGGCCTTCTTTCAAATAAGGCATAGAAGGCATTTCAAAGACGTGGACTGTGCATGAACCCTCATCTCTTGTACAAGAATAAAGCAGACGTACTTCTGGGAACTCAACTATAGTGAGCAGGCACAAGAGGTGAGAGGACTGGGCCCTAACTTGTACAAGAATCAAACAGGCTGACCACAAAAAGAGCGCCAGTGCATATCCAGGCAATGAACTTACTACAGTTTAAGTCCCACAAATCTTAGCTACCTCTGCCCTGTTTTAAAATATCAACCTCCTGGTGTGCCAGTAAGTCTCACCATTTGAATTAAGACATCAAAGTCCCTATTAAAGGCAAATATTTTAAGGGAAACACCCTAAGCCAATCAACTACCAATAACTAAGTGCAGGTTAATTTACTGTAGCAGGAGATGGAAAGCAGAGCTCAGGCGTATGATACTGCCTAAGTAAATGTTGACAGAAAGAAACTGAAGAGGAAGGGAAAAGCATGAATCATTGCCTGAGATCCCACAGAAGGAAGTTCCGAGCCTTAAGGTTGTAATGGACACCAACAAGAGAGGTCACTTAAAAGAAAAAAAAAAAAAGATATGAGAACACGAAAAATAAGTCTCACTGACCTCATAATTTTTTCCAGCATCTCTCCTATGTTGCCTGTGGTAAATGTGCTGAACACTGTACATACCCATGAAATTATTATATCAGTGAGGTATATCCTTAGCAAATATTCAATAATAAAACAAAGTATATATGTAATTTATTAAGTTTTTAAGAGATACAAATAACTAGAAAAGTAATTATTCTAAACTAACCTTTAGAATAATAACCTTTAGTTTATGAACAAGGTGTTGTGTGAGCCTGATTTCTCAGTAAATTTTAAAATTATTTTTGTCTTTTTTCCCTCAAGACAGCCTACCATTGAATGTTTATTATTTTTAAGTTAGTGATCACAGACAGCCTATAGCCAAGGGTAAATAAAGAATAGCCTGTTTGAAGACAGGACAACAGTCTCATCAAACCACCTAATTTAGCTACAATTAACTTATCAAAATATGTATCATCACTATACCTACCATTCACACAGAAACTTAACAGAACTAATAAGAACTAAACTGGGCCAGGTGCAGTGGCTCATGCCTATAATCCCGGCACTTTGGGAGACCGAGGCAGGTGGATCACTTGAGTCCAGGAGTTCGAGACCAGCCTGGGCAAAATGGTGAAACCCCATCTCTACAAAAAATACAAAAAGTTATCTGGGCATGGTGGCATGCACCTGTAGTCCCAGCTACTCAGGAGGCTGAGGTGGGAAGATCAATTGAGCCCAGGAGGCATAGAGGCTGCAGTGAGCTGAGATCGCGCAACTGCACTCCAGCCTGGGTGACAGAGCAAGTGAGACCCCATCTCAAAAGAAAGAAAGAAAAAAAAGAACTAAACTGCTTTGAAGGAACTATGAATAAGAAACATCCTATCTAATACTGGCAGAAGCAAAATACAAAATAATACATATTACGCATTCCAAGAGACCAAACAATAGATCTCTAAGGGACCATTTAATGCATTACTAATTCTAAGAAGCCAACATATATAAGTCTGCTGACAAAGAAAATATGCCATAGAATTGTTCCAGACATGATTTGCTCCTTAATGGGAAGGTGGGAGCAGGACTGTTGAGGTGATGATGTCATTGAGCAGGTTCAAGAAATAAGGAATTGTCACATGACAATGATATAAAATGTCTCCAAAACAGCAATTAAGGTTTTATCTTCTGAGGTTGAAGTTAGAAAAAAAAAAATACAGTGGACACAATAATCCATCTGCTAAAAATACTAAAACCCTGAGGTTTGAGTGACTGCAGAGTTCTGGGGCCCCCCAAACCCAATCAAAGTGACAGATACAACCTCACAGAGCCAAAGAGAATATGACTGTGGAGGACTGCCAGCCTCCTGTGGAGGACTGTGGAGGACTGCCTGACCACAAATTGAAGGTCAGCAGTAAGAGGCGAGCATCCTCTGACCAATGGTTAGGCAGTGTTCTTCCTTCAGCTAAAGACAGCAAGTCCCCCAACTAAAAAATACAACTACTCAAGCCTGTTGATATCATATAAGGGCCTGATACCAACAGTCACTAAAACCATCCAGCAGACTCCCTCTGCACTGATTCCTTGCACAGAAAACCAAAATTGATTTTCCACATACCTCGGCTACAGGGAGAGAATGTAATAACAACCAAACTCAAATACTAGTTGGCTTAACAGTTCTATTTCTCACTGAAAATGAATCTTCACTCCAATGATGTTGATCATATAAGTCAGTTCCCAAGAAACTGGGCATCATACGTTATTCTCACAAACTTGAGGCTGAGAACCTTTAGAGATAAGGTCTAGACCCTAGTTATGACTTCACCAAGGTAATGCCACCTGGGAGGGCTCTGAGTAAGAAGCTAGCTAGCTGGCATTTTCAGAGGTAGGTTACTCCCCATTTATTTAAGATTTCTCCAAGTAGAATATAGTCAGGCCGGGCACAGTGGCTCACGCCTGTAATCCCAGGACTTTGGGAGGCCGAGGCGGATGGATCACTTGAGGTCAGGAGTTTGAGACCAGCCTGGACAACATGGTGAAACCCCGTCTCTACTAAAAATACAAAAATTAGCCAGCAGTGGTGGTGGGCGCCTGTAGTCCCAGCTACTCGGGAGGCTGAGGTAGGAGAATTGCTTGAACCCAGAAGGCAGAAGTTGCAGTGAGCCAAGATCGCACCACTACCCTCCAGCCTGGGCAATAGAGCAAGGGGCAATACAGCAAGACTCTGTCTCCAAAAAAAAAAAAAAAAAAAAAATTTGCCTGGGTCCGGATACTTTTTGGTATTTTGATAATTAAGTTGCATTACAAATAATTAAATCAGCTATCATTTATTGAACACTTACTACATCCAGGCACTGTTCTGAAACTTAATATATGTCATTTATTTTTCTCAACAATCTAATGAGGCAATAATTTCAACCCCATTTTAAACAAAATAAACAGGCTCAGAGAAGTAAAGAAACTTCTCCAAGGTTGCACTGCTGGTACATGGCTGAGCTGTGAGATGAATTACAAAGCTGGCTTACTCAAATTTGATTGACCACTCTCAGAATTTAAAATTTTTTAAATTTACATTTTCTAAATTACTAAAGTAAAATTGAACATTCTTTCATGTATCTATTGGCTATTTTTTCTCTACTGTCAGCTGACAAAACATATAATCACCACTAAAGCTACCACTCACATAAGAACTTACCAAAACTAATAAGAACTAAGCTGCGGCTGGGCGTGGTGGCTCACACCTGTAATCCCAGCACTTTGGGAGGCCGAGGCGGGCAGATCACAAGGTCAGGAGATCGAGACCAACCTGGCCAACATGGGGAAACCCCATCTCTACTAAAAATACAAAAAAAAAAATTAGCCAGCCATGGTGGTATGTGCCTGTAGTCCCAGCTACTTGGGAGGCTGAGGCAGGAGAATTGCTTGAACCCGGGAGGCGGAGGTTGCAGTAAGCCAAGATGGCACCACTGCACTCCAGCCTGGGAGACAGAGCAAGACTCTGTCTCAAAAAACTAAGCTGCTTTGAAGGTGCTATCAATAGAAACATCATATTTAATACTGGCAGAAACAAAATAATAGGCATTACATATTCCAAGAGATCAAGCTTTGCCTATTTTTTGATTAGGCTGTTTTATATTTTTCATATTAAATGATTGGAGTTCTTTATATATTCTGAATACAAGGCCTCTGGCAGTCAGATGTGTTGTAAATATCCTCTGTCTGCAATTTGTCTTTTGTTTAAGGCATCTTTTGTCATACATAAGATTTACAGTTAATACAATCATATGACGCATCTTATAATTTCATCTTTTGTTTATGAAATCCTTTCTTATGCCAAGGTAATAAAGGTACTTGCCAACAGTTTCTTCTAAAAGTTTGAAGTTTACACTTAGGTTGTCAATACATCTGGATTTTTTCCTCCTAGCCTCACCCTTAATCATTTGAAATTTTGATTGGCATTTATTGAATTTATAAACTTATTTAGGGAAAATTACCTCTTTATTATATGAAGTCCTCCCATCCATGAACATGCTATCTCTCTGTTTATCCAGGTCTTTTGATTATGTTTTCTCCCCAAGATATATATTTCTTGTTTAGATATTTCCTGGATACTTTATAGTTTTTTTGTGGCTACTATGAATAGAATCTTTAAAAAAGTATACATTTACTAAATGATTATTGCTGGTAGACAGGAATGTGATTGATTTCTGTATTAGGTTTAATCATATGAAACTGCAAATAAATATTTAACGACCATTTTGACCTACATAAATTATAATTTTGTATGGTTGAATCAAAAGGTTGCTGATCTGAAACTCAGCAACTTTGCAGAACTATTATTATTAGTTCTAATAATTTGTGGATTCTCTTGAATTTTTTTTTTTTTTTAAGATGGTGTTTCGCGCTTGTTGCCCAGGCTGGAGTGCAATGGCACGATCTTGGCTCACTGCAACCTCGCCTCCCGGGTTCAAGCGATTCTCCTGCTTCAGCCTCCCAAGTAGCTGGGATTACAGGCATGCAACACAATGCCCGGCTAATTTTGTATTTTTAGTAGAGATGGGGTTTCTCCATGTTGGTCAGGCTGGTCTTGAACTCCTGACCTCAGGTGATCTGCCCACCTCAGCCTTCCAAAGTGCTGAGATTACAGGCGTGAGCCACCGCGCCTGGCGGATTCTCTTGAATTTTCTATGGATGTCTACATAGTCTTCAAATATAGACAGCTTGGTCCTCTCTTTCTTGTCTTCTGGAATTAACCAGGAAGTTCAGTTGATTAGTAAATATTAAGGCTGATAGTGGGCACCATGTACTGTTCTTAACTTGAGAGGGAACAGGTCTGTAGTTTTACTGTTAAGTGTGATGTCTACCAAAGGAAGTTTTGGTTAACTTTAGGTTAAGAAAGTTTTTTATTTCTAGCTTTGTGAAAAAAATTTAATCAGACTAAATATTAAAGTTCATATAATGTTTTCTTCTGAACCTATTAAGAAAATAAGAAGAACTTCCCCTTTTAAAAATTAATATGTTGGATGATATCAGTGATGTATTTTCTGATATGAAACCATCCTTGCATATAATAATTTAAACAAACTATTTGGTCTTGATGTTTTGTTTTTTAATACAATAATACATTCAATTTGCTAGTACTGTTTAGATGTTTCAAATCCATTTTTAGAAGATTAGCCTTTCATTTTCTTATAATATACTGACCTTCCCTGTTTTGTACCAAGATTATACTAACCTCAAAACCTGAGATAGCAGCTTTCCCACTTTATCTCTTCTCTAAAACAGTTTAATTCTTCTATGGTTTATCTGTTCCATGAAGGTCTGATAAAACTTACCTGTAAACCTGTCTCATCTAGGCATTTTGTAGGATTGTTTCAATGTTTAATATAGCTAAGTTCAGATGAAGATCCAAAAATCCTCCCAGTGATCACAGGTCTCCAAGTCTTGGGAAATTATGCCTTGGTAACCTAGTGTCTACTTTAACCCCTACAGAAATTCCATATAAGTTTATACTTTTGAAAATAAATAAATAGTATGTTAATGACAGACAATGATGGAGCAAACAAAACAGATTTGCAACCAATTCAAATTTAGGAAAGCAGGCCAGGCGTGGTGGCTCACACCTGTAATCTCAGTACTTTGGAAGGCCAAGCCAGTGGATCACCTGAGGTTAACCAGTTCGAGACCAGCCTGGCCAACATGGTGAAACCCCATCTGTACTAAAAATACAAAAATTAGCTGGGCATGGTGGTGCATACCTGTAATCCCACTCAGGAGGCTGAAGCAAGAGAATCACTTGAACCTGGGAGGTGGCGGTTGCAGTGAGCCAAGATCGCACCACTGCACTCCAGCCTGGGCAACAGAGCAAGACTCCGTCTCAAGAGAAAAAAAAAAAATTTAGGAAAGCAGCACGAAGCACCAGTGCTGACTGGCCAAGAGATTGTTATACACTGGTGCTACCTGTACAGGCTGATTGATAGGAACCTCCACACAAGATAACCTGCATTGTCACTATAAAAGGTAGAGCTATCGACTGGGATTGGTGACTCATGCCTGTAATCCCAGCACTTTGGGAGGCAGAGGTGGGCAGATCACCTGAGGTCAGGAGTTCAAGACCAGCCTGGCTAACATGGTGAAACCCCGTTTCTACTAAAAATACAAAAAATTGCCAGGCGCAGTGGCTCACGCCTGTAATACCAGCACTTTGGGAGGCTGAGGCGGGCAGATCACGAAGTCAGGAGTTTAAGACCAGCCTAACCAACATGGTGAAACCCCGTCTCTACTAAAAATACAAAAATTAGCCGGGCGTGGTGGCATGCACCTGTAACCCCAGCTACTCAGGAGGCTGAGGCAGGAGAATCGCTTGAACCCAGGGGGTGGAGGTTGCAGTGAGCCGAGATTGTGCCGCTGCACTCCAGCCTGGGCAACAGAGCGAGACTCCATCTCAAAACAGAAATAAAAATAAAAATAAATAAAAATACAAAAAATTAGCTGGGCGTGGTGGTGCGCACCTGTAATCCCAGCTACTCGGGAGTCTGAAGCAGGAGAATTGCTTGAACCCAGGAGGCAGAGGTTGCAGTGAGCCGAGACCGTAACATTGCACTCCAGCTTGGGCAACAAGAGCAAAACTCCATCTCAAAAAAAAAAAAAAAAAAAGTAGAGCTACCATTTTTGAAATAAACTAATCATTTTTCTTCACCACTAACTCTCTTGAGCTTCTAAATCCATACTGCACATTAAACATTACTCCAAACTAAAATTAAAACCACCACCACAACAACCCATAACCTCCGCTTTTAATGGGCTGTCTGTATGATAAAGTCCAAGTTCCTCAGACAGACCTTCAAAAGTATCACATACAATCTGACCCCAAACAAGCTTCTCATATTATCTCCCACCCTTTCTTTGTGTCCAAACAACCAGATGGACTGGTCTACTCACTATTTCTTCAGACGTCCCAAGAACAGTCAATTCCTTGAGATGCTATCCTTCCTCTTCTGTACTAACCCTCAAAAGCCAGCTTAGGTCCTGTCCTTTTTTAAAGGCTTTTCCTGACCATTCTACTACCCAGTGAATCTCTCCCTCAAAGAACACCTCATTGTTCACAGTCCTCAATTGTTTTATCTGGTTTACTAACCATAGTCCAAACTCCTTAAGGCAAAGTCTGTACTGTTTTTTTTTTACCATTCACCCCCTGCACAAGGCTCTTGATATAAAGAACTAAGAACTTGACCCCAAATCTTTCCTGGGCATCTTTTACTCATGTTACCTGATAGTCTTGATTTGTAATTCTAGGTGGAGCTGCTTCCCTTTGATAAATTAACTGAACAGAGACAATTATCTTCTGAAATTCTGTGATGATAGCTCATTTAACCTATTCTCTCCCAGTTCTAGCTCCTTTACAGGGCACTATGTAAGACTATCATGCTTTCCTAGCTACATATGTATGTACTGGCAAATGCCTAAGTCCTAGTATAAACAAAATTGGGTATGTGCAGGCAAAAAAGTCAAATGTTTAAAAAGACTTGGCTTTCAATAAACAGCTCACACACATGGTGTGTTGCTTGCAAAGAGAAAAAACAAGCACGGTAAGGATGCCATTTTTAATGGCTCCCAAAAATATGACATACTTAAACGTGTTTTTTTCCAACTAGAAACCTGGTGTTATTATGAGGACTGGGTTGTTCAAGGATACCAGCGTCCATGAAAGGGTATTTTTGGCAAGCACTTTATCACTAGAAATTAGTCAAAAAAAAATTTTCTGAGCACTCGCCTACAATATACCAAACACTATGCTTTAGGTGTAGAAATCAGCCAAAACAAGATTAGGCAACATTACAAAAATATCAACTAACTAAAATGATTGACTAATTGGATGTCTTAAATCTTAAAACACTAGAATAATTTAATTGCATTGCCATGGTATCTGCACTCAGTAGTTTATTCCTGCTGGGTGTCCAAAGATCAGTGCCATAGAAATTCAGTATCTAGCATCACTGATTTTCTTGGCTTTGTGCTTGTTAAAACTTGGTATTTCTATTGACACAGTATTTCTTTTTTTCTTTCTTTCTTTTTTCTTTTTTTTTTTTTTGAGACAGAGTCTCGCATTGTTGCCCAGGCTGGAGTGCAGTGGCGCGTCCCCGGCTCACTGCAACCTCCACCTCCCAGGTTTACACCATTCTCCTGCCTCAGCCTCCCGAGTAGCTGGGACTACAGGTGCCCGCCACCATGCCCGGCGAATTTTTTGTATTTTTAGTAGAGATGGGGTTTCACCGTGTTAGCCAGGATGGTCTCGATCTCCTGACCTCATGATCCGCCCGCCTCGGCCTCCCAAAATGCTGGGATTACAGGTGTGAGCCACCACGCCCGGCCTTGACACAGTATTTCTGTAGTTCTATAGTTTCCTCATACTGTTCAGATTCATATAGTCTTCAATAGCAGCTAGAAAAAACTCACTAAGAATAAATATAATCAAATATTTCTTTTATTCTTTTGCTTCTCAGTAAATGTTTTCTCATTAATTCTCAGTAGAAATAATTTCAGAATTATAATAATAAAGTATTTAAGCACTGACAGGAAACGCTACTCCAATAACTTCTTCCATACTCGAACAATTTTTGAAAGATTTTAGAAAAGTGATTCTAATTTGAAATTCAAATAGTGCAAATAAATCCATGTAAAATAACTATACCAAACCTTCTCTCTCAGTAGTTCTTATTGGTATGGGTAAAAATATAGGTTAAAATAAGGCAAAGGTGGACAAGATTATCACAGCATGTGTGTAAGATTTCTGAAATGTAAGAAGTAGTAGCAAGATTTCTGGACCCTAGAAAGGGCCAAATGATGAGGTTTGGGGTGATAGTACATTTGGAAAACCCTATTTATTAACCTAGTCCACACTATTCAGCATGTGATTTCAAATCTGTCTTGGCAGTTTATCTACGAAGCTGTTGCTGAATTCTGCCCTTTTGGCAAAACACTTCCAATGTTGGTAAAGTGAGCACAAAACTAGAAAACATGTTGAGTATATTAAGTGGGTCCACTTTGTTTAAAACTTTAAACAAAGCTTTCACCTGTACACATATTTGAATAGCTAAGAACATTGAAACATGCACGCCCATCACTAGGAAGAAATCAAAGTAGGCAACTAAAGGAAATTTGTCCTATTTAAAGTTCTCATGAGTTCTTCTGCAGTATGGGGCATTCTTGGGTCTCTGATGTCCTTGAGATGTCTGACCTATGATTCTCTAGTTAATAACTACCAATTCCATTCCTATGATACCCATACTTTACCTCACTCTATCATAACATCGAGCACTGAGCACTATCTAAAAAGTCTCTCATGCTGTTGAGAAAATGGAAACAATGATTATACAATAATAACAGCAATAAAAATTAGTAAAGAACATCAAGTATCAGGTATTTTTCATATCTTCTCTAGTCCTAAAATGCCCAGACACTATTATCCCGATTTTATATATGAGGATCTTGAATATCAGAGAGGGTAAATGATATGGTTTGGATCTGTGTCCCCACCAAATCTCATGTTGAATTGTAATCCCCAGTGTTGGAGGTGGGGCCTGGTGGGAGGTGACTGGATCAAGGGGGCAATTTCTCATGAATGATTTGGCACCATCCTCTTGAAGCTGTTCTTGTGATAGTGTGTTCTCACGAGATCCAGTTGTTTAAAAGTGTGTAGCACCTCAACATTCTCTATTTTGCTCCTGCTCCAGCCATGTAAGATGTGCCTGCTTCCCCTTCACCTTCCGCCATGATTGTAGTTTCCTGAGGCCTCCCCAGAAGCAGATGCCACTATGCTTCCTGCAGAATCATGAGCTGATTAAACCTCTTTTCTTTGTAAATTACCCAGTCTCAGGTATTTCTTTATAGCAATGTGAGAATGGACTAATACAGTAAGTATTCTCAAGAACACTCACATAGAAAATAGCTGAGTCAAGGTTCCAGCTCAGTACTGCCTATCTTCAGTTTTTATAATATATGATTGTATTCAAGAAATAGGAAAGAAAAAAATAATGTTAAGAGTAGAAGTGGAGAGATGGTAATAAGGAAAGAAGACTGATGATTCTTAAGGAGATGAATCACTCTAAGCCCAAACCACCACTAGTCTTCAATCTGGGTCTCTACCCACCATCAAAGGGGCAATCATTAGGTTAGAGAACACAGCTTGCTTACCACTGGGTGCTGTGTCTTATATTTGCTTGGTATATCCCAGAGGGGAAAAGACTTAATAATGACTTTTGGATGGGTGGATGAGATGGAAGGATGACAAACGCACATTTAGCATGCAAAGGAGTCTTTAGCCAACTTAAACGAATGCTCATGCCATTAACATTTCCATTACAAGATTCTGAAATGCAGTCATGAAAGCCAATTTAATTGCAATTTAGATTTGCTAGGTTAGTCAAGTATGGAAAATGGAAGGAATTGGGAAGTAAACACAACTGTTATTTTAAGAACTGGAAAATCTGGCCGGGTGCAGTGGCTCACGCCTGTAATCCCAGCACTTTGGGAGGCCGAGGTGGGTGGATCACGAGGTCAAGAGATCAAGACCATCCTGGCCAACATGGTGAAACCCCGTCTCTACAAAAAAATACAAAAAATTAGCCAGGCATGTTGGCAGGCACCTGTAGTCCCAGCTACTTGGGAGGCTGATGCAGGAGAATCACTTGAACCCAAGAGGCGGAGGTTGCAGTGAGCCAAGATTGCGCCACTGCACTCCAGCCTGGTGACAGAGTGAGACTCTAAAAAAAAAAACAGAAAAAAAAACACCAGAAAATCCAAGCTAACAAAAGGTAGGTAAAGTAAAATTTATGAAATGATATAAATTGGCTGGGCACAGTAGCTCATGCCTGTAATCCTAGCACTTTGGGAGGTCAAGGTGGGAGGATTGCTTGAGTCCAGAAGTTCAAGATCAGCCTGAGGAAGATGGTGAGACCATCTCTACAAAAATAAAAAATAAAAAAATTAGCTGGGCATGGTAATGTGTGCCTGTAGTCCTAGCTACTCAGGAGGCTGAGGTGAGAGGAGCACTTGAGCCCAGGAGTTCCAGGCTGTTGTGAGTTATGATCATACCACTGCACTCCAGCCTGGGTGACAGAGTGACACTCTGTATACAAAATAAATAAATACAATACAAATTGAGTAAGAAAACAGTTAACAGACATAGGTAGAGTAAGCTGGAAGGGAGTTGAAAAAGAAGGGGGTTTTTTGGCTCATAGAGAACACTAGGTCTTTCTTCACAAAGCAGTACCCAAAGGCTCTGAAATAGGACACCCTGACCACATAAAGAAAACTAAAAATAAAAACCACATGATCATCTCCATAGATGCAGAAAAGACTTCTGATAAAATTCAACATTGCTTCATGTTGAAAATCCTCAACAAACTAGGCACTGAAAGAACGTATCTCAAAATAATAACAGCCATCTATGACAAACCCACAGCCAACATCATACGGTATGGGTAAAAGTTAGAAGCATTCTACCTGAGAACTGGAACAAGATAAGAATGCTCACTCTCACGGCTCCTACTCAGCGTAGTACTGGAATTCCTAACCAGAACAATCAGGCAAGAAAAAGAAGTAAAAGGCATCCAAATAGGAAGAGAAGAAGTCAAACTATATTTGCAGATGATATAATGTTATAACTAGATCTTGGACAAGGTAGCATAAGAAAAAGTAAATCGATAAATAAAAATACAAAATACAAAATAATTTTATACCTAGAAAACCCCATAGTATCTGGCCAAAAGATCCTAGATCTTATAAACAACTTCAGTAAAGTTTCAGGGTGCAAAATCAATGTACAAATATCAGTAGCATTTCTATACACCAACAGTATCCAAACTGAGTGCCAAATGAAGAGTATGATCTCATTCAGAACAGACACACACACGCACACACACACACACACACAAACAAAATACCTAGGAATACAGCTAATCAGGGAGGTGAAAGATCTCTACAGCGAGAATTACAACACTGCTCAAAGAAATCAGAGATGACACAAATGGAAAAATACTCTATGCTCATGGATAAGAAGAATCAATATTGTTTAAATGGTCATACTGCCCAAAGCAATCTACAGATTCAGTGCTATCCCTATCAAACTACCAATGACATTCTTCTCAGAATTAGAAAAAAACTATTCTAAAATTCATATGGAACCAAAAAAGAGCCTGAATAGCCAACGCAATCATAAGCAAAAGAACAAAGCTGGAGGCATCACTGTTACCCAACTTCAAACTATACTTTAAGGCTACAGTCACCAGAACAGCATGGTACTGATATAAAAACAGACACACAGTCCAATGGAACAGAATAGAGAGCTCAGAAATAAAAACGTACACCTACAACCATCTGATACTCAACAAAGTCGACAAAAGCAATGGGGAAAGGGCTCCCTATTCAATAAATGGCACCGGAATAACTGGCAAGCCATATGCAGAAGATTGAAGCTGGACTTCTTCCTTACACCATCTACAAGAATCAACTCAACATGGGTTAAAGACTTAAAAGTAAAACCTAAAACTATAAAACCTCTAGAAAACCTAGGAAATACCATTCTGGACACAGGCCCTGGCAAAGATTTCACGACGAAGACCCCAAAAGCAATTGCAGCAAAAGCAAAAATTGACAAATGGCACCTAATTAAAGAGCATAGCAAAGAACAACAACAACAACAAAACCTATCAGCAGAGTGAACAGACAACCCACAGAATGGGAGAAAATATTTGCAAGCTATGCATCTGTCAAAGGTCTAATATCCAGAAGCTATAAGGAACTTAAATTAACAAGCAAAAAACAAACAGCCCCATTAGAAAGTGGGCAAAGGACATGAACATACATTTTTCAAAAGAAGACATATGGTGGCCAACAAGCATATGAAAAGAATGCTCAGCATCACTAATCATTAGAGCAATGCAAATAACCACAATGAGATACCATCTCACAGCAGTTAGAATGCTATTATTTAAAAGTCAAAAACATCACAGATGATGGCAAAGATGTGGAGAAAAGGGACCACTTATACAATACTAGTGGGAATGTAAATTAGTTCAGCTACTGTGGAAAGCAGTTTGGTGATTTCTCAAAGAACTTAAAACAGAACTACTATTTAACCCAGCAATCCCATTATTGGTTATATACCCAAAGGAATATAAATCACTCTACCATAAAGACACATGCATGCATATGTTCACTGCAGCAATAATCACAATAGTAAAGACATAGAACCAATCTAAATGCCCATCAATGGCAGACTGGGTAATTCCACTGCCTGCAACATCCTGGCTAACCAGAGGTCCTGCGTCTATCCACATGACAGTTTCACTGCTAGCATAACCAGCATTTGAGAGAGCCAGCCCACCAAACATATCTGCAACCAAGGACTCTCACAGAGTGTACTTCACTCCCTTGTCACCTCCACCAGAGCAGGTGCTATTATCCATGGCTGGGAGACCTGAAGAGGAATCTATCACAGGACTCTTTGCAGATATTCCCCAGAACCAGCCCAGGGCCTGGTAGCTCCACTGGGTAGCTAGACCCAAAAGAGCAGTAATTATCACTGCAGTCCAGCTCTAAGGAAGCCCTATCCCTAGGGGAAGGGGGAGAGCACCACATCAAGGGATCACTCTGTGGTATAAATAAATCTGAACATCAGGCTTTGAGTTCCAGATTTTTCCACTGAAATAGTCTACCCAAATGAGAAGGAATCAGAAAAGTAATTTTGCTAATATGACAAAACTAGGTTCTATAACACCCTCAAAAGACCACACTAGCTCCCCAACAATGGATCCAAACCACTGCAGAATATACATTCTTTTATCAGCACATGGAACATTCTCCAAGATAGACCACATATAGGTCACAAAACAAGTCTCAATAAATTTAGGAAAATGAAAATTATATCAAGTATCCTCTCAGACCACAGTGGAATAAAACTGGAAATTAACTCCAAAAGGAACGCTCGAAACTATGGACATTAAATAATCTGGTCTTGAATAATCTTTGGGTCAACAATGAAATCAAGATGGAAATTTAAAAAATTCTTGGAACTAAACGATAATAGTGACACAATCTATTAAACCCCTGGGACATAGCAAAAGTGGTGCTAAGAGAAAAGTTCATAGCATTTAATGTCTACATCAAAAAGTCTGAAAGAGTCCTGGTGTGGTGGTTCATGCCTATAATCCTAGTACTTTGGAAGGCTGAGACAGGTGGATTGCTTGAGCTTAGGAGTGTGAGACCAGCCTGGGCAACATGGCAAACCCTGTCTCTACAAAAAATACAAAAATTAGCTGGGTGTGGTGGCATATGCCTGTAGTCCCAGCCACTTGGGAGGCTGAGGTGGGAAGATAGCTTGAGCCCAGGAGGCGGAGGTTGCAATGAGCAAGATTGTGCCACTGCGCTCCAGTCTGGACAATAGAGCCAGGCCTTGTCTCAAAAAAAAAAAAAAAAAAAAAAAAAAAAAAAAGTCTGCAAGAGCATAAATAGACAATCTAAGGCCACACCTCAAGGAACTAGAGAAATAACAAACCAAACCCAAACACAGCAGAAGAAAAGAGTAACGAAGATCAGAACAGACCTAAAATAAATTGAAACAAAAAAAAATACAAAAGATAAATGAAACAAAAATGCCTATCAACCAACGAGTGGATAAAGAAAATGTGGAATATATATACCATGGACTACTACTCAGTCATAAAAAGGAATGAAATAATGGCATTTGCAGCAACCTGGGTGGAGGTGGAGACGATTACTCTAAGTGAAGTAACTCAGGAATGGAAAACCAAATATTGTATGTTCTCATAAGTGGGAGCTAAGCTGTGAGGATGCAAAGACATAGGAATGATATAATGGATTTGGGGGGCTTGGGGGTTAGGGTGGGAGGGGGTAAGGGATAAAAGAATACACAGTAGGTACAGTGAATACTGCTTAGGTGATGGGTGCACCAAAATCTCAGAAATTGCCACTAAAGAACTTATCCATGTAACCAAAAATCATGTTCCCAAAAACTATTGAAATAAAATAAAAGAGAACTCTGCAATACCTTCTGTAGTTTGTCTCAGCAAATACCATAATGTAAATATCAGTATAATGAATTGATTATTAACATTTAAAAAAAAAATAGGCCGGGCACGGTGGCTCATGCCTGTAATCCCAGCACTTTGGGAGGCCGAGGTGGGCGGATCGTGAGGTCAGGAGAACAAGACTATCCTGGCTAACACGGTGAAACCCTGTCTCTACTAAAAATACAAAAAATTAGCCGTGCATGGTGGTGGGCGCCTGTAATCCCAGCTACTCGGGAGGCTGAGGCAGGAGAATGGCGTCAACCCGGGAGGCGGAGCTTGCAGTGAGCCGAGATTACACCACTGCACTCCAGCCTGGGCGACCGAGCAAAACTCCGTCTCAAAAAAAAAAAAAAAAGAAAATTAAAAAAATAAGAAGTGCTATAATAGAGATTTTGGAAGAACACAATAATGGTATTTATTGAGACCTTGGGTCAGTGAAGTTCTCTTAGAGAAGTTGGCACATAAAAGGAGTTTTGAAGAACCAACAGTAGTGGCTGACTCCACGGAAATGGGAAAGAGAGGAGGAAGTGAGCAACTGGATGAATCTCAAGGTTCTTTCTTTTATAATTTACAGGGTTAGGCTTGACTTAATCTGGTCTTTTTCTAAACTTGCTTTTTTAAAGACCTGTATAAACTATTGCTATTTTTGTTCTTTTCATTTTATAACACTGTGGATGGATTTATAATATAATTTGTCAAAGTCTTAGCCCAACCTCCTATTTTTCTTCAGTTAATTGAAATAGTGGGTTCTGAATTTGTAATGTCTAATTTTTAAAAAACATTTTTAATTAAATAAAATTCTGCTACTATGAAGTCTGGAAAAAAAATTAAATATTGGCCTGGCAGAGTGGTGCATACCTGTAGTCCTAGCTATGCAGGATGACTGTTTGAGCCAAGGAGGTCGAGGTTGGAGTGAGCTATGATTTTGCCACTGCGCTCCAGCCTGGGTGACAGAGCAAGATCCTTGTAGACCTTGTTTCAAAAAAAAAAACAAAAAACAAAAAAAAACCTTTTTACTATCTGGCCCCTGTCATCCTCTCCAACTATTTCTGAGTATTTCCCATAGGCCCCATAGGCTCCTTGCAATGTAGACAAACTAAATTACTCATTGTCTGTCTCCCAAACTAACCACACTCTTGCCTTCTCACCTTTGTTCATACTATCCCCGCAACCCAGAAGGGTCTCTTGTACTTCCCTTCTGCTTATCCATTTGTTCAGAAAATAATTTGGATATCTATTAGGCATTCTGTGGGCCCTAGAAATATTATAGTTAAAAAAAAAGACACAGTCCCTGCCTTCAAGGAGCTTACCATCCAGAGAAGCTTATTCTTTCTTCGATTCTAGGTTGAAGGCCCATCTACTTGTGAAGTCCTACTCTGAGCTTTCATTGCATTATAGGTTGCTCACACACCAGTGCTAATCATAATCCCTAAAAACACAATCTCAAATGCCATAATCCTGAAAGATCAAAATCTCTAAAGTCTAAAAATCCCTAATATCTAAATCCTGAAAATCACAATCCTGGAAGATTAAAATTCAGCATGTTGAAATCCTGAAAGCTGAATTCTGGGGAAGTTCATTTTTTATTGTAAGCAGGGTAGCTGTAGCATGTTACTTGTATCATCTTAGGTGGACCTATTCCCATCCTATTTTTATTTGCATTTGGCAGAAAATTCAGATGAGTAGATTAGTCACATGATACAACAACAACGCACAGTTCCGTTTAAAAATGCATCATTTGGCCGGGCGCAGTGGCTCACTCCTGTAATCCCAGCACTTCAGGAGGCCAAAGGGGGTGGATTACCTGAGGTCAGGAGTTCAAGACCAGCCTGGCCAACATGGCAAAACCCTGTCTCTACCACAAATACAAAAATTAGCCGGGTGTGGTGGCGCCCGCCTGTAATCCCAGCTACTCAGGAGGCTGAGGCAGGAAAATCACTTGAACCTGGGAGGCAGAGGTTGCCATGAGCTGAGATTGTGTCACTGCACTCCAGCCTGGGTGACAGAGCAAGACCGTGTCTCTAATAATAAAATAAAAATGCATCACTTGTTTGCACTGGCATTCCTTCCAGCTGATGAAATTCCAGGAGCTTTTAATGAATTAAAGCCACATTTGCCTTAAAAAACTAGCAAAATTACTGACTGGTTCAAAAATAATTATGTGCATGGTAGGATAAGAAGACACATACTTAGCTGGGTGTGGTGGCTCACACCTATAGTCCCAGCTACTTGGGAGGCTGAGGCAGGAGAATCACTTGAACCCAGGAGGTGGAGGTTGCAGTGAGCCGAGATCATGCCACTGCACTCCAGCCTGGGTGACAGAGTAAGACTCTGTCTCAAAAACAAAACAAAACAAAAAAACACATACACAATGGTGTTGCTGTTCAATCACCAGTATTATTTGTGCCAAACCTGTGGTCTGTATATGATTTCACGTGGAATGGATTTCTATGTACCCAAAACAACATAGAAGTATGGCACAAAAGATGGGCAAATTTAATAGGAAATGCTCATGTCTGTGTATATCATGTCAGTATATGTCAAATGTGAATGTATTCTACAAGGAGAGCCATGCCCTAAAAGAAAAAAAACCTATTTTTCATTTTAATCACAGCTATTAATTATGAGGTAAGACTTCAAAATACAGTTAAATTACTGCAAAAGTCAGCCAGGTCTTATGGACAACCTCTGTGCAACTAACTGCCCAGAATTTATTCCTGTAATACATTTTTCATAAGTTAAATTTGATTTTTAGTTTTTGTGTTTTTTCTTAAGTTTTTTATTCCACTATTTAGTCAGCTTATTCACATATATAAATACTATATATATGAAAACTATATATTATATATAAATACTATATATACATGAATATGTTATATATATATGATGGAGTCTTGCTGTGTTGCCCAAGCCACAGTGCAGTGGCTATTCACAGACACAAGCATAGTGTATTACAGCCTCAAACTCCTGGGTTCAACTGATCCTTCTGCCTCTGTCTCAACCAGCTAGAACTACAGGTATGTGCCACTGCACCCAGCCATCTTGGCTCACTGCAACCTCCACCTCTTGGGTTCAAGTGATTCTCCTGCCTCAGCCTCCTGAGTAGCTGGGGCTACAGGCGTAGGCCACCACGCCTGGCTAAGTATGTGTCTTCTTATCCTACCATGCACATTAATTACTTTCGAACCAGTCAGTAACTTTGCTAGCACTATTTTTTACAATTCACTGTGCTACATATTTCATCTTTGCATCATTTCCAGTACTAAAAGTATAAATTAAATTATATACTTTTACGGAGTTATAATTTGTTTTACGTATTTTGTAAATATGACTCCAAAAAAGTGCATCATCACGTTGGCTTTGTGTATAAGCATTGCGTATGTCGGAAAAAAAGGTCGAAACTTCCTCAATAAATGAAGAGATGTCTTTTTGTATATCTGCATTTGTGGAACATAGAATTTTTCAGCTGGGTGCAATGTCACGTGCCTGTAGTCTCAACCACTTGGGAGGCTGAGCTGGGAGGATCGTTTGAGCCCAGGAGTTCAGGCCCAACCGGGGTAACAAAGCAAAACAGTATCTTTAAAAGAAATAGGCTGAGTGCTGTGGCTCACACCTGTAATCCTAGCAGTATGGGAGGCTAAGGCGGGCGGAGTTCCTGAGCTCAGGAGTTCCAGACAAGCCTGGGCAACATGGCAAAACCCTGTCTCTAATAAAAATACAAAAAATCGGCCGGGTGTGGTGGCTCATGCCTGTAATCTCAGCACTTTGGGAAGCTGCGGCGGGCAGATCACCTGAGGTCAGGAGTTCAAGACCAGCCTGGCCAACATAGTGAAACCCGGTCTCTACTAAAAATACAAAAATTAGCCATGCCTGGTGGCGGGTGCGTGTAATCCCAGTTACTCAGGAGGCTGAGGCAGGGGAATTGCTTGAACCCAGGAGGTGGAGGTGGCAGTGAGCCAAGATTGCACCATTGCCCTCCAGCCTGGGCAACAAGAGCGAAAATCCATCTCAAAAAATAAATAAATAAATACAAAAAATCAGCCAGGCATGGTGGTGTGCCCATGTAGTCTCAGCTTCTTAGGAGACTGAAGCACAAGAACCGCTTAAACTCAGGAGGCGGAGGTTATGGGGAGCCGAGATTGTGCCACTGCACTCCAGCCTGGGCAACAGAGCGAGACTCTGTCTCAAAATAAATAAAAAATAAATAAGCAAACAATTTTCTAAATGATTGTTTAAAAATTTGTTTTTCTCTTTAGGCAACTGCGTATGTTGCAGTTTCTTTCTTTTTTTTTTTCTTTCTTTGAGACAGAGTCTCCTACTGTCGCCCGGGCTGGAGTGAGGGGCACCATCTCAGCTCACTGCAACCTCTGCCTCCCAGGTTCAAGCGATTCTCTTCAGTCTCCCCAGTAGCTGGGATTACAGGCGTCCGCCACCATGCTCGGCTAGTTTTTTGTATTTTTAGTAGAGATGGGGTTTCACTCTGTTGGCCAGGCTGGTCTCAAACTCCTGACCTCATGATCCGCCTGTCTTGGCCTCCCAAAGTGCTGGAATTACAGGCGTGAGCCACCGCACCCGGCCAATGATGGTTTTGATCAATTTCATCAAAAGACTTGCGTTATCCATCATGGTATTCCAGAAGACCACAGTTATAAAGCTGGGTACACACAATTACCAACTACAGTGATATCCATTTATACATTTCATTTTTTGACCTATTTCTTTATGAATTATGGTTCATCTGCTCATAACCGCTGTATCTGTATAACTACTGTTAATATACGTGAGTGGGTTTATGCTTGCAAAAATATTACCTATTTTATTGCGTAAAGTAGCTTATGAAGATTTCTGGGGTTTTTTGTTTGTTTTGGTTTTGTTTTGTGTTTTGAGATGGAGTCTCACTCTGTCGCCCAAGCTGGAGTGCAATGGCACAATCTCGGCTCACTGCAACCTCTGCCTCCCAGGTTCAAGCGATTCTCCTGCCTCAGCCTCCTGAGTAGCTGGGATTACAGGCACACGCCACTACGCCCGGCTAATTTTTGTATTTTTAGTAGAGACGCTGTTTCACCATGTTGGTCAGGCTGGTCTCGAACTCCTGACCTCAAATGATCCACCCGCCTCAGCCTCCCAAAGTGCTGGGATAAGAGGTGTGAGCCACCGCGCACAGGCTTTCTGTTACGTTTTTACATGTTTCTCAAATAAATTCCTTTAAAAAATGTAAATAGGCCAGGTGTGGTGGCTCACCCATGTACTCCCAGCACTTTGGGAGGCCGAGGCAGGCAGATCACCTCAGGTCGCAGTTTGAGACCAGCCTGACAAACCCTGTCTCTACTAAAAATATAAAATTAGCCGGGTATGGTGGCGCACACCTGTGGCTACTCGGGAGGCTGAGGCAGGAGAATCGCTTGAACCCAGGAGGCGGAGGTTGTGGTAAGCTGAGATGGCGCCATTGCACTCCAGCCTGGGCAACAAGAGCAAAACTCCATCTCAAAAAAAAAAAGGTAAATAAGCTGGGCATGGTGGTATGTGCCTGTAGTCCCAGCTACTTGGGAGGCAGAGTCAGGAGGCTCATTTGAGCCCAGGAGTTTGGGGCTGTAGTGCATTATGATCACACCTGAGAATAGCCACTGCATTCCAGCCTGGGCAACACAGTGAGACCCTGTCTCTAAAAATAAAATAAACAAAAAGTAAGTAAATGTCCTTTAAATAATTTTTTAAATATTTTTTTTTTCCAGAACTACATTTTCAGGATTTTTATCTTTCAAGATTGTGATTTTGGGGATTTTAGACTTTAGGGGATTTTGATCTTTTGAGATTTTAACATGCAGGATTGTTTCTTTGGGGATTATGGCATAAACCCCTCACTTATTATAGTCTACCAAATATTGATAGTTTTAATTTATAAATCTTGTCTTCGCAGCCAAAAGGTAAGTTATTTCAGGGCAGCTACCATTTCCTCATATCTCCAATGCTTAATAAAATGCTTTAAAAATAAAAATCATGGCCAGGCACGGTGGCTCACACCTGTAATCCCAGCACTTTGGGAGGCCAAGGCAGGTGGATCACTTGAGGTCAGGAGGTCGAGAGCAGCTGGACCAACATGGTGAAACCCCTCCTTTACTAAAAATACAAAAATCATCCAGGCATGGTAGCCTGCACCTGTTAATCCCAGCTACTTGGGAGGCTGAGGCAGGAGAAGCACTTGAACCCGGGAGGTGGAGGTTGCAGTGAGCCAAGATCGCGCCACTGCACTCCAGCCTGGGTGACAGAGTGAGACTCTGTCTGAAAAAAATAATAAAAATAAAATGAAAATCATTAGAGGAGTGATATCAACAAGATGGTAGACTAGAAAGCAACAGATCCTTCCCCAACAGAGACACAGAGAAGTCAGGTACTGTGCATTTTTCACTATATTTCCAGAGCCAACAATATGGCCAAATAGATATTCAGATTATTTACTGAACAAATGAATGAGTGAGAGGCAGTGTGGAGGCCCTTCCTAGAGAGGAACAATATGAGCAAAGTCAAGAGAGCAAGAGTGTGTTTAGTGTGTTAACAACAATATATGGACCAGAATACCTTTGTGAGAGCTCTGAAGAAGAGCTGAGAAGCTACAGCACCAGGCCACTGTAAAACCAAAAGGAGATTACAGCAAAAGGGTTAGGAAATTTCAGTGTTTGGCATGTCCTTTCATGTCCTTCTTCCTATGTAGCATAGCACAGAGCAAGTTGGAGGAAACCCCCCCCATACTGGGTCTACTCCTTGGACAGAAACAAAAGAGTTGACCGTGTGTCCAACATTCTGGCTTGTCTGGGGCTTCCTGAGAGACTGATTTCTATCTCATATGACTCAGAATACTGACTGGACAGGTTCCAGAGTACAGAAGACACTGAAAACAGAGGAGAGCAGGATGTTAGCACTGAAGTTCCATAGGCAGACATCAGGGGGAGCAAGAGGTCAGAAAAAGGTTGAGAGATCCTGGAAACAACAACCAGGATAATTGGTAAAGGTCTTCCTCTGCAAAGTCACTAGACAAAGACTTGGACAGATGGTTGTTTGTTTTAAGTGCTTAAAGCCCAGCAAGAGATTATAAGGCATACAAATAAACAGGGCAATATGGCTGAATTAAAGGAATAAAATATAACTCCAGAAACAGGCCCTAAAGAAATGCAGATCTGTGAGCTGCCTGACAAAGAATTTAAAATAACTGTTATAGATGCTCAATGAGCTAGAACACAGATACAAAACTAAATGAAATGAAGAAAACAATCCATGACCAAAAAGATAAACAATGAAAAAGATCCAAACAGAAATTCTGGACCTTGAAAAATTCAATAACTGAACTGAAAAATTTATTAGAGGGGTTCAATAGCAGGTTTAATCAGGCAAAAGAAAGTAGAGTCAGCCGGGTGCAGTGGCTCACACCTGTAATCTAGCACTTTAGGAGGCCGAGGCAGGTGGATCACGAGGTCAAGAGGTTGAGACCATCCTGGCCAAAATGGTGAAACCCCGTTTCTACTAAAAATACAAAAATTAGCTGGGCATGGTGGTGAGCACCTGTAGTCCCAGCTACTCAGGAGGCTGAGGCAGGAGGATCACTTGAACCCAGGAGGCGGAGGTTGCAGTGAGCCAAGATCGTGCCACTACACTCCAGCCTGGCAACAGAGCGAGACTCTGTCTCAAAAAAAAAAAAGTAGAGTCACAGGAGCAAAAAGGAAACAGATTGGCAAAGAGCACATAAAGAACTTATAGGGCACGATCAGGACAACACATTCTGAAATGCACATTATGAAAACTCAGAAGAGGGAGAGACAAAGTGGCAGAGAGCTTCTTTGAAGAAATAACAGCTGCAAGCTTCCCAAATCTAAGGAGATAAATGGATATGCACATTAAAGAACCTCAAAGGACTTCAACAAGGATAAATCTAGAGAGGATCATAAAGACACATTATAATTAAATTATCTAAAGTCAAAGGCAGAGAACATATTCAAAGCAGCAAAAGAAAATCGATTCATCACATACAAGGGAGTTTCCATTCCCAGATTTACCAGCAGAAACTCCAAAGAAGTAGTTTTCTGTATGTGAATGAAGTTTTTAACAATTTAAAACAGAATGCTGTAACTTTAAAGATGATTTATGCAATCACAACAATAAACACAAATAAAGTATCTATAGAATATATATAATAGGAAATGAGAAGAGAATCAACATACATCGCTACAAAAAAAATCAACAAAACACGAAAAAGGCAGTAAAAAAGAAGGGACAAAAAAGCTACAAAATATACCAAAAACAATTAACAAAATGGCAATAGTAAATCCTTCCCTCCCTATTGGTAGCCTATGTTTTGTTTTAGATAGGCTCGCACGCTGTTACCCAGGCTACAGTGCAGTGGCACTATCATGGTTCAGTGCAGCCTCGACCTCCTGGGCTCAAGCAATCCTCCTGCCTCAGCCTCCTGGGTAGCTGGGACTATGGGTGCATGCCACAACATCTGGCTAATTAAAAATATATATATATTTTTTGGAGAAATAGGGTCTTCCCTGGCCGGGTGCAGTGGCTCACACCTGTAATCCCCGCACTTTGGGAGGCCAAGGCACACGGATCATAAGGTCAGGAGATTGACACCATCCTGGCTAACATGAAACCCCATCTCTACTAAAAATACAAAAAATTAGCCAGGTGCAGTGGCAGGCACCTGTAGTCCCAGCTACTTGGGAGGCTGAGGCAGGAGAATGGTGTGAACCCGGGAGGCAGAGCTTGCATTGAGCCAAGATCGCGCCACTGCACTCCAGCCTGGACAACACCAGTGAGACACCGTCTAAAAAAAAAAAAAAAATGAGAGAGAGAGAAATGGGTTCTTCCCTATGTTGCCCAGGCTGGTTTCTAACTCCTGGCCTCAAGTGATCTTCTTGTCTTGGCCTGCCAAAGTGTTGGAATTACAGGCAGGAGCCACCATGCTGGGCCAGTAATTAACTTTAAATGTAAAGTCATATATTGACTGGAGTTAAAAAAGGATCCAACTATATGCTGTCTACAAGAGACTCACTTTAGCTCTAAGGACACATAGATTGAAAAGTCTGGAAAAAGATATTCCATGCAAATGGTAACCAGAAGAGAGCAGGAGTGGCTATATTAATGTCAGACAAAATAGATTTTAAATAAAAAACTCTCATAAAAGATAAAAAATGACATGATAAAAGGGTAAACCAGGAAGATATACAATAATAAATATTTATGCTCCAAACATCAGAGCTTCTAAATATATGAAATAAACTTAGACAGAATTGAAGGGTAAAAGAGCAACACAATTACAGTAGAGAACTTCAAAACTCCACTTTCAATAATGGACAGAACAACCAGACAGAAGATCAACATGGAAAGAGAGGACCTGAACAACATTATACACCAAATGGACCTAATAGACATATATAGAGAACTCTACCTAACAACAGCAGAATATACATTCTTCTCAAGTGCACATGGAACATCTCTAGGAAAGACCAATGTTAGGCCACAAAACAAATCTTAACAAATTCAAGAAGACTAAAATCACACAAAGTATCTTTTCTTTTCTTTCTTTTTTTTTTTTTTGGAGACTGAGTGTTGCTCTGTTGCCAGGCTGGAGTGCAGTGGCATGATCTCAGCTCACTGCAACCTCTGCCTCCCGGGTTCAAGTGATTCCCCTGCCTCAGCCTCCCAAGTAGCTGGGATTACAGGCACGCGCCGCCACGCCCAGCTAATTTTTTGTATTTTAGTAGAGACAAGGTTTTACCATGTTGGCCAATATGGTCTTGATCTCCTGACCTCATGATCCACCGCTTCGACCTCCCAAAGTGCTGGGATTACAGGCATGAGCCACTGTGCCCGGCACAAAGTATCTTTTCTAATGACAATGAAATGAAACTAGAAATCAATGGCACAAGGAAAACTGGAAAATCCACAAATATGTGGAAATTAAACAATCCACTCTTAAAATAGCCACAGGATCAAACAAGTCACAAGAGAAGTTAGAAAATACCTTGAGACAAATAAAAATGAAAATGTATCAAAACATATGGGATACAGGAAAAGCAGTGTTAAGAGGTCAATTTATGGTTGTAAAAGCATATATTAAAAAAGAAGAAAGGTCCAGGTGCGGTGGCTCATGCCCGTAATCTCAGCACTTTGGGAGGCCAAGGTGGGCGGATCACCTGAGGTCAGGAGTTCAAGACCAGCCTGGCCAACATGGTGAAACCCCATCTCTACTAAAAATACAAAAATTAGCCAGACAAGGTGGCACACGCCTCTAGTCCCAACTACTCGGGAGGCTGAGGCAGGAGAATCGCTTGAACCTGGGAGGCAGAGGTTGCAGTGAGCTGAGATCGTGCCACTACACTCCAGCCTGGGCAACAGAGTGAGACTCAGCCTCTAAGGAAAGAAAAAAAAAAAAAATAAATAAATAAATAATATAAAATAAAATCAGAAATGAAAGGGGAAATTGTAACTGATGTCACAGAAATAAAAAGGATTATAAGAGACTACTATAAACAATTGCACACCAACAAACTGGATAACCTAGAATAAATGGATAAATTCTTTTTTTTTTTTTTGAGACAGAGTCTCATTCTGTTGCCAGGCTGGAGTGCAGTGGCGCCATCTCGGTTCACTGCAACCTCCGCCTCCTGGGTTCCAGCAATTCTCATGTCTCAGCCTCCTGAGTAGCTGGGACTGCAGGTGCGCCACCACGCCCAGCTAATTTTTGTATTTTTAGTAGAGATGCGGTTTCACCATGTTGGCCAGGCTGGTCTCGATCTCTTGACCTCCTGATCCGCCCACCTCGACCTCCCAAAGTGCTAGGATTACAGGCGTAAGCCACCGCGCCTGGCCATGGATAAATTCTTAGAAACACACAACTTACCAAGACTGAATCATGAAGAAATAGAAAAGCTGAAAAAAACCAATGAGTAAGGAGATTAAATCAGTAACCAAAAAACTGCCAACAAAGAAAAGCCCAGGACCAGATGGCTTCACTAGAGAATTCTACCAAACATTAAAAAATAATGAATGCCAAGTTTTCTCAAACTCTTCCAAAAACTGAGGAGGAGGGAACACTTCCAAGCTCATTCTATGATGCCAGCATTACCCTGACACTAAACCAGACACAGACATCAAGAAAAGATAACTACAGATGAATATTCTTTGTGAGTATTGAGGTAAAAACCCTCAACAAAATACTGGAAAATTCAGTAGCATGTTAAAAGAATTACATATTATCAATAAGTAGGACTCATTTCTGGAATGCATGTATGATTCAACATATGAATATCAATCAATGTAACACATCACTTTAACAGAATAAGGACAAAAAGATGACCATCTCAATTGATGCAAAAAAGGCACTGGACAAGATTCAACAAAACACCCTTTTATGACAAAACATCAAACAAAGTATAAATAGAAGGAAACTGCCTCAAAATCATAAAGACCATGTATGAAACCCTCACAGATAATATCATACTCAGTGGTGAAAGAATAAAAGCCTTTTCTCTAAGACAAGGAACAAGCCAAGCATGCACACTCTCACTACTTCTATTCAACATAATGTTGAAAGTTCTAGTCAGTGCAATTAGGCAAATTGGAAAAGAAGTAAATTTACCTGGGCTGGGCAAGGTGGCTCACACCTGTAATCCCAGCACTTTGGGAGGCCAAGGCAGATGGATCACGAGATCAGGAGTTCAAGACCAGCCTGGCCAAGATGGTGAAACCCCATCTCTACTAAAAATACAAAAAAATTAGCCAGGCATTGCGGCGGGCACCTGTAATCCCAGCCACTCGGGAGGCTGAGGCAGACAACTGCTTGAACCTGGGAAGCAGAGGCTGCAGTGAGCTGAGATCGCGCCACTGCACTCCAGCCTGGGAGACAGAGCGAGACTCGTCTCAAAAAAAAAAAAAAAAAAAAAAAAGAAAGAAAAGAAGTAAATTTATCTGTTCTCAGATAACATGATCTAATATATAGAAAATCCTGGGCCGGGCACGGTGGCTCACACCTGTGCTGTAATCCCAGCACTTTGGGTGGACGAGGAGGGCGGATCACCTGAAGTCAGGAGTTCGAGACTAGCCTGACCAACATGGTAAAACCCCATCTCTACTAAAAATACAAAATTAGTTGGGTGTGGTGGTACATGCCTGTAATCCAAGCTACTTGGGAGGCTGAGGCAGGAGAATTACTTGAACCCAGGAGGCGGAGGTTGCAGTGAGCTGAGATTGTGCCCCTGCACTCCAGCCTGGGCAACGAGAGTGAAACTCCATCTCAGAAAAGAAAGAAAAAGAAAATCCTAACGAGTTTGCAAAAAAATTGTTAGAATAGACAAATTCAGCAAAGCTGCAGGATTCAAAATCAATATGCAAAAATCTGCTGTATTTATATACACTAACAATGAACAATTCAAAAGGAAATTTTTTAAAATCTCATTAATAACAGCATAAAATACACTTAGGAATAAAACTGAGCAAGTGAAAGACTTGGACGATGAAGACTATAAAACATTGTGGAAAGAAATTAAAGACACAAATAAATGGAAAGATATCCATGTTCCTGGATTGGAAGACTTGGTATTGTTAAAATGTTAATCCTACCAAAAGCAATATACAGATTCGATGCAAGCCCTATCAAAATCCCAGCAGCAATTTTCTGAAATACAAAAATTAATTCTAAAACTCATATGAAATTTCAAGAGACCTTGAGATATTTAACACCAATGTTCATAGCAGCACTATTCATAACAGCCAAGAAGTGGAGGCAACCAAAATGTCCATCAATGGATAAACGGATAAACAAAATGTGGTATACACATGAGATGGAATATTATTCAGCCTTAAAAATGAAAGAATTCTGGCCAGGCACAGTGGCTCACACCTGTAATCCCAGCACTTTGAGAGGCCTAGGCGGATGGATCACCTGAGGTCAGGAGTTCGAAACCAGCCTAACATGGAGAAACCCCATCTCTACTAAAAATACAAAAATTAGCTGGGCATGGTGGCCTGCGCCTGTAATCCCTGTTACTCAGGAGGCTAAGGCAGGAGAATCGCTTGAACCCAGCAGGTGGAGGTTGCAATGAGCCGAGATGGCGCCATTGCACTCCAGCCTGGGCAACAAGAGCGAAACTCCATCTCAAAAAAAAAGAGCTGGGGGGGAGAATTTTGACACATGCTACAACATAAATGAGCCTTGTGGACTTTAGGCAAAATGAAATATGCCCATCGGAAAAAGACAAATACTGTATGATTCCATTTATATGAGGTATCTAAAGAAGTCAAATTCATAGAGACAAAGTAGAATGGTGGTTGCCAGGGACTGGGGAAGAGGATGGAGAGTTTTTTAATGCGTATAGAGTTTCAGATTTGCAAAATGAAAACTGTTGCAAAATGAAAAACTTTAGAACTGTTTCACAGCAATGCAAATATACTAAATACTAGTGAACTGTACTCTTGAAAATGAAGGGTTTAAGATGTTAAATTTTATGTTTTTTTACCACACACACAAAAAGATAAGCACTAAAACATTTGTCCAATGTAAGATCTCTGACCTCAGAGTTTACAATCTCATATAGAAGATGAGAAATAAGTACAAAGAACCTGGATAGGTAAGGCCATCTCAAGGTACCAAGGCAAACACTAAGAGTCTTACTAAGAAGCAGGGTAGGCCAGGCACAGTGGCTCACGCCTGTAATCCCAGCACTCTGGGAGGCCAAGGCGGGCAGATCACCTGAGGTTGGGAGTTCAAGACCAGCCTGACCAACATGGAGAAAGCCCGTCTCTACTAAAAAAAATACAAAATTAGCCAGGCAAGGTGGTGCATGCCTGTAATCTCAGCTACTTGGGAGGCTGAGGCAGGAGAATTGCTTGAACCCGGGAGGCGGAGGTTGAGGTGAGCCAAGATTGCGCCATTGCACTCCAGCCTGGGCAACAACAGCGAGACTCTGTCTCGAAAAAAAAAAAAAAAAAAAAAAAGAAGCAGGGTAGGCCAGGAGGGGTGGCTCATGCCCGTAATCCCAGCACTTTGGGAGGCTGAGGCAGGTGGATCACCTGAGGTCAGGAGTTCGAGACCAGCCTGGCCAACATGGTGAAACCCCACCTCTACTAAAAATACAAAAAATACCTGGGTGTGGTGGTGTGCGCCTGTAGTCCCAGCTACCCAGGAGGCTGAGGCAGGAGAATCTCTTGAACCCAGGAGGCGGAGGTTGCAGTGAGCCAAGATCCCACCACTGTACTCCGGGCTGTGCGACAGAGCGAGACTCTGTCTCAAAAAAAAAAAAAAAAAAAAGCAGCAGCATAAACTACAGTTCAACTAAGATTTCCCTGAACATACTTCCAACTAATATGATAAATCACCTGCGATTTCATTCTATCCCAAGGTAATTTATTCTAACCCAAAATAGGATCTTAATCTACCAGTCGAGATGAATGAGTTCCCCAACTACTAATCTTCAGACTAATAATTTCACTCACCAGGGTAAGATTCCTATCTATTTTGTTCTTGGGAAACACTGGTTTCTTTATTAAGAGATTATATGTCTCCAATGTTCTTGGTGTTAAAATATTCTTTCTTGCATGTTGATGATAGCAGATGTTAGTTTAGGTTGGTGTATATGTGTGTGTGCATGTAAGTGTACACACACGTGTGCATTTTAAAGATCCATTAAATCAAAAAGTCTGAGAAACAATGTTTTAGATCAAATCCTTAGAACAACGCCTTGGAGAGCCTTTTATTTATATTCTGAGACAGGGTCTCACTTTTTCCCCAAGCTGGAGTGCAGTGGTGCAATCTCAGCTCACTGGAACCTCCGCCTACCAGGTTCAAGTAATTCTCGTCCCTCAGCCTCCTGAGTAGCTGGGACTACAGGTGCATACTAACATGCCTGGCTAATTTTTATATTTTTTGGTAGAGATGGGGTTTCGCTACGTTGGCCAGGCTGGTCTCGAACTTCTGACCTCAAGTGATCCGCCCACCTTGGCCTCCCAAAGTGCTGGGATTACGGGTGTGAGCCATTGTGCCTGGCAGGAGAGCCTTTTAATCTTATAATTCTATTATTTAAATGTCACAATTTTCTAGGGAAGAGCTTCTCAAGGAAATAACCAGTGCTGATGTTGAGCTCTTCTGCTATAGAGACTTTTTTTTTTTTGGCATAGTACTGTTTCTTCATTAAAAGTACTTTTATTGGCCAGGCACGGTGGCTCACGCCTGTAATCTCAGCACTTTGGGAGGCCAAGGCAGGCAGCTCAGCTGAGGTCAGGAGTTCAAGGCCTGCCTGACCAACATGGTGAAATCCCGTCTCTACTAAAAATACAAAAATTAGCCAGGAGCGGTGGTGCACACCTGTAATCCCAGCTACCTGAGAGGCTGAGGCACAAGAATCACTTGAACCCAGGAGGCAGAGGTTACAATGAGCCGAGATCACACCATTGCACTCCAGCCTGGGCAACAGAGTGAGCCTCTCTCTCAAAAAAACCAAACAGACAAACAAAAGAAAAGTACTTTTATTATTTTCTGACCCTTAGCACTCTGCAAAATGGTTAAGGAATAAATTTTTAATCTGTCACTTATAAAACCTAACTGCTTACTGCCACACAATCTGATCCCGCCATTTTAATGCTATAGGTTTATTATTTAAAGCTACCTTTTTTCAGTCCCTTTTTTCACTCACACCACTGGAAACTCGACACACTTAAGGCTTTAAAAACTTGTAATATTAGGCCAGGCACTGTGGCTTGTGCCTGTAATCCCAGCACTTTGGGAGGCTGAGGCAGGTGGATCACCTGAGGTCAGGAGTTTGAGACCAGAATGGCCAACATGGCGAAACCCCGTCTCTACTAAAAATACAAAAATTAGCTGAGCATGGTGGTGCATGCCTGTAATCCCAGCTACTAGGGGGGCTGAGGCAGGAGGATCGCTTGAACCCGGGAAGCAGAGGTTGCAGTGAGCTGAGATAGTGCCACTGCATTCCAGCCTAGGCGACAGAGTGAGACTCCATCTCAAAAAAAAAAAAGTAAATTAATAAATAAAAGCATGTAATATTAAGGCCGGGCGCTGTGGCTTATGCCTGTAATCCCAGCACTTTGGGAGGCCTAGGTGGGTGGATCACAAGGTCAGGAGATCGAGACCATCCTCGCTAACATGGTGAAACCCTGTCTCTACTAAAAATACAAAAAAAATTAGCCAGGCGTGGTGGCGGGCGCCTGTAGTCCCAGCTACTCGGAAGGCTGAGTCAGGAGAATGGCGTGAACTCGGGAGGCGGAGCTTGCAGTGAGCCGAGATGGCGCCACTGGACTCCAGCCTGGGCGACAGAGCGAGACCCCGTCTCAAAAAAAAAAAAAAACTTGTAATATTAATAAGCTCCAACATTTCAGCGCTCTCTCAAACCTCAAACATACTTTTTTCCCTTTGCTTTGCATTCCCAAATAGCTGCTGTGTTGTAAGTTGAACAAAGATATGCAGAATTTGCAGAAGAAACACTCCGAAGACAAGCTAACATGCAACTTCAAATGATACAGCACTACTGGGGACTCAGAGAAATCACAGAGGCAGATAAGCCTAGGGGGCATGGACAAGCACCTGATATATTTATTTCTGAAGAGAGGATGCCAGGTGCAAACTGTGCCAAACTCAATGCAGACTCCTCCCTTATCCACAGTTTTGCTTTCTGAGGTTTCAGTTACCTGTGGTCCGAAAATACATAAGTACAAGTACAGTAAGATATTTTGAGAGAGACAGAGAAAGACCACATTCACAAAGCTTTTATCACAGCATATTGTTATAGTTGTTCTATTTTATTATTGTTGTTGTTAATCTCTTACTGTGCCTAATTTATAAATTAAGCTTTATAGGTATGTATATACAGGAAAAACATGGTATATATAGGGTTCACTACTGTCCCGTGGTGCTGGATACCATGGTACTGAAACAGCCATCCACTGGGAGTTTTGGAAATGTATCCCCTGAGGATAAGGGGAGCCTATTGTTCATGGAGTTTCCAGCTACAAATCAAGGACCAGTGTGTGCAACTGGTAGGGATCTGCTGGCTATACAGCAACTGCTGGTCAGTGGCTGCCATCTTCAACTACAAAGGCTAAAGTGTAACTATCAACATCTGCCTTCTTCAACCAGTTATTTATCTTAGTGCTAAAGTGACAGTGGCCTTGAGGCATATTTACTCATCTACCTAAAAAATAAAACTGGAAGTAAAGGGAAAACACACAAAAAGCTTAATAAAATTTGTATTAAGCATGTTATCTCCTTTCAGCGTATTATCTCCTTTTAACCCTCTTTGTATCTTACTATAGAAAGATCTCATCTGGGCGCGGTGGCTCATGCCTATAATCCCAGCACTTTGGGAGGCCAAGGCAGGTGCATCGCTTAAGCTCAGGAGTTCAAGACCAGCCTGGACAACATGGCAAAATCCTATCTCTACAAAAAAATACAAAAATTAGCCAGGCATAGTGGTGCATGCTTGTAGTCCCAGCTCCTTGGGAGGCTGAGGCAGGAGGATCACTTAAGCCTGGGTGGCGGAGGTTGCAGCCACTGCACTTTAGCCTGGGCAACAGAGTGAGACCCAGTCTCAAAAAAATAAAGTTTGTCTAACCTCATCTAGAGTATGAGGAACTCTTCCTTGGTATTCTAATACCTTCTTCACACCCAAGATTATGGCATGCCTAACTGTAATTCCTGTTTTCCTTTATCCACCTGATTAGACTTTGAAGTCCTTAAGACCCGGAATAATGAGCCTGTTATTGTTATCTCTGTAACACAGGCATTACATGCATACTTACATAGTTCATCAGTAAGTGAGGATTCAATGGATGGATGAATCTCCTGAAACCATGTTAAGTACAGACACAGTCAAAGTGACTTCTCTCTCAGTAGAAGCAGCTGCTATACTATTCAACTATGATAATGTCAACCAGGGATTTAGCAGACATCTTAAAGACTGAGGATACAGACAAAATGCAAATGGGGTGTGTGTGTGTGTAGCATGTGGCATTGTGTATCAGGGAGCACTTTTCAGTATCCTAAGGGCTCCATCCATATTTAGCCTAGCATTGCTGCCCCATCATTCAGGTATCTTCCTGGCTGCTGAACAAAGTCTGTCCCTAATTAGAGACCTACCAAAACCAAAGGAAAACCCATTCTATGGTGAGAGACTTCCCCCTCATCATAATGGGTGTAATAAATATTACCTCTTCCCCAAGGTTGTCATAAAAGAGAGATTTACACAATAATAGGTATCTATGCTTGCCTGCTCCAGCTGCTTTATTCTTTTAAATTAAGTCACAGCGTTCATGTTATGAGAGCACTGTGTTCCCTATCTTAGTGATAGTTCCCTATCTCAAGATTCCTTCCTCCTTCACCACTTCCCATATCCCATCAATTCCCAAATCCTATTAATTCTTCCTTATGAGCTTTGACTATTTCTCTCCATCATATCTTTATAATGACCAATCAGGCCCTAGATGCTAAGACCCCTTTTTCTCTCTGATCTCATTATTCTTCCTCTCACTTACTCCCCATGAGCCACATTGGCCTCCTCACTGTTCTTCCAACACACCAGGCAATCTCTCATCTCAGAACTGTGCAATTCTGTTTTTTTTTTCTGCCTAGAATGCTCTTCCCTCAGATATCTACATGGCTTGCCATCCTCACTTCATTCAGATGTGTGCTTAGATGTTTCCTTCTCAGTGAAGCCTTCCCTGGTCACTCTATTATAAAATCATTCCCCACTTAACACTCTCTTATTCCTTTTCCCAATTTGTTTTCCTCCCTAGCAATTATCACTATCTAAACATAGTATGTATTTACTTATGTATAGTCATTCTCCCCACTAGACGATAAGCTCCATGAGGGCAGAGAGTTCTATTTGGGTCACAGCTATATCTCAAGCACTTGGAACAGCACCTACCAGAAAAAAGATACTAAGTACTTATTTTCTGAAAGAATGAATAAAACTACCTCCACATCCATTGCCTCGATTCTAATTTAAACTATCATCAGTTCTAGCCCACATTACTGCAACTGCCTTTTAATGGGTCTTCCTGCATTCAGCCTAAAACCCAAATATGTCATTCTCACTGCCTTGGGGAGAAAGTCCAAACTCCTTAACATGGCTTGTCTTTCATAGTCTGATCCTGCATACCTCTCTAGTTCATCCCTCTTTCTCTACCCCATGACTATGCTCCAGCTGTTCTAAAGCATTTTAAGTTCCCCAAAGGAACTATTCTCTCTTACTTCTGGGTCTTCCCATAAGCTGCTCCCTCCCCTAGAACATTTTCATCATTCCCCTGGCTATCCATTCCTTCCTTAGCCTGACTCTTACTTATCCATCACATCTTGGTATAGTCACTCCTTCCTCCAAGAAATCTTCCACTACCCTCCAAGGCTGGGTTAAGCATACCTTCTATGTGCTCTCCGAGCACGTGTGTACTTTCCCTTATTCAGCATCTACCATGCTGTACTGTAATTGTCTGTCTGCTTGACTGTGTCCCAACTATAACAAACCTGAAGAAGACATCGTGCCGAGAACAGAGCAGGAACCTAATAAATTTTGTTGAATTAAAGACCGAGTGAATAAACAAATAACGTTCTACTTCAGTGTCCTCTTTGGCAAATTATTAATTGCTATGTCTAAGATTCTTTTTACATACAGAGGTGAAAAAATATTCTGACAAAAACTGAGAAAGCTACAGTAATTTTTAAATTAGAGTTCAAAAAATAAGACAATCTTTCTGATCGAAAAGAGTACTTTAAACTACTATGAAAGGGTGCAGGAAGACCCATTAAAAGGCAGTTGCAGTAAAATAAACTAGAATACCAATGGAAATAGTTGCAGACAATATAAAAAGAAAGTGTGTAACCTGTGTCTAAATGTTGTATATCCTAGAATACTTAATATATTGGCAAGAGCCACTAGCTAATAGTCCCATTTACCGAAGACTGTCATGAATTAGCAGACCTAGGCAATGACCATCAATGGCTACTCAACAAAAAGAAAAAGGAGAGACATCCAGATATTAGGTATCTCCTGATGGAAATATACACACTTATTAAGTATTTCTTCCACCAGTGTATCCAATAACACTGGGATACAGTCACCAGTATTCAGACTGAGGGGAACTCTACAAGACTTAGACTTAGTTTCTTTAGAGTCACTACAAGACTAATGACTTAGTTTCTTTAACATATAGCTTGCAAGGAGAGAGGGAGGGAGGGAGAGAGAGAGAAAGAGAGAGAGAGAGGAGGTGAGGCAGTTGAGAGACAGAGAGAAAAATAATCAACTAATTGCAACATTTGAACTTTACTGGAATCCTAATTCAAATCAGCAAACAATTTTTTAAATGAGATAAATGAGGAAATTTGAACACTGACTACTATTCGATGATATTAAGAAATTACTATCAGTTTTTATATGCTTGAAAATTATTGTAGTTTTTATTATTTGTTTATTTATTTATTTATTTATTTTGAGATGGAGTCTTGCTCTGTTGCCAGGCTGGAGTGCAGTGGCATGATCTCGGCTCACTGCAACCTCCACTTCCCGGGTTCAAGTGATTCCCCTGCCTCAGCCTCCTGAGTAGCTGGGACTACAGGCGTGCACCATCACACCCAGCTAATTTTTTTTTTGTATTTTAGTAGAGACATAGTTTCACCATGTTGGCCAGGATGGTCTCAATCTCCTCACCTCGTGATCCACCTGCCTCAGCCTCCCAAAGTGCTAGGATTACAGGTGTGAGCCACCGCGCCCGGCAGATTATTATTATTATTTTTTAAAGAACTCATAGGCCAGGCACGGTGGCTGGTGGCCCATGCCTGTAATCCTAGCACTTTGGGAGGCCGAGACAGGCAGATTGTCTAGCTCAGGAGTTCGAGACCAGCCTGGACAAGATAGTGAAACCCCATCTTTACTAAAATATAAAAACTAGCTGGGCATGGTGGCACACGCCTGTAATCCCAGCTACTCGGGAGGCTGAGGCAGGAGAATTGCTTGAACCAGGAGGTGGAGGTTGCAGTGAGCTGAGATTGCACCACTGCACTCCAGGCTGGGCAACACTGAGTGATACTCTGCCTCAAAACATAACAATAAAAATAAAATAAAACCAGGGCCGGGCGCAGTGGCTCACGCCTGTAATCTCAGCACTTTGGGAGGCCGAGGCAGGCGGATCACGAGGTCAGGAGATCAAGACCATCCTGGTTAACATGGTGAAACCCTGTCTCTACTAAAAATACAAAAAATTAGCTGGATATGGTGGCAGGTGCCTGTAGTCCCAGCTACTTGGGAGGCTGAGGCAGGAAAATCGCTCGAACCCAGGAGGCAGAGCTTGCAGTGAGCCAAGATCGCGCCACTGCACTCCAGCCTGGGCGACAGAGTGAGACTCAGTCTCAAAACAAATAAATAAATAAATCCAATATAAGTATAGAACATTAAAATTCTATAAGTATTCTCCCGCTGCTTTCTGTCTCCAGTAGCTTCCCTAGAGGTAACTACTGTTAACTGAGCATCCTTCTGGGGCACATTTCCAAGAATATTTTATGCATTTAGAAACATAATGCTTAATGTAAATTGTATCCTGTATGTTATTCTAAATTTTTCCTCTTTTAACTTAATATATCTTATACATTTTCCCATATATCTGGCTTTACGTCACTCTTTTTTTTTTTTTGAGATGGAGTCTCACTCTGTTGCCTAGGCAGGAGTGCAGTGATCTCGGCTCACTGCAACCTCCACCTTCCTGGTTCAAGCAATTCCCCTACCTCAGCCTCCCAAGTAGCTGGGATTACAGGTGCACACCACCATGCCCGGCTAATTTTTTTGTATTTTTAGTAGAGACGGGGTTTCACCATATTGGCCAGACTGGTCTCGAACTCCTGTCCCTCAGGCAATCCGCCCACCTCGGCCTCCCAAAGTGCTGGGATTACAGGCATGAGCCACCGCACCCGGCCATGTCACTCTTTTTAAAGACTGTAGCATATGCTATGCTATGAACTGCATAATGCATTTAACTAGCCCCCATGAGAGGAGAATTATGCCATTTTTGGTGTTTCATTATTATAAACAATACACCACAGATATGGTTGGGTATCTATCATGGGACACTTACACAAGTGCATCTATGACATAATTTACAGAAAATGAATTGCTGTGTCAAGGGATATATGCATTTAAATTTTGGATAGAGATCATCAAACTGGCCTCCAAAAGGTTACACTAATTTACGCTATCCCCTAATTACCCACCAGTAGTATTTGAGAATGCATTTCCCTAATACTGGAGACTGATATATCTTTAAATATGTTTCAATAGGACATTTGAAAAATAATATATACATATATTTTGTTTGTACATCTTTAGTTATAGTGAATATTGATCTATTTTTTCTTTTTATGTGAACTGTCAATTCATGTCTTTTCTATTGGGCTCTCAGCCTTGTAAAATTGATTTCTAAAAATATTTTGTGTTCTAATGAAATCAGAGTACATGGTTTCAAAAGGAAAAGATGGTCCTCAAACTACAGATTTAAAAATACTAAAAGATCAGCTTAAAAATAAGAGTACATTAAGGAAACAATGTGATTTAATGAACTCAATTTTTTTAATAGTGTATGATATGTTTACAGCACATTCAGACAAATATCAAAAAACAGAGGAATACAGAAGACATGTTAGATGTTCATATCTTTAACAAACCATGAAATTCACACTTAATATTTATTTTGTTTGACTTTATTTTATTTTGAGACAGAGTCACTCTGTCGCCCAGACTGGAGTGCAATGGTGTGATCTCGGCTCACTGCAACCTCCACCTCCCAGGTTCCAGCAATTTTCATGCCTCAGCCTCCAGAGTAGCTAGGATTACAGGCGTGCACTACCACACCTGGCTAATTTTTTTTTGTATTTTATTAGAGATGGGGTTTCGCCAGGTTGGCTGGGCTGGTCTCGAACTCTTAGCCTCAAGCAATCCGCCCATCTCAGCCTCCCAAAATGTTGGGATTACAGATGTGAGCCACCGCACCTGGCCTCTCACACTTAATATTTAAATATACTAGCTGCTCCTTAATTCAGCACTTCTTCCTACCTTCCTCCAGTTCTAGATATGGCACTCCTATTTACCTGTCTTGAAAACCTGACTTTCTCTTTAACTCCTTATTCATGTCACAATCAAGTCAGTTACTAAAGCCTACTAATTTGTATTCAGAAATGGGAGTATTAGATCCTAGTCTAGGCTCTTCATTATGATAGCTCATTTAAGAGTATGAATTCAAATGCTCCCCTTGTTTCTTGACTTCTTGAACCTAGTCACCCTCCCCATTTCCACTGCTATACCCTTGCCCCAAATCTGTCCTTACGCTGCATGCCTGCATTATTACTGTTTTAATTGCTAGTGGATCTTGACGCCTCCGATCTTTCTGGATCTACTACAGTAAATCTTAAGTATTATCACGGGTATTAAACAAAAACAGCATTTTCATTCTGTACTGATTCCCCTGCTTAAAAACCACATCAGCTATCTAATATCCAACAGCTAGGCACTGTATAAGTTAAATTTATTATTTAACTTTCCTGAATTTGTCTTAATGTTCTCACAGAGTTGATGTGATTATATAAAATAATGTATGTGATAGTGCCTAGCACGTGATAGTGCCTAGCATATAGAAGGTGCTCAAAAAATTAGATGAACAACATTAATGCAAATGAATTTTCTAAACCTCAGTATTTATTTATTTTTGATTCACCCTCACCCACTTTGAAGTGCAGTGGCATGATCATAGCTCACTGCAGCCTTGACCTCCTCGGGCTCAGGTGATCACCCCACCTCAGCCCTTGGAACAGCTGGGATTATAGGCATGTGCCACCACACCTGGCTAATTTTTGTAATTTTTTTTTTTTTTTTTGGTAGAGACAGTTTCACTGTGTCTCCCAGGCTGATCTCAAATTCCTGGGCTCAACCAATCCTACCACCTCAGCCTCTCAAACTGCTGGGATTTCCTGAGCCACCACACCTGGCCATAAACCTCAACAGAATTTGATGGGATTTTTAAATTAGAGAAAAGACCAAATGTCTAACACAATTCTTAGTATTTTGCAGGCACTTGATAACATATGTTAAACCCTGGACTTCCAGTAAAACAAAGCAGAATGAATATATTTACCTCTTTTCCCTCTTAAAATCACAATAAAGGGGTTTTAAAAAGGGCATAAATTCATAAGGACAGAAAAAATAGGGCTGGGTGCAGTGGCTCATGCCTGTAATCCCAGCACTTTGGGAGGCTGAGGCGGGCGGATCACCTGAGGTCAGGAGTTCGAGACCGGCCTGGTCAACATGGTGAAACCCTGTCTCTACTAAAAAAACAAAAATTAGCTGGGTGTGGTGGCACATGCCTGTAATCCCAGCTACTCAGGAGGCTGAGGCATGAGAATCACTTGAACCTGGGAGGCGGAGGTTGCCGTGAGCTGAGATCGCGCCACTACACTCCAGCCTCGGCGACAGAGTGAGACTCCGTCTCAAAACAAAACAAAACAAAAATCTCCTTTCACACCTTCAATGAAGGGAAGGCCAAAATGCCACCCAATTAAAAAAAAATTCTATTAAAGTATATTTTAAAATTAAAATAATTTTTGGAAAAAAATTTGGGTCATTCACGTTTTAAATGTCAGTTTCTTTTTCCATTAATATTCTAATGGCATTCCAGTTGTCAGTATTTAGAAACGGCTGAAGTTAGTGAGTGATAAGACAGACATCTAGCCAGTGAGCAAAGAGTCTGACAGCCATATTAGTTAACCTTCAAGTCAGTATTAAGTGACTCAATCTAATGAGCCAAGTCATATCTTTTTGTATAAAACTCTATTAAATAAATTACAGGGTTTGGGGAACAACTCACCAGGCAAAGAAAATCTCACGCATTTAAGAATATTTTTCTTCAAATAATAAAAAACAATTAGAATAAATTTAACATCCTTTGGTATCTCATTTTTTTTATTTTTATTTATTTATTTATTTATTTTTGAGATGGAGTCTTGCTCTGTCGCCCAGGCTGGAGTGCAATGGTGCAATCTCGGCTTGTTGCAACCTTTGTCTCCTGGGTTCAGGCAATTCTCCTGCCTCAGTCTCCCGAGTAGCTAGGATTACAGGCACCCGCCATCATGCCCGGCTAATTTTTGTATTTTTTGTAGAGACGGGGTTTCACCATGTTGGCCAGGCTGGTCTTGAATTCCTGACCTCAGGTGATCCACCCAACTTGGCCTCCCAAAGTGCAGGGATTACAGGCATGAGCCACAGCACCCAGCCCTCATTTTCTTTATTTCTTGACAAAACTAGCACTAACTTTGAAAGCAAAACAAGGTAAAATCAACCAAAAGAACAGCGGGATAGGCCTATCTTTATTGTTACGCTGGGGTTCCACGTAAAATTTGAAAAATCCTAAACCATGTGGTGCCTTTGTTATGTTTTTATTCATTTTTATTTTTGGAGAGTGGGTCATAGTATATTGCCCAGGCTGGTCTCAAACTCCTGGACTCAAGCAATCCTCTGGCTTCTGCCTCCCTAAATACTGGGATTATAGGCATGAGCCACCATGCTCGGCTTGTTTTTTTGTTTTAAGAGACAGGGTCTTGCTCTGTTGCCCAGGCTTGAATGCAGTGATGTGATTATAGCTCACTGTAACCTCGAACTCCTGAGCTCAAGCCATCCTCCTGCCTCAGCTTCCTGAGTAGCTAGGACTATAGGTGCATGCCACCATGCCTGGCCTTTTTTTTTTTTTTTTTTCCCCCAGAGACTGGGTCTAACTATGTTGCCCAGGCTGGTCTAGAACTCCTGACCTCAAGCAATCCTCCCACCTCAGCCTTCCAAAGCATGGTGCCTTTTTTTTTTTTTTTTTTTTTTTTTAGACAGAGTCTCCCTCTGTCGCCAGGATGGAGTGCAGTGGCGCGATCTCGGCTCACTGCAACCTCCGCCTCCCAAGTTCAAGCGATTCTCCTCCCTCAGCCTCCCAAGTAGCTGGGACTACAGGCGCCCACCACCACGTCCCACCAATTTTTGTATTTTTAGTAGAGACAGGGTTTCACCGTGTTAGCCAGGATGGTCTCGACCTTCTGACCTCGTGATCCGCCCACCTCGGCCTCCCAAAGTGCTGGTATACAGGCGTTAGCCACTGCACCCGGCCCTGCATGGTGCCTTTTTTAATAATCGAAATTGGCAAAATGTCAAGCCACTCTATCCTCAGCACTCAGCCACTGAGACACACCAGTGCTATCAACTCTGAGATTCCCCTAAAGAGGCAGCTGTGTCTAAGGCAAAGCACTCAAAGGCTAAAATGGAAGCTGTTAATAGCACATAAGCTCCATGATGGTAGAGATTTTTTTTGTTTTTATAGAACAGGGCTAGAACACAGTGGGTGTTCAGTTAATAATGTAAAACAAAAGGCTGAAAGAACATGAAAGGGCCTGTCCAAAGTTGGGAGCAACTCATACAAACAACATTCTGAGTTTGGTACATATCAGTGGGAGAGACATCATGACTTTCAACCCACACTGGGATCATTACAATGTTCTGAGATAGAAAGAAACCACAGTGCTCATCACAGCAAATCTAATGAGAAGAGTGGCCTTATTTTACATTTTTGTTAATCTTCTAAAGTCTGGATTAAGGAAAACAGCTGTATTCTCCTATCTGCTTCTGCGTTCAGTCAACTGCACATTATGTAGCCTCTGGAAGACTTCATTGCACACTCGTAAGAGAACGAGGGTAGAAATTCTAGAATTGTTATGAAAATTGTTTTAACTTCATCAGCCCCTGAAAGGATCTTGAGGGGCCCCAGACCACCCTTTAAGACATTGTTTTGAAAGATATGTGCAATAAGGGCCATAACTTTGATCAATATTCAGAAGAGATTCTCAAACAAGGGAAAGGGGTAAAAAAAGATGGAGAGAAAAAGAGAAAAACATCACTGACTACCTGCAACCACACTTATAGGAGGGCCAAGACATTTTATTAGTGTACTTGTTGTTACTTTAACTGTCGCTTACGCTGTACTTTACCATATTTTAACAAGAAGTGAATTGCTATTTGAAGAAAAGAAAAGCCAGACCCCAAAACAAAAACCACATACTACAATTCCTCCTAGTTCCTATATAAATGTCAATTGTTAGTGCACATTTACTCTTTAGGCCATCACATTCTAATTACACGACCTGTAAGTCACCTTTCTCCTGGCTTTTCTTCTCCTCTACAACTTTCTGCTGACTGTCACTCAAATATTATTTAACAGGATGAAAGAGCAATTTCCAATTATCAATCAGTTCCAAACTGCTGCACAGTTCAATCTTTCTGTCTGCAAGTTTCTATGAATAGCAGCTAAATAGCAATCTACAAACCAACTCTAATCCTTTCTAAACATATGTTCTTCTGGCCGGGCGCGGTGGCTCAAGCCTGTAATCCCAGCACTCTGGGAGGCTGAGGCAGGTGGATCACGAGGTCAGGAGATTGAGACCATCCTGGCTAATATGGTGAAACCCCGTCTCTACTAAAAATACAAAAAAAAAAAAAAAAAAGCTAGGAGTGGTGGCGAGCGCCTGTAGTCCTAGCTACTCGGGAGGCAGAGGCAGGAGAATGGCGTGAACCCAGGAGGCGGAGCTTGCAGTGAGCCGAGATCACGCCACTGCACTCCAGCCTGGGCGACAGAGCAAGACTCCATCTCAAAAAACAAACAAACAAAAACCAAACAAACAAACAAACAAAATATGTCGTTCTTTAGCTAGTTAGGTGATTTCTATCTACTATAAATGATTCATAATGAAGCAAAACAGCAATATTCATTTAAGCATGGTCAAGAAAAATAATTATTTATGAATAATCATCTCATGTCATTTTTCCCATACTTAAGATACATGATTTCAAATTTTCCTTCACACAGGCAAACAAAATCAAATAGTTACAGTGACTTTTTCAGGAGATATTTGGTTTTTATGTCTTATATAAATTCTCACTACCCTAGTAAACCTTTTAAGAGTTATTAACTAGGCCAGCACTCCCCTGGTCAATAGCATAGGCCTAGGTTTAAATCCTGAAGCTGCCACTTGCAATGTGACTTTGGGCAAATTACTTAATCTGGCACCTCACTTTTCTCAGCTTTAAGGTGAAGACAGTAACAGTATCTACCTCATAAGTGACAGGATGAAATGAGATAATGAATAAATGAGTAAAGCACTTAAAACACTGCCTGACACACAATACATACTAGTAAATGTTAACTTCTGTATTTATTTATTTATTTATTTATTTAATTTATTTTTGAGACGGAGTCTCGCTCTGTTGCCAGGCTGGAGTGCAATAGTGCGATCTTGGCTCACTGCAACCTCCGCCTCCCGGGTTCAAGTGATTCTCCTGCTTCAGCCTCCTGAGTAGCTGGGATTACAGGCACACACCACCACACCCATCTAATTTTTGTATTTTTAGTAGAGATGGGGGTTTCACTGTGTTGGTCAGGTTGGTCTCGAACTCCTGACCTTGTGATCAGCCCACCTTGGCCTCCCAAAGTGCTGGGAGTACAGGCGTGAGCCACTGCGCCCAGCCAACTTCTGTTTTTTATATTTTAGCCTTCTAAAATAGCCTCACTATCTATGGTCACAGCAGATAGAATAGTCCATAATAATCTAATCTACTCCAGAGCAATTCAAGAGGGAAATACTAAAAAGAGATTACTGTTTCTGTTTTGTTGTTGTTGTTTTCAGACAGACTCTTGCTCTGTCGCCCAGGCTGGAGTACAGTGGCGTGATCTCAGCTCACTGCAACCTCTGCCTCCCGGTTTCAAGCAATTCTCCTGTTTCAGCCTCCCGAGTAGCTGGGATTACAGGCATGCGCCACCATGTCCGGCTAATTTTTGTATTTTTAGTAGAGATGGGGTTTCACCATATTGATCAGGCTGGTCTTGAACTCCTGACCTCAGGTGATCCACCTGCCTTAGCCTCCCAAAGTGCTGGGATTACAGGCGTAAGCCACCACATCTGGCCTGTTTCTGTTCTTAGTCTTTTTTTTTTTTTTTTTAATTTTAACACCGAGATAACAGGAAACAATAAAAATAGATTACTGTTTCTAAGTGCTCTTCCTTCTTAAAATAGTTAATTGTCTACACCACCTAAGAAAGTGCTGACAAGCCATACAAACAGTATCAGAGATAATCTTCAAAACTGCTATGACTCTAGCCCAGGTACAGTGGTACCTATAGTCCCAGCTACTCAGGAGGCTCAGACAGGTGGATCACTTGAGTCTAGGAGTTAAAGGCCAGCTGGGTAGCACGGCATGACTCTGTCTCTTTAAATAAAAAATAAAATAATTACTATGATCCTGTGTGCAAAAAGGAAAAAAAAATACTTCAAGCTGGGTGCAGTGGCTCATGCCTGTAATTCCAACACTTTGGGAGGCTGAGGTGGGTGGATCACTTGAGGCCAGGAGTTCAAGAGAGGCTGGACAACATAGCGAGATCCCATCTCTACTAAAAATACAAAAATTAGCTGAGCATGGTGGCACACGCCTGTAATCCCAGCTAGTCGGGAGGTTGAGGCATGAGAATTGCTTAAACCTGGGAGGTGGAAGTTGCAGTGAACCAAGACTGCACCACTGCACACCAATCTGGGCAACAGAGGAAGATTATCTCAAAAAAAAAAAAAATAGAAAAGAAAAAAAACTCAAGAAGGCATGTCCTTCAAAATAGATTGACAGAAACACAACACAGCATTTGACATAGCTATCTAGAAACAAAAGAATTGTGTAGCCTGCTTTACAAGATACTTTTACAGGCAAGATGAACCTATGTTAGGCTGAAGATAGTTGTTTATTCATATATAACTATAAACATCATATACACCCTAAGATATACAGTAAAAGGTAAAGATATAGAACTTTATCCTCACACATAGTCTAGCAGCATACTCAGAGATGAAGTCAAAAGAAAACTTCTCATGAAAAAAACTAAAAAGCTTTTGCCACCATGGTTAACCGTATCTGAGATGGTTTAACTCTTGGAATGTATCAGAGAAAAATTTATGTGTGGATGGCTGGCACATAAAAAGGCTAACTGGGATACATATGAGAATTATAGTTAACATTTACTAAACACTTACTTCATTCCAGACATTATTTCAAGTTTTTTATATGGATTAACTAATCAATTGCTAAGAGATAGCATTTTATTGTCCTCACCTTATATCCAAGGAATTGAGGCACAGAGATAACATGTCCAAATGTCAAGTTAATAGTGACTGGTTAAAAACGGTCTGGCTCCAAATCCATGTTTTTAACCACTAGGCAAAGAAGGTTGCACAAATACATGCCATATACTTATAGACTCTGGGAGGAGGGTAAGATTCAGGTAGAGGATTGTAGTTATCTGTTATTTTTAAATTATTGACATGAATGTATAAACTTGCATAATTAAAAAAACTTTTATATCTCATAAACTTAAAGTCAAACCTTTTACTGAGCTTTCTGTAGAATTCTATTTTTTAAGAAGGTCTTGCTCTGTTGCCCAGGCTGGAGTGCAGTGGAATGATTATAGCTCACTACAGCCTCAATCTCCTGGGCTCAAGCAATCCTGTCACCTTAGCCTCCCGAGTAGCTAGCCACCACACCTGGCTAATTTTTTTTTTTTTTTTTGGTAGAGATGAGGTCTTGCTATATTGCCCAGGCTGGCTAGAATTCCTGGTCTCAGCCAGGCACAGTGGCTCACGCCTGTAATCCCAGCACTTTGGGAGGCATATCCCAGCACAAGGTGGGCAGATCACTTGAGGTCAGGAGTTTGAGACCAGCCTGGCCAACATAATGAAACCCCGTTTCTACAAAAATACAAAAATTAGCCAGGTGTCGTGGCGGGTGCCTGTAGTTCCAGCTAGTTGGGAGGCTGAGGCAAGAGAATTGCTTGCACCCGGGAGGCAGAGGTTGCAGTGAGCCACGATCACACCACTGCACTCCAGCCTGGGCAACAGAGCAAGACTCCATCTCAAAACTAAATAAATAAATAAAAGAATTCCGGGCCTCAAGCCATCCTCCCACCTCAACCTCCCAAAGCAGAATTCTATTTGATTACCACCAGACACACATCTGCACTTGCTCAAATGAACGGGATCCTCGTGGTGGGACAAACATCATAGCAACTGACATATTTGGAGAAAAAGAAGGGGTAGATAATTACTCTTGACAGGTCATGACAGATACGATCTCTATCTTACCACCAAGTTTCAAGACCTACCCTAGACTTGTTTCAGTATGGTTGCTGGTCTTTAGGTCCCATTTTAACTTCAAATATGGCTGTGTCCCCTCTTAGCTTAAGTTAATTCGTGGTACTAAAAAATTCACAAGGTTAAGATGAAAGCAAGCGGTGAAAGTTCAGAATGGAGTTAGACAAAACAGTAACTGATCAATTACCCTCATAGTATGCCAACCTCAGCCACACATAATACTATTATTATAAATAGCTTTCATTAATAATGTTTTATTACAGTTTTTATTTCTTACCCATTAAACAAGTTTTTTCCATCTTCTTCCATATTATTCCACAGTCATTGGTTAGGTTTCCTCTTCTCTATTACCTACAAGTGGGAAACAATCTGTAAGATTGGGCTAATACATGGCAAGAAAAAAGCAATTTCATTAATTGTAATACAAATTCAAAAAAGGACCAGTAAATTACAATGCATTAAACTCCCTACAAGTCCTTAAAACTGATGTAAGAGTAAAAAAAAAACTGTGATCTTTCTTTTCAGCTAAGAGTAACCAAAGAGTCAGTCACTTATGGGTAGACTGATCTACAAATGGAAGTATTAAAGGTTTACTTCCTGAAAAAAAGCACTTCTGCATTTGTTTTAGGTCTTAAAAATTACACATTATATTTGCATACAATCTGAAACTCAGGAAAAAACACACAAATTCATGGTAACAAAAATACTCGAATATCAAAAGCTAAAATTATTTTTGCGTAAGCAAAATATATAACAAGATGGCATGAGGTGGTGACTCTTTTGTGCTAAGTGGGTTTATGACCTATATGTAAGCGGCATGCTTCTTTAAAAGCGGTATATATTCTGTACACAAGGACAATATATTAGCCAAAGACATCTAGAGTTTATGATTTTGACAAATTATATGTATAAGCATGTTTAAGGTTTCTGACACATTATCAGGAAGTAGGACTCAGTATTAAGCTTGAGATCGGCAAGCTGGGCCACCACTGTAAGAGGAAAGAAAATTCTCTATTGTGTCATCCTAACAGCTAACACAGAGTTCCTCTTCGAAGAAACTTTAAGAAAATATGTTCCCGGCCGGGCGTCCGCCGCCCCATCTGGGAAGTAAGGAGCCCCTCTGCCTGGCCGCCGCCCCGTCTGGGAAGTGAGGAGTGCCTCTGCGCGACTGCTGTGCAACCATCCAAGTATGAAGTGACAGCCTTGTGTGTTATCTTTCTGTCCTCCCCAAGTTTGCATTTTCGACATTAAAGTTTACTTTTTAATTAAAAGTTTTAAATTGGAGTACATATATATATATAAAAAGAAAGAAAGAAGAAAATATGTTCCCGGCCAGGCACGGTGGCTCACATCTGTAATCCCAGCACTTTGGGAGGCCGAGACGGGCGGATCATGAGGTCAGGAGATCGAGACAATCCAGGCTAACATGGTGAAACCCCATCTCTACTAAAAATACAAAAAAAAAAAAAAATAGCAGGGTGTGGTGGCAGGCGCCTGTAGTCCCAGCTACTCAGGAGGCTGAGGCAGGAGAATGGCGTGAACCCGGGAGACGGAGCTTGCAGTGAGCCAAGATCGCGCCACTGCACTTCAGCCTGGGCGACAGAGAGAGACTCCACCTCAAAAAAAAAAAAAAAGAAAATATGTTCCCATAATATGGGCTCCCATCACTCATGTCCAGTCCCCTTGGAGTAGGTGGTTTGCTGCAGAATGGCTGGCTGTCAAGATCCTAGAACGGTTGTCAAGAAAGGGAAATTGCTCTGCATTAGACAGGGAAGAATTTGGTTTTATATCGCTGAAAGGAATGGGGAGAAGAATGAGGAGGAGAGGGAAAGAAAAAGAAGAAAAGAGTTAGTATAATGGAGCAGAGCTGGGATTAGGTGGGGGTGAAGCTCTTGGGTCAAGGGAGGTCAGAAAACACTTTCAGAACAGGAATGTTTTAGTAGGGAAGTTGTTTGCATTAATGCAAAGGCTCACTCCACCTCTATTTTGCCCCTTTCTTCAGGTAGGTACACAAAATCTGCAAATGCCCTGTGTGAATAGGGCCTTTCTGAAAATCAGAGGGAGCCAAGTTTCACATGTGGGTGCACTATGGTGCAAATCAGTGGCACGAGGCCAGAAAGTAGGTCCCAGGAGGCAGAAGAGGTTACAAGATCATGAAACCTAGCAAAAACACAAATATTTTTAGGGAGAGCTTACAACTTCTAGTTCTAGGTTCGGGGATCTGAGGCAACCGTATCCATGAAAAGCTAAGCTGACACTTTATGGACAGGGGTTTCACATCCACAAAATGTCCCCCAAATGACCCTACTTTCAACATAAGAACACCAAAAAATTTAAAGTTAACTTAATTACATTTAAATCCAAGTTATTCTAATTAATTTGGGATGCTCCCCAAAAGCTGACTGTAATAATCAGTCCTACACTAAGCAGCACCTAGGACACGTATGTAACCATATGGAGTTTAGGCTTAAAGCCCTAGGAAAGTTATATTAATAAATGTGAAGGGTAACAACTTCAATAATTACGATGGTGATCTTGAAAACTGGGAAATTATAATAAATCAGCTCAATGCTGAAAACTATTAATAAGATTCTATACATTCAAATATTTTCTATCCAGGTCCCACTTATATCATTTACACTACTGCAATATACTTTTAAATGGGTGGGAAGTGAAATTACAGATATATAAAACAAATCACTACAGTAGGAACTAACTAAAAATGTGGAAGACGTCCCTTTAAATGGTCATTAGAAAGGCAGTTCCCAAAGTCAGGAGGCCATATTCCAAGCTTACCTGTTACTGAAACATGCTGAACTCTCAGGGGCTGTCTGGCTCATGCAAGAAGAGCACATGATGTGGAGTAACAGAGACCAGTCAACATCATGGTGTCCATTTATTACAAGACCTTCCTTAACTTCTCCGAGCCTGTTTTCTAATCTACTTCACAGCACTGGTGTAGGGATTAAATGAGAACGCAAGTAAAACACCAGTGCACTGCCTGGCACATAGCTGATGATCAACAAAGGTTTAATTTCCTTCCTTTATCTACCTTTAGTTTAGAGCAATTTTCAGGGCTTGAAAAGGAGAAAATCCATTCTTGAAACCTTACCCAATTTACTCTTATTCTGCCAAACAATAACAATGATGATGATGATGGTGATTGATTATGATGATAGCCAGCAACACTGATAACAGTGTTTAATGTGTGCCAGAAATGCAGTTAAATGCTGTTACATATATTAACAAATTCAATCCTCACAACAGCTGTGAGGTAGATATTTTTTATTCCAATTTGACAGATGAGGAAACTGTGGCACACCTAAGTTCCACAGCTAGTTAAGTGGCAAGGCAAGGATTCAAACCCAGGTTTCTGCTCTTCGGAAATATACCAGGCTGGGAGCAGTAGCTTACGTCTGTAATCCCAGCACTTTGGGAGGCCAAGACAGGAGGATTACTTGAGCCCAGGAGTTTGAGACCAGCCTAGGCAACACAGGGAGACCCTACCTCTACAAAAAATAATTTGCTGTGTGTTTTGGCACAAATCTGTAGTCCCAGCTACTTGGGAAGCTAAGACAGGAAGATCACTTGAGGCCATGAGGTCAAGGCTGCAGTGAGCTGTGCGTGATTGCACCACTGCACTCCAGCCTGAGTGACAGAGTGACACCTTGTCTAAAAAAAGAAAGAGAGAGAGAGAGAAAGAAAGAAAGAGAGAGAGAGAAAGAAAGACAAACACCAAAAACTAACTTCTGGGTGATGTCACAGCAGCAATGCCCATTCTTTGATAGCTCCCTAATATTAATGTAGTAAGGTAGGGAATGTTCAGATGACTTACAAAGTAGAATAGATCTGTTATCTTAAAAATACATATAAATATACTATCTATATATATTTTAAGATTTAGTTACATATTTTAAAATATATTTTATATCTCAAAATATTTTAATGTATATTTTATATGTTTTAAAGTTTAAAAAGTGGACCAAGAGAATATTAATACATTTAAGTCAGTAAATAACTTAACCAAGATTATATCTTTTTCAGCAAGCTCAATAAGGTGGCACATTCCAAACTATAAACATTTATTAACTTATGCTGTATCTCATCTGTAAGTGTCTTGCCCTGTAAGCTCCTGGAGGAGAGAAATAGCATCTTTGTCTTACTTATTGTGATAGTAAATAATATCTTTTATGTCTGAAAAAGTACCTTGTCCTTAGTAGGTGCTTCAATAAATACTGACCAAAGAATGGAGAGGCTGGATAGGCAACACAGACAAAACTTTCTAGTCTGCCTATTATTTCCCTTTACATTCTAAGGCACTAGCACACTATCCTTATTTTCCACTACCCATCCACTCCATTATTTTACTATCAGCAAGGCCTTGATGGACTTAAGTGTTTTCCTTGACCCAGTCACATTTTTGGCCTATCCAAATCCATTTCATTTTTTTTTAATTTTTGAGACAGAGTCTCAGACAGCCTGTCGCCCAGGCTGGAGTGCAGTGGTGCCATCTTGGCTCACTGCAACCTCCGCCTCCCGGGTTCAAGTGATTCTCCTGCCTCAGCCTCCTGAGTAGCTGGGATTACAGGCACGCACCACCACACCCGGCTAATTTTTGTATTTTTAGTAGAGATGGGGTTTCACCATGTTGGTCAGGCTGGTCTCGAACTCCTGACCTTGTGATCCACCTGCCTCGGCCTCCCAAAGTGCTGGGATTACAGGTGTGAGCCACCATGCTCAGCCCTAAATCTATTTCAATCTATAAGCTCACATAGCAAAATGTCTTACGACAAAAAGTCCCAAATATACAATTAGAAGATTCATGAATGAAAGCAAAACATATTGTTATGTCACTTTATGTTTTTTCAAAGTGTTTCCACGCACATCCCCTCAGTGCCTCAAGATAGCTGTGAAAGCAGGCAAGGCAGTCATAATAATCTAGGAAGCTGCATCTAATCCTGTTTTGGAGTGGAAACATATCTTCATTGTCACTGCCAATGAATCAATGGCTCAAAACCTGAGTTAGATACTTTCTCTGCATTTTGGTACAAAGTCTATAAGAATGACATATTTTTAAGTCAATGTCATAAATGACTTTTTAAATCATAAATGATCAGCCATCTAATTGAACTTTTTTTTTTTTAAATTAAGACAGAGCTTCGCTCTGTTGCCCAGGCTAGAGTGCAGTGGCACAATCTCGGCTCACTGCAACCTGCGCCTCCTGGGTTCAAGTGATTCTGCCTCAGCCTTCCAAGTAGCTGGGACTACAGGTGCGTGCCACCACACCTGATTAATTTTTGTATTTTTGGTAAAGAGGGGGTTTCACCATGTTGGCCAGGATGGTCTCAAACTCCTGACCTCGTGATCCGCCAGCCTCGGCCTCCCAAAGTGTTGAGATTACAGGCGTGAGCCACCGCAACCTGCCGTAATCGAAGTTAAAACAGCCCAAATGCCTTGGAAGATACAAGGCAGAGGAAATTCACACAACTAAATAAAGAAAAAATTTACATGCATTTACAGCTAAATAAAGAAAACTTTAAAGTTTTAAGGAGACCACAATCAGCAATTACAATTAAATCTCCCTTGGCTGCTAAATTAGGAAGCCCAGCATAGGATAGCGGGAAGAGAACTAAATAAACTAGGTATCAGGAAGCCTGGGTTTCAGTCCACACTCTGCCACTGATTAATTATGTTATCTCCAGTCCCACTCAAATTTAAAATTCTAAAATTTTGTACATATCGCCCAGAGTAAATAAGAAACATATAACATTTCACATTTCAGTGCACCACATAGAAAGCATGAACAAAAGGCTCAAGGTCTGCTGACTTTACTAACATTCAAAAGTATTAGTTTGCCATGGGTTTTGTCCATTTATGACTCTCAATAATGGTTTAAGTTTAAATTCAAGGCCTCTGCACAGAAAACTGCAAAACAGAGATGTTTGAATTATTGTGAAATACAAAGGGTAGCAGGATTGCATTTACACATTTTGACTACGATTCAGAATAATCTAGGTGGTAAAAATGCTGTTCATTTGCCACATTAATTGACTTCTTAGAAGTTATTTATTAAAATGCTTCCTCACCATTAAACAGAAATGCAGTCCACAAAGCTGTATTTACAGTATACATGGAATGGCAATCTAGACTGTGAGCTAGACTGGGAGAAAGGGTTATTTATCATCCATTATTGTGTCCTGTTGACACAGCATAGTACATGGTACAAAGGACATATTAATATATACTGCTGGTCTAATGAATCACTCATATGGGATCCCATTTTTTTTTTTTTTTTTGAGACAGTCTCGCTCTGTTGCCCAGGCTAGAGGGTAGTGGCATGATCTTAGCTCACTGCAACCTCTGCCTCCCAGGTAAGCAATTCTCATGCCTCAGCCTCCCAAGTAACTGGGATTACAGGTTTGCACCACCACATCCAGGTAATTTTTGTATTTTTAGTAGAAACAGGGTTTCACCATGTTGTCCAAGCTGGTCTTGAACTCCTGGCCTCAAGTGATCTGCCCACCTTGGCCTACAAAAGTGCTGGGATTATAGGCGTGGGCCACCACCACGCTGGGCTGAGGACCCCATTTTTTACATTTATCTTAAATTTTACTTCCTAGGCAATATGCTGCCTAACATTTATAAAATTCTTTTTTTAGAGACAGAGTCTCACTATGTTGCCCAGGCTGGCCTTGAACTCCAGGCTCCAGGGCTCAAGCGACCCTCCCACCTCAGCCTCCCAAGTAGCTGGGATGCTCATTTGTAAAGGATGTAACATCAGCTCTACTTTCTTCCAAAAGAGCTGCAAAGATCAAATAAGAAAATGTGTGTAAGTGCATTATAAACTGGCAAGAGCTGTATATATGTTAGGTATTCTTTCTTTGCTACCAAAGAA